>NC_000012.12:104732855-105035885 GCF_000001405.40 Homo sapiens
AGTGACATCGGAATTGGAAGCTTTCTTTCTGGAACTAAGTATTAAGTATTTTTTTTAAGCACTTATTTCCTTACATGTAGTTCACAAAGAGGGCGTCAGCCCTGTGCTTTGAACTTGACATGCATCGTCTCACTTAATCTTTGCTCCACACCCTTGTGTAGTAGGTATGACCAGCCCTATGAGAGATGGGGAAACTGAGGCCCAGACCAGTGAGGTGATGTGTGCAAGGTCACGCACTGGGATTCCACCCATGCACCTTGTCTCCAGGGTGTGTCCTCTTCCCACAATGCTGTTCTGCCACCGGGTTCTTTAACTGGAAGATGATGTAGATAAGACATATCTTGAATGTAGCTGTGGAGGGCATGAGGCCAGACTGTTTTTGCTAGATGCAAAATCTGGAGTCTAGCTTTCCAGATCCCACAGGGAAAAGACCTCAGAGTAGATCCAAGATTTCCCCATGGCATGGAAGAAAGAGGAAAGGGGACATTTATAAGGCCTTTGTGGGAGGCAGTAACACTGACTGTGGGTATCAGGAAAGGGCCTTGCCTGATTCTGGGGGCACCTTTAAACCCAGCAAGTTCCCCCGTGTTCAACCCTCCCTCCCAGGGCTGCATGATGGAACCCTTGAACCAGGATCAGTTGTTGGGAGTCGCAGCCAACACTTTGACACACACTGTGTTTCAGGCAGTCTTCTGAATGCTTTGCATATTCTGTGAGGTTGGTACTTCCATTAGGTGGGTGCAAAAGTAATTGTAGTTCTTGTCATCAAAAGTAATGGTAAAACTGCAATTACTTTTGCGCCAACCTAATACTATCCCTACCTTATAGATAAGGAAGTTAAGGCACAGAGAGGTGAAGTAACTTGCCTAAGATCACACATCATTAAGTAGGTGGCAGAACCAGATTCAACCCAGGGAGATTGGTTGGCTGCACTGATCTTATCTATACTGCCTCTGAGGAGGGGAACCCTGCTTTTGACGTTGTAAGGTAGGAGGAGTTGGGTGATGGGTCTGGTTTCTTTGAAAAGCCAGCGGGGGGCGCTTTGAGCCTTCTGATGATGCCATGATGGCTGCCATGCCCCCATGGCCCAGCCCTGGCAAAAGTGTGTGCCTGTGGGGGCTGCCCAGGAATGTGGGCTTATGCCTCCTCCCCGCCACCACCAGCAATCTCTGTAGCTTTTGGCTGGGCACTGCTCCTCCAAAGAAGGCAGCAGGGCTTCCCCTGCCAGGAGGGCCAGCTTCCGCCAGCAGAGCTGCTTATTGAGAGGTACCTGGTCAGCACTGGCGCCAGAGGGGCACAGGGAGGTGTTTGCTCAGGCCCAGCCCATGCTTCTCTGCAGAAGTGGACGTGCTTTTCTGTTTATTTTTCTTATTTAAAAATTTTAAATCCAACTATCTTGAAATAGTTGGAGGTACAGAGCTGCTTGAGGAAAATTCAGCCCCAAAATTCATCAGAAAGATGGTTGGCCTCAGGATCACAGGGGCACGATCCCTCCTGAAGGACCAGCAGTTCCGGGCCCTGTGTAGGCACAAGATGAATGTCATTCATTTAAATCTCACCCCGGGCCCGTTGTATAGTTGCAGAAACTGGGGCTCAGAGAGGTCAGCTTGCCCAAGGCTGTGCTGCTAACAAGGGCAGGGCTGGACCTTAAGATCCGGACCCAAATGCCTGCTGTTTCTCCCGCCCCTAGTTCTGAATACGGTCACAGGTGGAAAACGGGGTGGCCTGTGATATTCCAGTCCCATGTTTCTTACTTTGCCATGGGGAGGAATGAGGACCTGGGGTTATTGCCCTGTAGTTCATTCCACCCTTCACCCCATGGGATACCCAGTCAGCCACCAACAGCCTTTCCTGGTAGGCACTCAGGGAAGTGCCCCAGGGTGAGGAGGATTTGTGAGAACTGGCGCTCTGCCTCCTGGGAGCTTTATGGCAAAGTAACAGCAAGAGAACACAGACAAAAGACAGATAATATGGAGATCCAGAGGAGGAGGGTTTGGGATGCTTAGACAAGGGTGGGGCCTGCGTTTATCTGATAAATAACACAGTGATTCTGTATCATCATCGTGTTGTTTACGTGAACCCTGCCAGGCACCACATGCCCTCATCAGGGCAAACTGCAAAATTGCCAGGTTTGCTTCTGTTCTGCAAACATTTTTTGAGCTCCTGCTCTGGGGGCAGGCATGGTGCTCAACACAGGGGATTCCAGGATGAGCAAGGCAACAGTCCTGAACTTCAGGGAGCAGAGGTAGGGATCTATGGGTAAACAGACAGTTACAGTATGTTGTGAGAAGAGAGTAAGCTCCAGAGTCCAGTTACCTGGGTTCAAATCCTGGCTGCACCACCGGCTAGCTTTGTGACTTAAATGACCACCTCTCTGGGTTTCAGTTGCCTCATCTATAAAATGGAAATATAATACGTCTCTACCTTGTAGGAGTGATAGAAGGACTAAATGTGATTACACAAGAGCTTAGGACGATGCTTGGCACCTGGCACTCAAAATATATTAGCTCTTCTGGTGGTGCTGGTGGCTGTGCTGTGAATGATAACAGCAATAATGGTAAAAATAATAATACCACGTTCTATAAGAGAGATGAGCCTAGATCACTGGCGGAGCACCAGGAAAAGGGGATACCTGACTGATCCAAGCCTGGTGGTGGGGCTGGGTCATCCGAGACATCATCTTAGAGGAAGTGAGGAATATGGTGAGGTCTGAAAGCCCCACAGTTAGCGGGAAGAAGAGAGTGAGCAAATCCAGAGAGACTTGGGGGCAGGGGACTTGCTCCTGGGCAGGTCCCTTAGGTGCAAGAAAGCGCAGTACTTCTAGAGAAATCACAGGGGTCCAGTGCCCTGCATGGGACAGGGCTGCTGAGAGACAGAGCCTGAGGGGCTGGCAGGGGCCAGGATGCAGATGCTGGGTGCCAGGCTCAGGCATCTGCGCTTTCCATGGAAGGCAGTGGGGACTCGTCATGGGTTTAAAGCACAAGGACAGCAGAGTTAGAGCTGTGATCAGAGCCTCTGTTTTGGTCTGGAGGGGACCCAGGCTTGGAGCCCAGAAACTAGGGGATTGTCAGCAGCAGTCGAGGCTCAAGGGGATGTGGTTTGTACCAGGGTTGCCAGGATGCGGGGTTGTGGCCAGGCTGTGGGGAGTGGGTGCCTAGGTACCTGGCAGGGAACCTGGGCAGACAGCAGTGCCATTCCCTGAGATGGGACACAGGAAGAGGGCAGTGACCACTCTCAGACATTCCAAGTTGGAGGTTCCTGTGGGACATTCCATGGGCAATGTCCAACGGGAAGGTGAGAGCATGCTTCTCGCCTCTGGTATAAATCCTCCCTTCCCCAAAGTTCCCCCTGCAAGATACCATCCCTGTGCCTACAGAATCTGGGGAAAGAACATTCCATGGAGAAGGAACAGGACATTCACTGCCCTGCGTGTGGCATGTTCAGTGGAAGGAAAGGAAAGGAAGAAGAGAGAGAGAAGAGAAGAGAGAAGGAAGGTTGGGGAGGGCCATTTTGTAGAGGGTGATGATAAGAAAAAGACCAGTGACTCACAAGCTCATACAGAGAATGCCCAGCCTGGCCGAGCTGGAGATTTACCCAGAGGCATCCAGCAGAGTCCCATGTATTTCCAGATGTTTCTGGTTAGAAGTTCGTATAACTTTCAGAGAAAATGCCCTGCCCTCCTGGATTCTGGCCCAGTTTGAAGAGCACCCCAGGCTGACTGAGCGTAGCAAAGCCTCAGAGAGGCAGTGGTGGGCTGTTGGGCTGGGACCCACTGCACGTACAACTCGGGAAGCCCACCTGGCCCTCTGTGAGTCTGGCCTGTGAACTCTGATTTACCCGGAGTTGGCAGGGTTGGGGGTCTTAGAGTAGCCCTTTGAGAAGCTGGTTCAGTTCTGAACTCCATCCAGGTGTCCATGAAAGAGACTGCTTCGAGTCCCTTTCAGTCCCCCACACAGCGCTGTAGGTGTACTAGAAGTCATGTATAAACTGCCCTGAAAATCTGATTTTTGAAAGCATAGGAGAAATGCATCCTTCTGCTGCATAAAGCATCTTCATTGTGAGTCTTGATAGAAACCAAGTGTGGCTTCAGGGCTTAAGAAGGCCAAACCTCACCCTGTGACTTACACAACTGAGACCAGGAGTATCTATGAGAATAAAATGTGACTTTCCTTTAACACCATTTATAGATGATCTTTATGGGATATTCTGCCTCAGCAATTAGCTATGGGAATTTTAAAACTCCATAACAACTTTAAGGAAAGGAAGTTAATCAGAACTTCCCGACTAAGAACTGAGTTCAATAATCATTGCCCAAGGGGCTTCCCTGTACCCAGAAGCCACGTAGATCTGGGCTGTGGATCAGCCTGCAGGCTCCTTGCCATCCCCCGTGGGAATGACTGAGGTCACACGGGAGGTCATCGTGGGGGTGGCTGACTTGGGGGCCAAAGACATGTACTTCAGAACAGGACAGCCAGGGTGGAACCTGGGCCTCACCACTTGCAAGGCCTGAGCCTTGGGACATGAATTCAAGCCCTCTGAGCCTCAGTTGACTCATTTGTAAGTTGGGGATATCACTTTGGGGATTATTGTGAGGATTAACTGAGATGGTGACTGTCAAGTACTTCGTGGGATGCCTGACGCATCACAGAGCCCTGCAGGTGAGTTTGTAGTTTTCCCTTGTCTGGCCACCTTGGGGTCATAGATTAGTTAGTGAATGATCAGTTGATCTAGAGCCTTCTAGATCTTTCTGCTTCATTCCAGATCTCGCATTGACCCTTTTGCCCAGTGCCTTCCTCGGGGCAGTGGAGGAAGACACAGAGTGGAGGTATTTCTGACTCCTCTTGAGCGCCTGTGGTTTTGATGTTTTTCAAAAGAAAAGAACATTTCAGAAATAGAGGAGGGAGAATCCCCCACCAGGCAGTTTTGCAGGGAGGGCCTGGCCTGAGAATGTGCTGGGCATGGGGAGGTGAAAGATGAGCCAGGCGGAAAGGGAGGGCGAGGCTGTCCCCTGGGAAGGCTGGGTGGCCTGTCCCCAGCTGTCACTGGATGCCTTTGTTCCCTGGAGCCAAGAGGCCTCCCTTGGAGGCATCAGTTGCCACAGGAAGCAGATTCATTCATGAAAACCCACCCCCCAGGCCCCGATCCTACTTGCTTTTTTGAACCTTTCTGTTCTTTGCTTTGGCTCAGAGAATGCCACTTAGTGTATAAAAAAGGATCCCAACGTCCCGCCCTGCTGGACCGGTGTAATTATGTCTGCTACACTTCCTTTCTGGAAGGCCCTGGTCAGGGGGTGCTGCAGCCTTCCCAGACCCCGCGGGCTCATCCTTCTTCAGCAGACCGGCCTGCCCTGTCATTTTGGGCATAAAGCCTGTGCAGGGACAGCCATGGAGCCCTTCCCCTTCCCGACCAGCTTTGAGGTTCGCAGAGGTGCCCCGCTCTCTGTCGCCTCAAGGCTGCACTCCCTGTTCCCCCACCCAATCCTCTCTTAGATGGCCTTCGGCGCCAGCTCACTCCTCCTCTGTGGGCTTTGCATGAATACTTCTTTCTTGGGAAAATCATTCCCTGCTCTCCCAAGCTGGAACGGCACTCCTGTGCCATGCGTCCATGGCACCTGTGCTTAATAAAAGCAGTGAACATGAACTAAACACACACCCAGGCAAGGGCCTGGTCTGGCCTTCCTGACTTCATCCTCACACCCGCCCCATGATGCAATGAGGCGTTTCCTGAGCACTTACCTGCAGGGGCACGTGCAACTCCCTCCTCTCATCTGAGCTTTACAGCCACCTTTAAAGCAGGGAGTACTGTTTGGCTCATTTTACAGTGAGGAAATAGAGGCTTTAGGAGAAAGCCCGGACCTCATAGCTAGTAGGTGCTAGATCTGGGAATCTGACACTAGTGTCTTCTCTTGGCCACTAAATTACACTCCAGCTGCCACACTGCATTGCCATCTTTTCTGTTCCTTGTCCCTGTTAGAATGTGTGCTTTCTCCCTGAAATCATATCTTGCTTCAAACTGGGCTCCCCCAGCGCCTCAGGCTGTGGCCTGTTTGCATAACTGGCAGTCACTGGACTGATTCAGGCCAAGGATGGAGCTGCCACCAGGTTGCAGGGTCCCTCCTGAAGACGGAGGACCAGGCTGGGAGGTAGACAGCCTGCTGGGCAGGGGTGAGGGGTGAGCTGACCAGTCTGAAGCTCATCCAGGGCAAAGCGGGACCTGCAGGTGGCAGACGCTGTCAGTGGGAGGTTGGGAACCAACGCCGGTGTGTGCCAGAGGAGCCCGGGTAGTGGGTGCGGGCAAGAGCAGGCCTGAGCGTTCTCTCCCTCTCCACCTGGAACACCCTGAACTCATCACTTTTTGGGCTTCAACCAGGGGAGGCAGGGAAAGTGAAAGGAAAAGTGACATCAGCCACTCTCCCTCCTTGTCAGCAGCTTAGGGCAAAATTCTAGTTGGGAAAGGTGTCCTCATCTTTTCATTACTACATTGGCCTGAATTTCTAGAAGGTAGAGTGACTTCTCTCGGCCAGTGTATTCATCCGTGCACCAGGCATACAGTCAGCTATTCTCACCATCATCTATAACCACAGGAGGTCCGTGGCACCGTCATCCCCATTTTACAGATGAGAATGCTGAGTCTCAGATTAAGTAACTTGCCCAAGGTCCACAGCCAGTAAGTACTAGAGCCGGATTTTAAGCCCAGGCTGTCTGGCTGCAGAGCCTGTGTTCTGAACCACTCTGCTCTGCTGCCCCTTGATGGAAACAGCCACATAGTAAAGAACTCTATTTTTTTCATGAGAAAAAACTTTTAACTGTGAATATTAATTGCTTGTCCCTTAAGAGCAGCTGTGGGTCAAGTGACACAGTAAGTTCTTTGCAGACTTCATCCCTTTAAACCTCATAAGAGCCAGTGAGGTTTGTGCTCTCTCAGCTCCCACTTTACTGATGAGGAGACTGAGGCCAGGAGAGTGAATCTTACTGACCCCAGATCATGGGGCTGGTCAGGGCCATTGCCAAATTTTACATCCAGATTGGTCTGCCTGACTCCAGAGTCTGATCTCCAGCCTGTGCTGATGAGCTTGCTCATCTCCGCAGAGTTCCAGACATCCTAGGGAGAGTAAACCTTTGTTCCATCAAAGCAAATACTCTCCATTTTTGTTCAGTATTTATTGAATGAGATCAGGGAGACACTGATTTTCTGTAAAAATTGTATCCTGAAATCAATGTATTTAGTTTCTACCACTTAGTTTTAGTAGGGTCACTGGCCTTTAAAGAAAAAAATGCAAAGACTTTTCCCAGTTCTTGCCTCACTTTTCTTTAATGAGCTCTGAAATCAGGCCAGCCCAGGGGGACCTATCCCACGTTCCCTATTCTGGATAATAAAATGGGTCACTCACTTCTTTTTAGTTTTATAATTTCCATTGATCATAAATCTACATGTGTTGTCAAAATACTCCTCTGAGGTTGATGGAAGGTAGCAAAGATGGTTTTTCTATTTCATAGGAATGTTATGGCACCACACAGATGACACTCCCTGCCCTCTCACTCTGCCCTGGAATCCATCCCTGCACCTCCAACAAGGGCTGCTGGGTGGATAGAAGGAGAAAATCCCTCTTTTTGCTCTGCTGTCCAGCAGCACAACAAAAAGGCATATTTGGGTTCCAGTCTTTGCTCTGCTGCTTTCTGGGAGTGGGTGGATGAGCTCTCATCTCTGGGCCTCAGTTTTGCCATCTGAAAATCAGAGGGTGGTATCAGATAATCACAAAGGTATTTTGTAACTCTGAAGTTCTGGGTTCTAAGGACTCTGAGATGCAAAATTATTTGAAAGCTCTACAGGCAGAAGAATATTAATACCTCTGATGTCATGCAATTGAGGGTGTCTTATTCACCTCTGGGCCCCGGGTCTGTGTCCCTGCCATTGTGTGTGACTCTGTTCCTGGATATCTGTATCTTCATGTCCTCGGCCATGGCCTAAGAAGCCGCAGAGATGTCTGACTTCCTCAGTGAACAGCAGATGGATGGATTTAGACGTGCTTGTCCCTCTAGCACTCCACGATGGTCTTCCTGTTCCACTTTCACTATGATTGAGAATGGGCCGTCCTTCTTGAAAGAGGAAAAAGGCAGTGAAGTGATAAACAAAATCTTCTTAGTACTCTGCAAAGATGTTCATGTGTTGCCACAAAGCTAATCACCCTTTTCTGAATTCTGCAAGTATTGGGCACCAAGTGCCTGGGACACTGAGATACCTGGGCCTTATCCCAGCTGCCCTGGAGGGAGGGCATGAGTTGAGCTCACATTGTTCATAGTGACATTAACTATGATCAGGATGGAGCAGGTTGAGGCAAAGGGGTGAAGGTAAAGGTGGTGGAAATGGCTCCGTTGGGGCCCCAGGCTTGGTGGTGGTGGTTACTGGGGAGAGAACGAGGGTGTCTTCCAGGCAGGGGTAGGAGGAGGGCTTTGGAGCCCCATCTGCAGAACTAGCTCCACCTCTCTCTTGGGGGAGGACCAGCCTTCCTCTCACTGGAAGCATGCAACATGCAGAAACGAAAGGCCCAGAGCATGGCTCATGCGTGCCTTTGGAACAATGGAGAAATCGGGTATTGTTAAAACATGCTGCTTGACTAAGAAATAAATGGACCTCTTTGGGTGCCTCTCAATTCATAGTTCAGTTACTGTGAAATTCCATGAATCCTTTACAGTCTGTTAATACATATTAATAGCTAATCTTGATATTGCCAGAAAATTGCTCTTCAGACCTCCAATTTGCTTAACAGCTGCCAATCTAAGTTGCCGCCAATTGCCTCTATCGGTCTTCTGTGTCAGTGAGATATTAAGTCGCCATGAGCCAGGCATTTTGCACAGATGACAAATGTGTTTGGCGTTCACTGCAGAACCCGCTCATGTAAAAGCGACGCTCAATCATCAGTTCTCAAAGTGAAACAGAGACCACCAGCCTCAGAATTGGCCTGATAGAATCATCACGGGGCAGCGATCAAGAGCAGGTTCCCAGGACAGCCCGACCCACTGAACCAGAATTACTCAGGGTGGTGTCTGGGAACCCGCATTGCATCAGATTCCCGCTGTGATTCTTACATACACTGAACATTGAGAAATGCTGTCAGGTGAAAGGCAAAGCAACATTCCTGCTATCCTGCCCCCGGCACTTGGGAAACCACCCTCTGTAAGGTTTACAGTAGCTACTTCCTGAGTGCCTACTATGTGCCAGGTACCATGCTATGTGCTTTCCTTGTGGGCTCTCATCTAATCCTCAAAATGACCCTGAGAAGTAGACTTTATTGTTGTCCCCATTTTGCAGATGAGGAAACTAAGGCCTGAAGGGCTCAAGTGATTAGGCCAAAATAGAAGTAGAATATTCTGGTCAGTCTGGGAAGAGAACCAATGAAGCCAACTGGTTCAAAGAAGGGAGAGGCCAGGAGGAGATCCTGAAGGGAGGCAAGCCCCTGCCTCCCAAGAGCATCACCCTCTGGGAGGCCCATCGTGGTAGGGGAGGTTGACGGCCTCCCTGGCTAGGGGAGGGGTAAGCCACCCGGGACTGCTCAGTGGACCCATGCTCCTCCTCCCCTACTCCTGCCAGCAGCGACTTCCGAGGACCCCAAAGCACTAGCCAGCAGGTGCTCAGCCTGCCTGCCCTTACTTCTGATTTCCCAAGCAGTGTGGGAGCTGCATCCCTTCCTCACCGTTGTTCCTGTTCCGGGCCACCATTCATCGGAAAGCAGGCCAGCTTGGCAGCAGCCCCATTCCTATTCCTGCCCCCCTCCGGCACCCTGCCCAGGCCTCCGGAAGCCCAAACAGCTGATCTGAGATGTCAATAAGGCCCTTCCAGCTGCACCTGGCCTGGCTGAAAGGGAGCCCCGGGGGTACCACACAGCCTCAGACCAAGTCCTTCCTGGGCAGCCCTTGGCGCCCTCCCCCTCCAGCGTGATTTGATTCCCCTCCTCTTGTTTCTTGGCCTCACCAGACGGGTGGAAAGTGCCAGCGTCCCTCCCTCATCAAAAGCTGTTGCATTTCTACCCAGGGCTGAGAGTCCCCGCTCTTCTCTCTTGGCCTCCAGCCCCAGAGCTGATGCTAAGCTCCTGTGTGGCAGCCACAGGCTCTAAGCCAGAAATCTCCACCAGAAGATGAGGTGGGGGCTGCGGGTTTAGGCACAGGAAGCCCACGAGGCCTCATTGGCCGTCTTGTGACCCGAACAATCCCTGCTGTCCCAAAGTCATTCATGCATTCAACAAAGCTTTCAGTGTCCACCGTATGTGAAGCACTGGGAATACAACAGTGAACAAAAATTAGTGAAAACTACCTGCCATCTCAGAGTTAACGTTCAAGAAGGGAGAGACCAGCAAAATAAGTAAATTGAGATAAACTAAGGAGATAAGTACTACAAAGAAAAGGGAAGCAGGGAAGGGGATGGGAGAGCTGAGGTTCCAGAGGTGTCTCTTAATATCCACCACTGAGTGTGAGCCTTCCTAACTGCACCCAGGGACTCCCACAGTCTGGCTGGTTCCGCCTTGTCTTTCTCTTGCAGTTGCCCACAGGTTCCACTAAGTGAGCAGGGGCAGCTGGGCTGGAGGCAGTGGGGGCTGAGAGCAGCCAGAGGAAGGCACCCCCTTACTATCCTCAAACACCTGGGGGAGGCACCAACCCTACAGGGATGGTTCGGCTCACACCACTAAAATGATTGTAGCTAACATTTAAGAATACAGAGATATCACATGAAACCTAATATTCTGACTTCTCTTTTTTTAATTTATATTTTTCTAACTTTTAAGTTCAGGGGCACATATGCAGGTTTGTTACATAGGTGAACTTGGGTCATGGGGGTCTGTTGTACAGATTCTTTCATCACCCAAGTATTAAACCCAGTACCCATTAGTTGTTTTTCCTGATCTTCTCCCTCCTCCCACCTTCCACCCTCCAAAAGGCCCCACTGAGTGTTCCCCTCTGTGTCCATGTGTTCTCATCATTTAGCTCCCACTTATAAGTGAGAACATGTGGCATTTGGTTTTCTGTTCTGCATTCGTTTGCTAAGGATTATGGCCTCCAGCTCCATCCATGTCCCAGCAGAGGACATGATCTCTCTTTTTTTATGGCTGCATAGTACTCCATGGTATATATGTACCACATTTTCTTTATCCAGACTATTATTGGGCATTTAGGTTGATTCCATGTCTTTGCTATTGTAAACAGTGCTGCAGTGAACACATGTGTGCATGTGTCTTTATAATAGAATGATTTATATTCCTTTGGGTATATACCCAGTAATGGGATTGCTGAGTCAAATGGTATTTCTGTCTTTAGGTCTTTGAGGAATTGACACACTGTCTTCCACAATGGTTGAACTAATTTACACTCCCACCAACAGTGTATAAGTGTTCCTTTTTCTCCGCAACCTTGCCAGCATCTGTTATTTTGACTTTTTAGTAATAGCCATTCTGACTGGTGTGAGATGGTATCTCATTGTGGGTTTGATTTGCATTTCTCTAATGATCAGTGATGCGGAACTTTTTTTTGTATGATTGTTGGCCTCATGTATGTCTTCTTTTGAAAACTGTCTGTTCACATCCTCTGCCCACTTTTTTATGGGGTTGTTTTTTTCTTGTAAATTTGTTTAAGTTCCTTATAGATGCTGGATATTAGACCTTTGTCGGATGCATAGTTCGTAAAAATTTCCTCCCGTTCTGTTATTGGTTGTCTGTTTACTCTGTTGATAGTTTCTTTTGCTGTGCAGAAGCCCTTTAGTTACATTAGATCCCACTTGTCAGTTTTTGCTTTTGTTGCAATTGCTTTCGGTATCTTCATCATGAAGTCTTTTCCCGTGTGTATGTCCTGAGTGGGATCGCCTAGGTTGTCTTCTAGGGTTTTTATAGTTTTGGGTTTCACATACAAGTCTTTAATCCATCTTGAGTTAATTTATGTCTGTGGTGTAAGGAAGGGATTCAGTTTTAATCTTCTGCATAGGGACAGCCAGTTATCCCAGCATCATTTATTTATTTATTTATTTATTTATTTATTTATTTATTTATTTTTTGAGACAGAGTCTTGCTCTCTTGCCCAGGCTGGAGTGCAATGGCATGATCTCGGCTCACTGCAACCTCCGCCTCCCAGGTTCAAGCAATTCTCCTGCCTCAGCCTCCCAAGTAGCTAGGATTACAGGTGCCCACCATCATGCCTGGGTAATTTTTGTATTTTTAGTAAAGACCGGGTTTCGCCGTGTTGGCCAGGCTGTTCTCGAACTCCTGACCTCAAGTGATCTGCCTGCCTCAGCCTCCCAAAGTGCTGGGATTACAGGCATAAGCCACCACGCCCGGCCCCTAGCACCATTTATTGAATAGGGAATCCTTTCCTCATTGTTTGTTTTTGTCAGGTTTGCTGAAGATCAGATAGTTGTAGGTGTGTGGTCCTATTTCTGGGTTCTCTATTCTGTTCCATTGGTCTATGTGTCTGTTTTTGTTCCAGTACCATGCCGTTTCGGTTACTATAGCCCTGTAGAATAGCAAGTAGGGTAGCTGATGCCTCCAGCTTTGTTCTTTTTGCTTAGGATTCCCTTGGCTATTCGGGCTCTTTTTTGGTTCCATATGAATTATAGAATACTTTTGTCTAGTACTGTGAAAAATGTCAGTGGTAGTTTAATAGGAATAGCATTGAATATATAAATTGCTTTAGGCAGTAGGGCCATTTTAATGATATTGATTCTTCCTATCCATGAGCATGGAATATTTTTCCATTTGTTTGTGTCATCTCTGATTTTTTTGTGCAGTGGCTTATAGTTCTCATCATAGAGATCTTTCACCTCCCTGGTTAGCTGTATCCCTAGGTATTTTATTCTTTTTGTGGCCATTGTGAATGGGAGTTCATTCCTGATTTGGCTCTTGACTTGACTATTGTTGGTGTATGAGAGTGCTAGTGATTTTTGTACACTGATTTTGTATCCTGAGACTTTGCTGAAGTTGTTTATCAGCTTAAGAAGCTTTTGGGCTCAGACAACAGGGTTTTCTAGATGTAGGATCATCTCATCTGCAAACAGGGGTAGTTTGACTTCCTTTCTTCCTACTCAAATGTCCTTTATCTCCTTCTCTTGCCTGATCACCCTGGCCAGAAATTCCAATACTATGTTTAATAGGAGTGGTGAGAGAGGTCATCCTTGTCTTGTGCTGGTTTTCAAGGGGAATGCTTCCAGCTTTTGCCCGTTTAGTATGATGTTGGCTCTGGGTTTGAATTCTGACTTCTCTTGAGAAATTGAAACATCTCGAAAGACCAGGTCCTCAATTCCCTAATGACGGTATCAGTGAGATCTATGTGGCATCAGCCACCTTCAGTGGCCCAGTGGACGCTGACTGGGTTCATTCCCATTCAAGGTGCCGAGGCCATTCATTTCTATTTCCTGATGGTTCTGGAGAGCCTTTGAGTTTGTGACTCTAACCCAGGTCACCCAATATAAACCCTGCCTACAAAAGAAGTACTTTAACTACACTAGGGTGAAACAACCCTTTCTCATTGCTCAGCAAATCCTGGGCTTTCCTTTCTGCTCATTTTTTTCTGCCTATAAAGATCCCAAGGTTAAAATGGAGCTCAGAACTATCACCCACCTGTGCCAGTGTCAGCTGAGGCTGGCTTGGGGGCTGATCCAGAGGCCAACACCAGGCCCTCCATCACTATCACCCAGAGCCTCCTACCTCACCTTCAGGGCTCAAAATGCTTTCCAGCCACGGTGCATTTTCCTTCTTCCTTTTGCCTTGGAAAGGAAGGCAAAGCTTCTGCAGAGATTCAGTTGTTGTTCCTTGCAGTCAAACAGGTGCTTCCCTAGTGACAAGTTACAATCCAGAGAAACCAATTTCCCTGACAACGTTAATGTCAGTTAACATGAAGCCACTTCTTTCCTAAACCCTTTACGTTTTGTACCAGGTCCAGACCAGATCGTTTCTTTAAAGGCCCAATATTTTTCTCCTTTCTTTTCTAAACCTAAGAGGTTTTGAGCATTATGTAATTCTTAGTGCTTCCCCTAAAATGCACCCAAAGATGTCTGAGACCTGTGACCTTCTAGACCTTTGACCCCTGGCTCTACTGAATGAAAAGTCCCCTATCTTAAACCTGAGGACCAGGAAGGTGAAACTGGCCCAAGATCATATGCCGGTCACCACTCCAGTCCAGTTCTTTGCTTTAGCTTATAGCTCCTGGCATTGGAGCCCCTGAAATAGTGGAGTCCCACCCGGGCAGCCTCAGATTTCCAGGAGCAATTAAATATAACAGATCTCTGGGGTGGGACTCAGTCCTCAGTGTTTAAAGCTCTCCTATGATCCCAGTGAGCTGCTAGGGTTGAGACCCACGCCTCCAGCGGCTGCCCGGGAGCCGATAACTCCCGGGTGGGTCTCCAGACCCCAGGAGGCTGCACCATGCAGGGTCTCAGACCACAGTCTGCCTGGACTCGAACCCCAGACCCGGTTCCTAGCTCCCTGAGCTTGAGCAAGTTAATTATTCTCCCTGTGCCTGTTTCCTTATCCACAAGTTGAAAATACTAATGATACCTACCTCATAGAGTGTGAAGATCAACAGTAGCTGGTACATAGTAAGTGCTCAATATATGGTAGCTAGTATAAATATGTGACCCTTTTTTTGCTGTGGATGTGGTGTCTTCGGTGATTCCTCATGACTAGCCCTTTTCATGAGAGTTTAGTAATTCCTCTGCCAGAAAGAAACGTCATATAATCAGAGCAAATCAGCTCATCAGGTGCTCCTCCCCCTCCCCCAATTCTGAAACAGAAAGATGATGGCAGCACAACTGACATGCTGAGAGGGGTTTTGCATTCAGATTTTTAAGTGGAGAAACTGAGGCTAGACCCAAGCTAACAGTTGTTAAAGGCAGATTCAGAAAACCCTCAGTCACTTAATGCTTCCAAATGTACCTGTTTCTCTGGGTCTATTTGCCTGCATGTCCCCCGACTCTGCCCACCCCGAGACAGTCAAAGGGGGCGACCTCTCTTCCTCCTGTTTGGGTTCTTGTGTCTGAGGGAAATTGCAAACGCTGCAGTAATGTTTTAATTTAAGGGAAACCAGCTCTTCCTTTTAAGATGAAACGTAGTAAAATTTTAAAGACTTTTTCAAACAGTCCCTAAATTTGTTACTTAAACTAATTATGGTTGCCTTTTATAAATGTCCAAATTAAAAATAGACATCTAAACGAGAATGCAGGACACAGCCCAGAGCCCGGAGCCATGTTCACGGTTTCCTAGAATCAGCCCTCCTCTGACCTAATTTATACTTTTGAGAGATCAAAGCGAGATGAAGGGAGTTGGAGGCTGGGGCTGGGGGTGGATCTAGGAGTCTGTCGGCAGCAGATGGCGAACCTGGGTTCTGTGTTTTGTAATTAAGTATAGCTGTGAATTGGTGAAAGACATTAGATTACAGTCATTTCCAAATAGTATAAAGCTGTGGTTCTCAAAGTTTGGTTCCTAGTCCAGCGGCATCAGCATCTCCTGGTGTTATAGGGGTCGAATTGTGTCCCTCCCAAATTCATACGTTGAATTCTCAACACCCAGGACTTCCAGAGGTGACTGTATTTGGAGAAAGGACTGTTAAATGGGGGATTGAGGGAAAATGAGGACTTTTGAGTGGGGCCCTGATCCAGTCTGACTGGTGTCCTTATTAGAGGCAGAGACACCTGGAGCGCATGCCCGGTGGGGGCTGGAGGGGGGAGGGGGGAGATTAAGAGGAAGAGACACCTGGGGAGTGGAGTCGGGGGAGAGATGGCCGTGTGAGAAGGCAGCAAGCAAGGCACATCTACAGGCCAAAGAGAGAAGCCTCAGGGAACACCAGCCCCACCCGGCACCTTAGTCTTTAAATCCCAGCCTCCAGAACTGTGAAAAAATAAATCTCTGTCGTTTAAGCCACCTGGTCTGTGGTATTTATTATGGCGGCCCAAACACTTTGGGGGCTTGCTAGAAATGCAGGTTCTCAGGCCTGTCAGACCTGCTGAGTCAGAAATTCTGGGAGGAGAACCCAGCAAGCTGTGTTCTCACAAGCCCTCCAGGTAATAACGTTCATGTAGGCTCAAGTTTGAGAACCACTGGCATGAAGTATGATTAGTACTCAGGGGTAGCCAGCCCAGGAGAGAATGACGCATGGTTGGAGTAGGGACTGGTCGGCTAAATATAAACTTTCTTTTAGTAGGCTCTGCAGCCTCTGGAAGAGTCCCAACGGGTTCCTTAAATGGGATGTGGTATGTGTGAAAGTGTTCCATACATGAGGAAGCTTTCTGTTGACCTTAGGTGGAAGTGAATCGTGGCATTATTCAGTCAGCTGAAGAAAGCAACCCTCCAAATACCCCAACACAGGCAAACTGAATCCAAGAATCTCCCTCCTGCACTGAATTTTCCGAGTCCTTTGAAATCTTGTGCATGTTCCTCTCCAAACAACTGGAATGTTTCTCTTTTCTGATAACTAGAGCAAGAAGATTTAATCATATTTCCCCTTTTGTCCTTGCTGCTAGGAAGCCCACAGCCAATTGAGATTCTAAATCCCAGCCCTCATAGAATATTTTTTTTCTATTTTTATTTCATACTGCACATATGTCCTTTGTTATGGTCTCTTCAAAACCTTTTGAGAAAGCAAACAAGAAGAGGGGAGAGAAAGGGAATGTAAGAAGAAAGACATTGATCTCACAGCTCAGATAATTGTCAGATCAACAAGTCCTTTCTTTGTAAAATTGATCAAACTTGGTTGGAAAATTTGGGCATTCTCTTTTACTATGAGGGAACGGGTTTTTCTTCATTAATGAGTGAGTCTTCTTCACTCTCTTGTCTTCCTGATGTCCCCAGAGCTGTTGGTCCCATCAGTAGTTCCGGAACTGTGCTCAGGGAACGTGTTAGTTGCTGAGGGGTTATGACAGTTACAAAAGCTCTTCTGAGCCCTGGTGGAGCCAGGCTGTCATCAGAAATCTCTCCTGCCCCATTTTGACATGGTGGCAAAGAATTCCTCTCTTCCGTCTGGCCTGTCCAGGGCTGTCCTTACTCCAGGTTTCATAAACCAAGGTTCAAGAAGTCCACAGATAGAACCCCCAGGAGTCTAGAGTTCCATAGAAGAACTTTATTGATTGAGTGTTTTTATTTTGGTGATAATCTTTTGAAAAATGATTATCCATTTCTGGATCATCAGGTCTGCCCCGGATAACCTAGTTCTGCCATATGAAGTCGTGGTGCCTGTGTTCATTGATGTTCTTGGTGGTTCCGTGTAGCTCCATTTTTATTGTCTTGGGCTAATTGGAAATGAGCAGAAAAGGAAAATATATACATGATGAGCTTTTACCAAGTAAAGGTCAAATGAGATTCCAGCGTGCCGAGTTTCACAGTAACTAGGAATGAGGAAGTGGTAAGGAAACCGAGTCCTCATGCAGCACAGAAAGGGAAGCTCTACTCCAAACACCCTGACCCACAGCAGTGAGCAAGCATCTGCGTGGTTTCAGGCAGGGCTTTAGTTCCAGTAAAACATCACCCCTCATGTTAATGTTGTGCATTTGAATGTTTATGTTTGTTTTGAACTTGTAGTTGTGTACCTGGTTTTATATTTCTGCACTTTTTTTTTTTTTTTTTTTTTTTTTTTTGTTGAGACTGAGTCTCGCTCTGTCACCCAGGCCGGAGTGCAATGGTGCAATCTTGGCTCACTGCAACCTCTGCCTCCCGGGTTCAAGTGATTTTCCCCTGCCTCAGCCTCCCCAGTAGCTGGGAGTACAGGTGTCTGCCACCATGCCCGGCTAATTTTTGCATTTTTAGTAGAGACAGGGTTTCACCATGTTGGCCAGGCTGGTCTCGAACTCCTGACCTCAGGTGATCCACTCGCCTCAGCCTCCCTAAATGTTGGGATTACAGATGTGAGCCACCGTGCCTGGCTTGTGCACATTTTAGTACCATTTTATTTTTAATAATTTAAATCAACACTAGTCTGAAAATATTTTTATTTTTTGAGACAAGGTGCTTACTGTCACCTGAAATTATTTTAAAATTAAAAAATTATAAAAACCAATTAAAATGTATTTTTAAAAACATTAATAGTAGAGGCCCAGGTGAATTTCTCTCTTGGATTTGAGAAGCATTCTCTTGACCCCTACCCCAGAGTCTTCCTGAGGGGAAACTGTGTGTGCCTTGTTGTGGCAGGTGCACCATTTGCCCCTTAAACTGCTGTGGAGAAGAAGGAAATGGAGGGGAAAGAAACCTCAAATACCAGGTTTAAAAGCCCCACTGAGTTATTTTCCGCCTCTGCAACTGAATGTAAAATGATATGCTGGTGTCATTTCCATTTTTCCTGCCTTTGTGGTCCTGAATGCAGTATTAACTGGCATGCTACCTCCCTGGGGATTCAGGTGGCCAGAAAATTGTCTCCAGCTCAAAAGAGGTTGGGAGGGTGATGAGGGGGAGATCCCCTTATTTCTCTGCTCATCTTAGTAACTTATTGCCTTCAGAATTGTCCTTAGTGATTCAAATGGCAGAATTGATGGGCCCTGTTTCCTTCCTAGTCCTTTCATTTCCTTTAAACACAGGTTTGGTTTTGTTTAATGGCATTGTTCAATAGCCCAAGAGGCCCATGAATGCTTCTCTTAGGGTGATGAATACATCGGCTAAGAAGTCATGAATTGCAAAGGTCAGAGTTTTCCTATTCAAAATAATTATTAATTGAATCCAGTGACCTAGGGCTGACCTGCAACAAAATTACAGAGCTGGTGAAATTTGTCTTTGAGATTCCTATCCAGGCGTTCTTTTTCAGATTTCTTTTTTCTTCTTTGATAAAAGAATGCCTACGTATTAACTACCTGTTTTGTGCCATACCTTGTCCAAATCCTGTACTAGAGTTGATCTTATTTACTGAATGCTGAAATGTACCTTATTTGCTGTAGTCACCACCCCTGCGGGGTAGGTGGTACTATCCCCATTTTGCAAATAGAGGAACTGAGACTCAGAAGGGTAAGGCTCTTGCCCAGGATCAAGCCCAGACCTTCTTATTTCAAATCTTATCTTCACTGTACTTTACAAGTACCCTAATACACTGTCCTTATTCTTCTATATAAAATAGCCTCTTATATGATGTTATCTTCTCTTTAAACTTATAGTTTAGTACCAACTTGCTCAAAGTTATCACTTGAATGATTGACCTCCTCTTTTAGGTTCCTGAGGCCATCATAACAAATTACCACAAACTGAGTGGCTTAAAACTAAGGAAATGTATTCTCTCACAGTCCTGGAAGCCAGAAGTCTGAAATCAAGCTGTTGGCAGGGCATGCTCTCTCTGAAGGCTCCAGAGGAATGGATCCTTCCTTGCCTCTTCCCAGCTGCTGGTGGTGGCCGGCAGTCCTTGGCATTTTTTGGCCTGGAGACACATCATTGCAGTCTCCGACTCTGTCCTCACGTGGCATTCTCCCTGCGTGTCTCTGTGTCTCTGCTTTCTCTTCTTATAAGGACACCACCCATTGGGTCAGGGCCCACCCTAATCCAGTATCATCTCATCTTAACTAATTACACCTGCAAAAACCCTATTTCCATATCAAATCACATTCTGAGGTTCTGGGTGGACATGAATTTGGGAGGGACATTATTTGTCACAGTACAGCTCTATGAAAGAACTTTATGATAATCAACAAACAATTGGGAAATTTATTTACTTATTTATTTATTTATTTATTTATTTATTTATGTATTTTTGAGACAGAGTCTCACTCTGTCGCCCAGGCTGGAGTGCAGTGCCGCGATCGCGGCTCATTGCAACCTCCGCCTCCTGAGTTCTAGCAATTCTCCTGCCTCAGCCTCCCGAGTAGCTGGGATCACAGGCACCCGCCACCACGCCCAGCTAATTTTTTGTATTTTTAGTACAAATGGGGTTTCGCCATGTTGGCCAGGGTGGTCTCACACTCCTGACCTCAAGTAATTAGCCCGCTGCTGCCTCCCAAAGTGCTGGGATTACAGGCCTGAGCCACCACGCCTGGCCTAGAAATTTCTTTAACTAGAGGGGTCTTCCTGCTTACAGATCAAGTATCCCTACAGAGATTATTAAGCCATTCATTCATTCATTCACTCAACCAACACTTATGGAGCATCTCCTATGGGGCTGGCACTTTTGCAAGCACCGGGGATATCGCTATGGAAAGACAAAGTTCCTGCTCTGTGGTACCTCTATTTGATAAGGCAGACACTTCATGCCAGAATGGTGTGACAAGCATAGATCTGAGTCACACACTCTGGCTCAAGTCACAGTTCTGCTTCTCTTAGAAGGAGGCACCTTGGGCAGTCACTTTGCCTGTCTCAGCCTGTTTCCTCGTTGACAGAAGGCAATGCCGAGACCACCACAGCTTTACAAATGTTGGGAGAATCTCCTCAAGGTAGTGAACAAGGAGTGCTCCACAAATCGTTTTCCACGTTCTCATTCATGTGTTGGTGCGTCTGACGGATCCTCAGCTGTAAAATGGAGATCCTAATAATCTCCGTTATTACTGATTGCATTAAAGAAGTTAGTCAGTGTGAAGCATGAAGAGCATTACCTGGCTCACAACGAGCACTCACCCAGTCAGTGTTAGGTGTCATCATCATCCTGATATATACTGTGCAGGAGGGAAAATTAGAAAATTCTGCAGCTTGCTTTTGATATTTCTTGGCATATGCCTAGTGTCACTTATACTTGGAGAACTAAAAAATAGCATCACTGGAGATTTGGATTGATGGGGACCCATGACCACTGGGCATTGAGCCTTTGTGGCAAAATCTCAGCAAGACAAAACAATACCCAGGCACTAAGGAAGAATATTCTGGAAGATTCTCTGTGGGACCCAGAAAAGAATACATGGCCACCAGTTGGCTACCCTGGAAGAAACTGGGCTCTACCCAACATTAAAGGTGGCCAAGACCCCGGCAGTCAGCTAATCTAACTGCCTCTTTCTACAGGCAAGGCAGGGGCAGCCTAGAGAGGGAGGAAAGGAAGAAATAATACTGATTGCGTATCTACTGTGTTCAGGCCACGGAGTACACACCTTATAGTCCTCACACCAGCCTAACAAGGCATCGGAGTGAGGATCTCCTTTGCATAGGCAAGGAAACAAAGGCCAAGAAAGGCCCAGGCCCCATATTTGGGTCATAATAACATGCAAACTGGATCCGTGGTTCAGTAGCCCAGGCCTCTTTGCACATATAGATTATTGCTCTGCCCTTTATAGTGGGGATAAATTTGTTGAGTGGTGGCATTTGGTCTGTGAATAACCAGAGGTCGGTAATTTGCCAGTTATTTCCAAGCTGGGAAACTCCAGGCCAAGCTGGTTTTACCAAGTGGAACCCGAAAATATATATATGGTGCCCTTGCTTCTCTGGAATCTGGCTGAGGGTCTCAGCATCGTATCCCGGCTAGGACCCTCAGCTCTCCTGTTTTTCAGCTCTCCTGTTGCAGTTATTTATTGCTGGGCAACAAATCACCCCAAAACTTAGTGGCTTAACACAGCACTGATATGTCACCTGCCACAGCTCTGTGGGTAGGTAATCGGGCAGGTCTGCTGGTCTCACCTGGGATCATTCACATCACTGTGGTCCGTGGATGGCTGGCAGTTGGTGCTGGTCTGCAGTGCCCCAGTCTTCATCCTCCAGGAGGCTGGACAGGTCTTTCCATAGCATGACTGTCTCAGGGCAGCGTTCCAACAGCGTGAAGGCTAGGAACTGCAGGGCTTCCTAATAGGCTTCAGAACGTGTTCATCGTTGCTTCTACCTCATTCTACTCATCAGAGCAAGTCACAGCCAGCCCCCATTCAAAGAACTGGAGAAATAGAGTCTCTGCTTCTTGATGGGAGGAGTGTCAGTGTCAGACTGCAAAGGGGAATGCACATCGGGGGATACTAGCAACTCTTTCCAGATTTCCACCAGTTATTTGTGAGGCTAAAGCAGTGAGAGAATCACCATACTCTTCACACATAGACCTTGCAAAGTGTTGGTACTCTGTCTTGGTTTGCTTCCTCCCTTGGGTATAAAAATTTTTAGTGGCGATGGCATGTTATAGTTCAGCGTGTTGCTGGGAAGATTAAACATAATGTATTTAAATCACCTGTGAAGGTGCCTCCTACAGAGTAGCTCCTTAGTCATACTGTCTGCTGTTGTCATGGTGACCATCACCATCCTTTGTCCTGGGGACCATGAGAGGAGATGGACATGGAGCTTAATGCAGGGTGCAATGGCTTCTCCCTGGTGGCTACCATGATGCCCCTCAGTTCCCCAGCAAACTCATCAGTGGCCCTACTTTAGGCCCATCCCAATGGCCCTGTGCACCTTTTAGTAAAAATTGTGCAGATTGAGGTTCAAAGTTGGAGGAGCAGGGGCAGATACTTGGGTTGCACTCAAGTCCTAGGCTCTACTGACTTGGCTGTCCAGGTGACTGGAGGATTTCACGGATACAGCTGCATTCTCAGGACTCAAAGCCACCCACAGTCTGGCCTGGAGGAGGCGGTGACTCTGGGGCTCCGAGTCCCTGTGAAGTGAGTGGCCACAGGAGTTGAGAAAACCAAGAATGAACTAGACAGGAGGGTTGTGCTATGAAGCACACTCAGTGTTGTGGGTGTTCAGTGGAGGGAATGGTTATTCCACTTGTGTGGCAGGGGAGTGTGTGGGGCCATGAAGAATTGTCAAGTTTGGGGCCAGGCACAGTGGCTCACCCCTGCAGTCTCAGCACTTTGGGAGACTGAGGCTGGCCAATCACCTGAGGTCAGGAGTTTGAGACCAGCCTGACCAACGTAGTGAAACCCCGTCTCTACTAAAAATACAAAAATCAGCAGGGCATGGTGATGCGTGCCTGTAATCCCAGCTACTCGGGGGGCTGAGGCAGGAGAATTGCTTGAACTCTGGAGGCGGAGGTTGCAGTGAGCTGAGATCGCGCCACTGCATTCCAGCCTGGGCAACAGAGTAAGACTCTGGAAAAAAAAAGAAAAGAAAAGAATTGTCAAGTTTATACCAGCAGAGATTGAGAGGGGAGAATCCCAGATGGGCCCAGCCTAAGGAACGCTTGCGGCAAAGAGGAAAGAGTGAATCATTGGTTTCTCGGGACCCCCCCCTCCGGTTATGAAAGGGTGAGGAGTAGGAATCAGGCTGGAAAAGTAGGTTGGCATTGGGCTATGGAGAACCCCAAAAGGCCAGTGTATGAATGGGGGCTTGGTTCCTGGGGCAAGGAGGCAACCAAGACACCACCTCATCTGTAGCTCCAGAGCAACTATTCCATAGCCCTGTGCCCCCAGTTTCTCTGTAACTTTAATCACAATTAATATTATTCCATTTATATAAAAGAAGGACCATACTGAACTTTCATGAGTGGTGGTGGAGGTAAGGCAGGAATCCGACAGTAGGGTGCCACCACTCCGTGAAGGTCTCTGAGCCTCTGGGTGCTGGAGACGCAGGTGGTGGCAGAGCAGGCAGAGTGCCCTCCTGTTTCCTGTTCTGGGTAGACTGTGAGTACTGGTTTGGACTGGGAGTGAATGGCCTTTGGGGAGAAACTTTTGCTCTTAGAATTCAGAGGAACACACACATCTTCCCAAGCATTTCCCTTTGCCCTCTACTGAGGCTGACAGCTCTCTGCCCTGGCACCTCCTAGACTATGAGTGATTTAGGTTATGTCTCTTTGCAGTGCTGAGCAGAGCACTTTATACATCATGAGGTCTGGATCCATGTGGGGTGTGTGTGTGTGTGTGTGTGTGTGTGTGTTTAGAGACAGGGTCTTGCTCTGTCACCCAAGCTAGAGCACAGTGGCACAGTCATACCTCAAGGTAACCTTGAACTCTGGGGCTTAAGTGATTCTCCTGCTTCAGCCTCCCAAGTAGCTGGGATGTCAGGTGTGCGCCACCATGCCTTCCTAATTTTTTAGTTTTTTTAGAGATGAGGTCTCACTATGTTGCCAAGGCTGGTCTTGAACTTGTGGCCTCAAGCGATCCTCCTGCCTCAGCTTCCCAGAGTGCTGGGATTAAAGGCATGAGCCACTGCACCCAGCTTAGATATGTGTTTGAACGGGTGGATTTATGATCTACTTGTAGCCAAGTGGAAATGTTTCAGGCAAGTACTGAGTTCTTATTCGTCTTGTGTCTCCTCTGCAGCTGGAGCTCTCAAACACTGCTGTCCTGCACCAGATGCGGCGGGACCAGGTGACAGACACGTGCCGAGCCAACAGCGCCACAAGCCGTAAGCGGAGGGTGCTGACCCCCAACGACCTGAAGCACTTGGTGGTGGATGAGGACCACGAGCTCATCTACTGCTACGTGCCCAAGGTGGCCTGCACCAACTGGAAGCGGCTCATGATGGTCCTGACCGGGCGGGGGAAGTACAGCGACCCCATGGAGATCCCGGCCAACGAGGCACACGTCTCCGCCAACCTGAAGACCCTGAACCAGTACAGCATCCCAGAAATCAACCACCGCTTGAAAAGCTACATGAAGTTCCTGTTTGTCCGGGAGCCCTTCGAGAGGCTAGTGTCCGCCTACCGCAACAAGTTCACCCAGAAGTACAACATCTCCTTCCACAAGCGGTACGGCACCAAGATCATCAAACGCCAGCGGAAGAACGCCACCCAGGAGGCCCTGCGCAAAGGGGACGATGTCAAATTCGAGGAGTTTGTGGCCTATCTCATCGACCCACACACCCAGCGGGAGGAGCCTTTCAACGAACACTGGCAAACCGTCTACTCACTCTGCCATCCCTGCCACATCCACTATGACCTCGTGGGCAAGTACGAGACACTGGAAGAGGATTCTAATTACGTCCTGCAGCTGGCAGGAGTGGGCAGCTACCTGAAGTTCCCCACCTATGCAAAGTCTACGAGAACTACTGATGAAATGACCACAGAATTCTTCCAGAACATCAGCTCAGAGCACCAAACGCAGCTGTACGAAGTCTACAAACTCGATTTTTTAATGTTCAATTACTCAGTGCCAAGCTACCTGAAATTGGAATAAAGGGGGTGGGGAGAGGGAGAGAATCATGCTTTTTAATTTAAGATTTTTATTTGTCAAAAGAATTATATGGATATTGGGTTATTTTGTAAATTAATATTTCTTTGGGGATGATGCTGCGAGCAGCATAGTGAGAATTATTTAAAATCCTTCGTAGGGAAGGACAGCTGTCTTTGCAGGGGAAATAGGATGGGTCGTCCTTGTCTGTAGAAGTGAATACTGCAACACTGTCTCAAAGGTTTCTTGTGTTCTGGTGAATTCCATGAATTGTGCATTCCATAAATTCTAATTAATATTATTTATAGTTATTTAAACATGGTCTCATTATTTCTTTTTGTGGCAGCAAAATTCTAACATCTTTCCAGAAGAAATCTATGATTCCTGCTTTGCTTGCTACAGCTCATTTGGGGGCATGAATGTTCTCCTTACTAACCTCTCATGGAGTCATGTGATAACAGCCATTGTCATGTGTATGGATGCCACCATTCTTGAATTTCTGCTAGAAATAAGTAGGTTGCTATTGCACTTAGAGTCATCTTTGCAAGGGACTCATTCCAAACCAATTCCAATCGACCTGAAAGTCCCTTGCACTAAAGAAATGTGATTTTTTTTTAACCCAAGGAGAAAGTTGGTTGTAACAATTTTTCACCAGAATTAGCAATCTGATAGAATAGGCTTTTTTAACAGGAATTTTAAACTGGCGGTGCCAGTTGCAGTGAAGGTGAAGTGGCTATTGCTTTATATTCGACAAATATTTATTGAGCATCTACTATATACTAGGCCCTGAAGATAGAGCGTTGAACAAACCCAATAGTCTTGGCCCTCAAAAAGCTTTATGTGACATAGAGCATCCAGCTCGACAATTAGCAAACCCCTGATATTATTCATGGACTTGACATGAGGTTTGGACTATTCATGAGCAACAGCAGAAGGTCCATGACCCCTACAAATTTACATTTTTCTATGGCCCATATTTGAAAACCTCACATTCGGAGCAGGCCACTTTATATTCGTGAGTGATCCCAAGCTCACTGACCAACAGAAAAGATGCTAAAAAAATGTGTCCTATCATGTGCCTGCTCCAACTGATGGGTAATGTCTGCCTTTAAGCCCCAGAATGGATTCTCCAGGCACAGTGTGGAAGAGTGCTGTGGTTGATTAGCAATGTCTGCCTTGGGTGAGGAAAGGGGAACACTCCTCAAGTGCCTCCTACTGTCATCTCCATTCAGCCTAGCACCACATCCCCATGTAGAAGTGTTGTCTTCTACTGCTTGCCACGTACAAGTGTGAAATGCCAAGGTGAGACTCGTACACTTGGGGATTTGCAATGGTTTTTACCCCTCATGAAGGTCAGAGGTGGACTATTTGTACACATACACACATGCACACCCTCTCACGTCCTCCAGAGGCTGAAAGACTATCAGCATCTTGGTAACTGCCATGCATGAGCAGCAAGGACAGCCTTCCATAATCCATGCCCCATTTCCTCTGGAAGCCTGGAAACTTTTCATTTCCTGTTCCTTGCTAATTAACATCTAAACATGCTTCTCATTTCCAGCCATTGCTGATGCTTCTCAGTTGAAGTTTGAGCCACATCCCTCTTACAGCTAGTGAATGAGTTGGTAGCAGCTACTGTATATAATAATAATAATAGTTTTAATAATAGGGGAGGGTGGGATGGGGTGTGGGTAAGTTTTGCCTTTTGTTTTGTTTTTGATGCCGTATATAGTGAAGGGGTGAGGATATTCTAAACAAACAAAAATTGAATAATTTATTCACAGAAACTATTAAGATTGTATTGTAAAGCTCACAGCAAGCTCAGTGGGCAGCAGCTGCAACATCTCACCGGGGAAATTATTTTATTTAACGTGAGTGAGATGTGGGCCGGAGAAGGTAGCTGAAGCTATTTATAAAACGTTGTGTACCTTCTTCCGAGCTCTCTCCCCTTTGTGAAGGGCGCAGCAACTATACCCTTGATGGATGGAGATTTACGCAATGTGTTTTACTGGGTAGAGTGACAGACCTTGGCTGTCCCTGGAATTGAGAATCTGGACCTTATTTCCAGGCAGAGAACACTGTCCTCAGAAATGGGACTTCTGATAATGAAACAGGTTGTCCAACATTTTCTAATACGCATTCTACAGAACACAGGTTCCAGGAGGCATCAGGTTGGTGTGATGCAGACTAAGGGTTTTGTGGTCAAATATCCTTAAGAAACAAAGTTAAGTCAGTTTCCTTTCTGCAAGGACTTTTCAGCCTTCAATGTGTGCTGTGCATGGTGAATCCCCAAAAATAATCCTTGAGTCTGTAGCATTTCCTGAACTTACATGACCAGGATACTCTATTTTGCAGATCACCCCACAGAGCTAGGGTTCCACCGAGTATACTTTGCTTAGGTTGACTTAGCATATCTGAGGTCTTCAAGGATAAAAACTGCCACCCCAACACCCTTCCATTAAAAAAAAAATACAAAATAGCACCACAGTCTCCATCTGGTTTATAGCAACAGAGGTACTTTATTTAATGAAGCAATGGTTCTAATCCTGGATACTGCCACGGACTACAATTCTATCCCTCCCAGAGGGAGTGGAGGAAGTCTTGGGTGGTGTGGACAGAAGGAAGAGAGGAGAGGGTGAGTGGGGTATAGGGCCCAGGGTGGCTCCCTACTCCTCAGGCTCAAAAGGATGCTCAGTGGGAACAGATGATCTCTTGATGAGTGCTTCTTCAGTTTCATAGTTTGGAATCGTTCACTGTGTGCTTTTTGGGGGGTTTTCAATGGAAATTCACGTTGCTTTGCATTTCTGTGTCCGTCTTTGGTCAGTTGTGCAAGCCTGCTCACTGTCATGTGAAGATGGCCTTTCATCTGGCTTCTCTCTCTTAAGTGAGAAAGATTGTCCTTCAGGGGACATGACATCAATAGGTTTCTGGAATGAGGGACTCTTTCTCCCCGTGTTTTGCTTTGTGTTCACATTTTCTTTTCTAATGGCATTGAAACTTTAAAAAAAATGGATTCAACTGTTTTTGCAGAATGTAGAAAGTATTCTGTGTCCTTGGTTAAAGAAATCCACTTGTGAAGTGTGCCTGGAAAATGAAAGTTTGTGTTTTTTAAAGAGGAATATTTGAAACTGCTTTCTATGCATGCTTAGCTGGAGAAAAGTACAGGCAGGCGTCCCATCTCCCAGCCACTTCTCAAAGGTGCTGCTGTGTTTTAAAGACCAGGTACAGCCAGGGCAGTATTTGCAAGGACATTCCTGCTTACTTTATCCCTTTGGTTGGAAAGCTCTAGATGATTCCCGCAGCTCCTCCAGACCCCGCCTCCCTGCCCTCCCCAGCTGGTCTGGGAAGAGGTGGTCTGCTGACCTGTGGTATCTCAGAGGGGACGTTCCTCCTCCTCCCTGTGCACCAGGTGGGCTGCACCCTCCTGCCTATTCAGGATGTGGATGCCACAGGAGAGCAGCAGGCAGTGGAAACTTCAGTTGCACTGGTTCTCCTGGTGGCAAAGGCATGAAGCACAGGGGTCGATTAATCCAGGCTACTAGAAAGCTCCAGAGCAAAGTGTGCGGGTCCCACAAATGCTTGGCTGGTGGGGTCTGGATCAGTGCTGAGATAGAGTTGGCAGAAGAAGCAGAGGCACTCTGCTTGCTTTCCTAGCCAGTCCTCCCCTACACACACACACACACACACACACACACACACACACAATCTCAGCTGCGCCATTCTGTGCAATCCCAGTGACCAAATCCCTTCCTTGCCCACCTCTATGTCAGCAGGACTGACCACATCACTCCCCCGAGTTCCCACCACCAGCATTTCCTCCAACCTTTTTCCATCACAACCAGTTAGAACCCTACAGGCAACAAGGCCTTCTAGAATCCGCTTAACCCTTGGCTGATAACAGGCAAATTTCAGTCTGCTACACTTTGTTAGGTCCAGAAGGAGCTGCCCATACTACTTTCTTATGAGCATGCTCAGTATGGCATATGGACATGTAATGTCACATCTTTGTGGAGTGTGATTTTCTTTTTTCACATATTTGTATGCAGTAGAGAGCCTGTTGTAGAAAACGCTCCCTGTATCTTGCTGTACTGTTAAAGAAAGCTGAATTCCACATTGCCAACAAAAGCGTGAAAATGTTCATGAACCTTCCTCCAGGAAAAGCCATTCAAGCCTGATTATTTTTCTAAGTAACTTCAATTAAATTGAAGAAAAAAGAAGCTGCTTTCTGTGTATGGTTTGCTCATGGCTCATTAACAAAAGACTGTAGGGGTGGGGTGGGCCGTGGACCTTAGCATGCGGGGGGCCCTGCTCATGTGTATCAAAGGATGGAGATGCAGGCTTCGTTGGAAGACTCAGCCCTGGTAAAAACCGCCATAGATCCAAATTCTTTCTGTTCATCGGGTGAATGGAAGCTTTTCTTCTTTCCATTTTTTCTATAAAGTCTTTGTAGACTAATGCATTAGAAGGTGCACTGTGATCACACAGTTCCACCACTCGTGTGAAAAGGCATGAAGGCTGTCAGTAAATGGCTTTGGTGGCAGAGCCAGTATTCAAGCCCAGGTTGATGTGCCTTCAGAACTCCATGTTTTTGGCACTGAATGACATGCCTCTCTAAATGGCCATCCATGGTGCCACTGCTAGGAAGTTGCAAGCCTGCACTTCAAGTCCCAGTTTTTCAATTCCAAATCCAATCCTGTTCTGATTCCCCACATAGCTTATTTCGGCTCTATGGATGAGCATCTTTTAGCTTTTTTTTTTTTTTTTTTTTGGAAACGGAGTCACACTCTGTTGCCAGGCGGGAGTGCAGTGGTGAGATCTCGGCTCACTGCAACCTCCACCTCCTGGGTTCAAGTGATTCTCCTCCCTCAGCCCCAGAGTAGCTGGGACTACAGGTGTGCACCACCACACCCAGCTAATTTTTGTATTTTTAGTAAAGATGGGGTTTCACCATGTTGGCCAGGATGGTCTCGATCCCTCGACCTTGTTATCCACCCGCCCCAGCCTCCCAAAGTGCTGGGATTACAGGCATGAGCCACCGTGCCTGGCTGCATCTTTTAGCTTTATTGGTAAAAATGATTTCTGTATATTTTTCCAAAGAAGAAATTATACTCAATGTTGTTTCTGTTTTTCATTGTATTCTAATTTAATTTTCTTTTAAGAGACAAGGTCTCACTCTGTCACCCAGGCTGGAGTGCAGTGGCACGATCGTAACTCACTGCAGCCTTGACCTGGGTGCAAGCGATCTCCCGGCACAGCCTCCAAAATACCCAAGGATTATAGGCGTGTGCCACCATGCCCGGCTAACCAATTTCTTTAAACATAACATCTAAACATTTTTAACATTACAATATTGGGTGAGAAAATAGATCCCGTTTTCAACCATGCTAGATATGGTTTCTAATCACCAGCTGGCTTTCCCCACTGGTAGCTGGTGCCCACCCATGGGCATGATATCCAAAAAGACCAGGAACCATTGGCTAAGAATACATTTGGCCAAGAATACATTGCTAGTGTCATCACTGTCCTTGCTATGGTCCCATCTGGTTGGGAAATGCCCAGACCACAGAGCTTAGTCATCTTAGATTCATAGAAAACATACATCCTTTTTCATCAGTGAATGGATGTGACTTTGCGATAGCCTGTCTCTGTCTCATTTGGAACATTGTAAATGTCAGTGGGAAGCAAAGCTAGACGAGGTCATCTCTAGCCTGTTTGCTCCCCTTGGAGTGACACTGACATGCTTTCTTGCCAGCTAATCGGGAGGTGTTTCTGATGGTGCCCCAGGTGCCCTATGTCTGACCTGCAGAAGCTGCAGAACCTGAGGAGCCTGTGGCCCAGAACATTGCCTGGGCCAGGTCAGGGTAAGGTAATTATTGATCCCCCAAGTGGACAAAAATAGGATGAGGCAGAATCAGTAGTGTAAGATGTAAAGTACTCTTTCTCGGGAAGAGCTCCCTTTTCTCAAGTTACGTCTTTCCTACATTTTTGGTATTAGAATATCTTTTTTTGTTTCCTTTTTTTTGTTTGTTTGGGTTTTTTTTTTTTTTTTTTTTTTTGAAACGGAGTCCCGCTCTGTCGTCCTGTCATCAGGCTGGAGTGCAGTGGCATGATCTTGGCTCACTGCAACCTCCACCTCCCAGGTTCAAGCGATCCTCCTGCCTCAGCCTCCCAAGTAGCTGGGACTACAGGCACCCGCCACCATACCCAGCTAATTTTTGTATTTTTAGTAGAGACAGGGTTTCACCATGTTGGCCAGGATGGTCTCGATCTCTTGACCTTGTGATCCGCCTGCCTCGGCCTCCCAAAGTGCTGGGATTACAGGTGTGAGCCACCACGTCCAGCCTCTTTTACAATAATAGATGTTAATTGATACTAGGACATAAAATATTGGTAACTTAGTGTCAGCCCCCAATGTCATCTTAAACATTTTCTGAAAAAGTCATGATATCCAAAAAGACCAGGAACCACTGGTCAAGAATACATCTGAGGCACGAAGTGATGGGAGAGAAACCTCAGGGCTTGGTGGACAGAACTCTGTGGAAATCCCTTCTGAAGCACAGTCCTGAGTGCCCCACAGCTGGACACCACAATGTGGCCAGTGGCTATGGCCTCTGGGTTCTGGGGTGACTTACAAGAAGCTGAACACTGGGCTAGCTACATTCACTGTAGATAAAGTTTATCAGACATCTTGGGTCTGGGGTGATGAATATGTCTGGTGTAATAGGAAAAAGGAACATTCTAGCAAGGCTGATATGAGAAAAACAACCACCTTTTCCCTATTTCACAATCTTCACCAGCACCCGCCTCTTCCCCAAATTGTAAGAACCCACAGGTGGAGAAAACAGCCAGAGGTTGTGAGTGGAGGCAGCCTGCTGGTTCCAAATGCGTTGCTGGCTGAGAACCATTCCCAAACAAACTCCCGTAGTCACTTCCTCTTTGAAATAGGGAAAACAATAATATCTGGATTGTGCCACGACTGAAAACCCTTTCCTAGCTGCAGTTCATCCACCAAGGAGCTGTCTGCAACCTACAGGTAATTACTTCCTATGCAGGGAGGGGACTTACATTTCCTCATCTGCGGAACAAAAGAATTGAGCTATATCTGTGGTTTTCAATGCGGTTTTTAAAAATGAGCCTCTTAAAAATTTTTGCATTCTGAACACTCATATGTAAAACAGATGAGGCAGAGATGCTGTGATTGAATGGTTTGAGGCCCAGCTCTGCCTTTTTCCCATAAAGTCCCTGTAAACCATCACGGGCCATAGGGTTCTAAGGAAAACAGTTTGAGAAGCAGTAAGTTACGTGACCTCTGAGCCTTTCCTGTTTGACTAATGATCTACCTGAATCCTCCTCTGTGGCTTCTGCTGCTTTATGCCTAAGAGATTGACCAGTTAGATGGTACCACGCAGGTAAAAACTGCTTTGAGAAGGGAGTTAAGGGGATGGCGTTAGACAGAGATTAAGATGCAACAATAGAAATTATTTAAAAAAAAAAAACGTAAAAGCTGATGCAGCAAAGAAATAGCTCATAGCTAGATTCAAGATGGGAACCGAAATTTACACTCCTCTTTCCAAATGCTCTACCATGGAAACACAGGCTCCACCTTTGTACAAAACCCTATTAATTTGAAATACAAGAGACTGGAATGAAAAACAGTCTCTGTATTAATCTGCTTTTTATTTTTCCATGGTTTTGTTTTGTTTTTCTTTTTTGTTTCGTTTTGTTTTTTTGAGATGGAGTCTCACTCTATCACCCAGGCTGGAGTGCAGTGGCGCAATCTTGGCTCACTGCAAGCTCCACCTCTCAGGTTCCCGCCATTCTCCTGCCTCAGCCTCCCGAGTAGCTGGGACTACAGGTGCCTGCCACCATGCCTGGCTAATTTTTCTTTTTTTTTTTTTTAGTAGAGACGGGGTTTCACCATGTTAGCCAGGATAGTCTCGATCTCCTGACCTCGTGATCCTCCCGCCTTGGCCTCCCAAAGTGCTGGCATTATAGGCATGAGCCACCACACCCGGCTCCAAGTTTGTTTTTAAAAATAATAGAGCATCTCATTATGGGAGAAGAGTAAGGGCTTTGGATTTCACGTTGGTTTGGACAAGCCAGCAGCAGCTAGAGAAGATTATTTTGTGGCTAGGACCAGCCTTGGGCTTTATCTGATAGATCAAGCCAGAAACAACTTTGTGCCCGGAACCAAACTGGCAAAAGGATAGAGAAAAAAAATGCCTAAAGAAGAGATGAAGGAAGAAGGAACTCTGACTATAGAAATTATACCTTTATGCTGAGCTTCTTTGCACAGTGAACACAAACTCAACTGTGGGTGCCTTGGAAATGTTTGCTTTTAATGTGCTCTTTTCCAAATTCTATCTTTTCATAGGGAAAGCTGACCATAAAGGTAGCTAACTTTTATTAACTATTAGTTTATTATATGCCACACAGTGTGTTACATGCTTTCAATTTAATCCTCACAAACAACAAACAAGGTAGATACTGGGACCCTTTTTACAGATTGATATGGTTTGGCTGTGTCCCCACCCAAATATCATCTTGAATTGTAGCTCCCATAATTCCCACATGTTGTGGGAGGGACCTGGTGGGAGATCACTGAATCACGGGGGCAGTTTCCCACATACCGTTCTCATGTTAGTGAATAAGTCTCACGAGATCTGATGGTTTTTAGGAAGTTTCCCCTTTCACATGGCTCTCATTCTCTCTTGCCTGCCACCATGTAAGATGTCCCTTTGCCCATAATTGTGAGGCCTCCCCAGCCATGTAGAACTGGGTCCATCAAACCTCTTTCCTTTATAAATTACCCAGTCTTGGGTATGTCTTTATTAGCAGCATGAGAATGGACTAATATACACATAAAGATGCAGAAAATTAGAATAAATAACTTGCCTCAAGTTACCCAGAATTCAGATCCAGGTCTGGTTGACTCTCCAGCCCACTAAAATTGGGCGTTATTGGTGGACCAAGAGTGGAGGAGGCCAGAAGTCTAAACCTGGAAGCCAATGGTGCTACAAAGAGACATGGATAGAGATGAAAACTTTAGCCCAGTTGGCAAAAGCTTGGAAAACCTACTGGACTGATGAACATCAAATTTGGACAAACTGTTTAGAAAGCTTGGACTTCCAATAAAAGCCAATGAATGGCAAAGTGAAATTCAAATCAGGGTCTCAGAGGGAGCTGTGAGACTGCTGAATGGAAAGAACAAGCCATAAGTATTCTGATGCTCTAACAGAACAAGCCAGCCTAAGGTTCCAACATAGCCCCAAATCAAGTTCCAAGGGCAGCCATTCAGGGTAAAGGTTGTGTTCAAGCAGCTGTACACACAGCAACACTGCCATGCAATGCACTTGGGCAAGCAGCAGTGGGACTGGAGTCATTTGGCCCAAATGAAGGACATTTCCAAGCAGAACAGAAAGGCAGACAAAAATAGGGTAAGAGAAAGAGACTCCATGGCAGGTGGGAGTGTCTTAGGGCACCTTTGGATGTCTCTTCTACAGAGTTCCCTCTGCGTGGTAGCACCCTGCACACAGCCCTAGGCCTTACTCTGTAAGCTGAGAGCTCTGAGCTTCCCCAACTTCCCCTCCTCCATCTCAGCCCCAGGGACCTGCAGCTGTCAAGAGATACATTCATTCCTTCATCTGTGCAAACATATATTAAGCATCTGCCTATGTCAGCCCCTGTGCAAGATGCCAAGAATATGCGAATTCTTAAGATTCATAAGTGGACAACATAGAAATGTTAACGGGTAGTTATGGGATAGTTGACACATGCATGAAGACAAAACACCAAATTCCCCTTGGGAAAGAAGTGATGCAAGTCAGTAGCTAGAGAGATGGAGAAAAGTTGAGGGTTTGGAACAGTGGCTCCCAACCAGGAATGATTTTGCCTTCCTATGGATAGATCCCCACAACAAAAACTTGCTCAGTTCACAATGTCAGTAATGCTGAGACTGGAAAGCCCTACATTGGAGAAATATTAATTTGGGATAGAACCTATGTCTTTTAGTAACTGAATGGAAATGTAGGTGAGGAAGAGGGAAATAAGAAGGGAAGGAGGATTGCCACGAATTGAGTTTGAGCAACCATAGCTGGATAGTGGGGCCATTATTGGAGATCAGTTAATTAGGAGCAGAAACAGGTTTTGGGGAAGGCTCTCAGTTAACTATGAGACATGCTGAATTAAGGTTCAGGTAAAACATCCAGGAGAAGTTGGAGTGGTTCTAGAGCCTTACTACTCAAAGTGTGATTTGTAGACCAGCAACATGGAAATTACCTGGGAGCTTGCTAGAAACCCAGTGTTTCAGGCCCCACACCAGCCTTCCTGCATTTTAGCAATCTCCCCAGGTGATTCACATGCTTCACATTTGAGAAGCCCCTGTCTAAGCACAAGAGAGAGCCTGAGGAGAAGCTGTGGCTTTGGGAGATGGGGTCATGTTTCATTACTGTTTACTCTTCCAGCAACCCTGAGATGTGTATGATCAGGTCCACTGTGTCTGGTTGTGCAGGCTGTGCACTGCACAAAGGTAGGCCCAAGATGGGGTTGACATTTGTCATTTACTCTGAAGGACTGGATGCCTTTTTCTTACCCCACTTGCCAAGTTATGGGCCCAAAAGCTGTACCCACCCAGAAAATGAATTGTCAAATTTGCACAAAAGCTCTGTGACTTAGCAGTGGCCCAAATATAATGATTTCACATCCCTTTATCTGCAGTTCTGAAATCCACAAAACTCTGAAAACGAAATGTTTTTTCATAGATTTGCAGCAAGCTCACTTGGCAGAGAAACCTGACCTTAGCTAGCATGAGACTAATTATAGTCTTTATTTATCCCACTTACTGTGAATATTCATGCATTTTCCTGCAGAAATATTCATGTGTTTTATGATGGGAGTTCAGCCCCATATTCTACTGGGGTATTAAGAAATACATGATATTTGCACAGTATTTGGGGTGGGGGGAATTATTAATTCTTAAACACATCTGATCCAAGGGTTTCAGATAAAATTGTGAATTTGTACTACCCCAATTTTACAAATGGATCAACTGAGGCTCAGAGAGGTTAAGTCACTGCAAAACTAGTATATGAGAGAGCTAGGGTTCATTCAGACCCCATGCTCCTTTGGCATGACACTTGCTCCAAGAGGATTATTAATGAGCTAGACACTGCTCAATTAACAGTCCAGGCCTTTTTTTTTTTTTTTTTTTTTACAAGCCATGTGGATTTTCAGACAGAAACACAGGTAAGGGGCACAAGGAGCATAAAATAGAATAATCTGCTTTTTGTGTGGGTCTGCCATAGCAGAATGCTAACTCTGACACCTGAGCTGTATTTTTCCAAACAAGCCTCTGCGTGTTCTGACAGCATTCAGCCCAAAGCCAGGCACCCCTGTGCTGCAAGCATCCATCAACTTCAGCCTCACTGGCAGACATAGAGAATCCCAGCTATATTATAAAAGAATGAAAGCAGGCGAATTCTCTTGTTAGATCTGTGATTGAGATGAGGCGAACTACAGCAAAACAGCAGGATGATCTTCTGTTGTACTATTCTTATTCACCAGAGACACAAGTCTCCATCAGCGGCAGCAGGATCCAAATGCCAATTCCTTCTTTAAAAGACATTTGCGTGCTTTGGAGAACAATGCCTGTCATTGCTTCAGAACCAAGAGTTGCTCCCGTTTCCCTGCTCCATCAGGAAAGAATAGGCTTTATTCTTCTTCCAGAAATAAACCTACAGCTATAAATTATTAGCCAGATGAGAGTCAATGTACCTTCCTCTTTGAGATGTTGCAAACTCTAAAATTATATTCATGTGATATACCCACGTCTATAGTCTTCCCTTTTGAGCTTACATCTTGGGGTGTTGCCATGAGGTGAATGTTGGAAATTTGGTATCTTGGCACCAAAATCAAGGATTATTCATTATTCATTTAAATGAATTTAAGCTTTCCTTAAAATATTTGTATGTAAAAAAGACCCTTTATTTAAATATATTCCACTGAATATTGAACTCAAAATCATTTTTGTGATCCATTTCTGATTCTTTCCATCGTTTATACATGAATTACATATTTATATGTATGTATCACTTTAGATTATTCTATATACACATTCCTATATATTCTTTGGAGAAATGTTTATTCAAATCATAAATCCTTTATCAGAAATATGTTTTACAAATATTTTCTCTCAGTCTGTGGTTTGCCCTTTTCATTTTCTTAATGTCTTTCAAAGAGCAAACATTTTAAATTTTGATGAAGTCCAATTTATCAATTTTTATTTTACAGCTGGGTTTTTTGTGTCCTGTGTAAGAAATCTTTACCCAACCTAAAGTCTCCAGGATTTTATCCAATGTTTTCTTTTAGAAGTGTCATAATTTTTGCTTTTACATTTACGTTTATGACCATTTAGTTAGTACTGTATATATGAAGTAAGGGTCATAGTTCAGACCTTATAAATATCCAGTTGTTCCATTACCATTTGTTGAAAGAGCTGTACTATTTTTACATTGGTGCCTTTGTCAAAAATCAAGTGATCACATATATGCGAGCTGCTTTCTGGACTCTCTCTGCTGTTCTGTCGATCTATATGCCTGTTCCTATGCCAATATCACACTGCCTTAATTATTATAGCTTTATAGGAGGCCTTGAAGTCAGGTATTATAATTCCCCAAGTATGCTTTTATGTTTTTCTTTATTGCACTGGCTATGACTTCCAATACCAGGTTTAATAAAAGTGGTTAAGAGGAAAGCTTCAGTTTTTTACTATGAAGTATGATTCTAGCTGTAGGTTTTTTGTGGATGCCCTTTATCAGATTAAAGTGGTCAATTTGCTAATATTTTATTTAAATTTTTTCGCCTATGTTCCTAGAAAATATCACCCTATATTTTTCTTGTGATGCTTTTGTCTGGTTTTGATGGGAGGGTAATGCCGGCCTCATAATACAACTTGGGAAATATTCCTTCCTCTTCTATTTTCTGGAGGAATTTGTGTAGAAATTGTATCGTTTTTTTCCTCAAATATCTGGTAGAACTCACTTGCAAAGCTATCTGCTCCTGGAATTTTCACTGTGGGAAGGTTTTTAATTAAAAATTATTTTTATTTAATAGATAAATATTTAATAGATAAATAAAATTATTAATTTTAAGTAAGCTACTTAAGTAATCTAATTTTTCTTGAATGAGCTTTGGTAAAAATACATTTGAAGGAATATATCTGTTTCATCTAAGTTGCTGAATTTATTGGCATAATGTTGTTTATAAGTTTCTCTTATTAACATTTAATGCCTGTTGGATAAGTAATTATATTCTGTTTTTCATTCCCGATATTGGTAGTTGATGTCTTCTCTCTTTTTTCCATTGTCTGGCTGGAAATTTATCAGTTTTATTGATTCTTTCTAAGAACAATCTTTTGGTTTTGTTGATTTTCTCTGCCTTTTTTTGTTTGTTTTTGGTTTCATTGATTTGTGCTCCCATTTTTATTATTTACTTCCTTCTGTTTGCCTTGTGAATAATTTGTTCTTCTTTTTCTAGTTTATGCCAGAACTTTAGATTATTAATTTGAGTCCTTTCTTCTTTACTAATATAAGCACTTAAGGCTAAAATTGTCCTTCTAAGTACTACTTTAGCTGCATCCCATAAATTTTGGCAAATTGTGTTTCCATTTTTATTCAGTTTAAAGTATTTTCTAGTTTTCTTTATAGTTATTTATTTAATTCATAGATTATTAAGTGTGCTGGGAATTTTTTTGATATCTTCATTTTATTTCTACTTAAATTCCATTGTCGTCAGATAACATATTTTGTATGATTTTTGTCCTTTTAACTTCATAGAGACTTGTTTTAAGGCCCAGAATAGGATCTATCTTGGTATATGTTCCCTGTGGACTTTAAAACTATGTTTATTCCGCTATTGTTGGATGGAAGGTTTTATAACTGTCAACTGGATCAAGCTGGTGGATAATGTTCTTCAAGTCTTCCATATCTTATTCATTTTCTGAACATTTATTTATCAATTATTGGAAAAGGGGAGTATTAAAATGTCCTATTATAATTGTGGATTAATCTATTTCTCTTCTCAATTTTTGCTTAATTTTAAAACTTTAAAAATTAGTTGCATACACATTTAAAGTTATGTTTTCTTGATGAATTAACTCCTTTATTATTATGAAATGTCCCTCTTTTTCCCCAGCTGTATTCCTTGTTCTGAAGTCCACTTTGATACTACTATACTAAGCCAGCTTTCTTTTTTCAGTGTTTGCATTATATACCATTTTCTCTCTTTTACTTTTAACCTATCTGTGTATTTATGTTTAAAGTAGCTTTCTTTGTTAACAACCTATATTTGGGTCTTTTAAAATCAAATTAAATTTAATTAAAAAAATTTTTAGAGACAGGGTCTCACTCTGTCTCCCAGGCTGGAATGCATGGTGTGATCATAGCTAACTGCAGCCTCTAACTCCTGGGCTCAAGAGATCATCCTGCCTCAGCCTCCCAAGTAGCCAGACTACAGGTGCACACCCTTTTCCCAAGTAATTTTTTACTTTTTGTAGAGGCGGGATCTTGCAATGTCATCCAGGCTGGTCTTGAACTCCTGGCTCCAAGCAATCCTCCCACCTTGGCCTCCCAAAGTGCTCAGATTACAGGCATGAGCCACCACACTTGGCCAGATATTTTTTAAAAAAAAAATCTAATATGAGAACCTCTTCCTTTTAGTTGGAATATTTAGACTATTTACATTTAATGTAATTATTGATATAGTTAGGTTTAAACCTACTATCTTGTTGTTTTCTATTTCTTATCTTTCTTCCTTTTTCCCTTTTTTTCCTTTACTTTGCTTATATTGGGTATTTTTATTATTCTAGTTTTCCATTTACTTTTGGCTAATTAGCTATTTCTTTGTTGGTTTGTGTTTAGTGGTTGCCTTTGGATTTATAATATGTGTATTTAAACTTATTACAGTCTATCTTTAAAAATTTATGCTATATACACATTTAACACGAGAACCCCACAACAGATTACTTCCATTCCCCTTCTTTTTGCCCTTGTTGTCATATATTTTGTTCTACGTGTTACAAACTATAAAATGTTATCATTTTTGCTTTATCTGTCAATTATCCTTTAAATATGCAAAAAGTGAGAAAGACAATTTAATATCTACCTTCACATTTATCATTTCTGGCCCTTGCTCTTTTGCATAACTCCACACATCTGGTCTCATTTTCTTTCAACCTGAAAAATTTCCTTATTCCTTGTATTATAGGTCTGCTGGCAGCAAATTATCTCATCTTTTGTTTAACTAAAAATTCTTGATCAAATTTGAAAATGTGTGGCCATTACTTGGCCATTACTTCTCTAAATATTCTTTCCTGCCCCTACACTCTTTCTAGGACTCTACTTATATGTTAGACCACTTGATGTTGCTCCATTGATCATGAATGCTTTGTTCATTTTTTAAAGTTTTTGTTTTCTTGGTGTGCTTCATTTTGAATATTTTCTAATTGCTCTTTCTTCAAGTTTACTGATTCTTAATCCTGCGGTTAATGCCATCCCAGGGAAATTTTCATTTCAGATGTTGTATTTTTTATTTCTATAAGTTCCATTTGGATCTTTAAAAGTGTTACATTTCTTTCCTTATAATGATCACATGTCCTTTATATCCTTGAGAATGTGGAAGTGTGTGTGTGTGTGTGTGTGTGTGTAATCTTTTAAAGTCATTATCTGCTAATCCATCATCACTATCATTTTTAGGTCTGCTTATATTGACTAATTTTTCTCCTGATTACTGTTCCAATTTTCTTGCCTTTTTGTATGTCTAGCAACTTTTAATTTGATGGTGGATATTTAATTTTACATTTTTCAGGCTGGGTTTTACTATACTCTTTAAAGGGGTGTTGGACATTTTCTGGCAGGCAATTACATTACTTATGGATTAGACTGATCCTCTTCAGGTTTGTTTTTAAACTCAGTTAAAGTGGGTCTGGAGCAGCCTTTATTCTAGAGCTGATTTAACCCCATTTGTAAGGTGTGGTCTTTCTGAGGGTTCCACTTAATTCCATGAATATTTAATGAGGTCTTTTACACTTGCTAGAAGCAATTCAAATAACTCCCGGCATTGTGTAACCTCTGGGAAATATTTTTCATATAGCACCTCAGCAATTGTCCTTTCCTTGTAAGTTGTTCTCTTCTGGCCTTGTAGGATTTTACTCTATGCATGCACTTACTGGCATTCATTCAAAGACACAAAAGGACCTCTATCCAAATTTCTGATGCTCTTTCTTAGTGTAGCTCTCTTCACTTGCGTACCCTGCTCTGCACCTAATTCTAGCCACCTAGGCATTTCAGAATTTCAGTCTAACTCCTCGACTCAGAGAGACTGTATGGAATTTCCTTCTGTGAACCACAGTCTGGTAATTACCTCAGACAGAAAGTCTTGGCAATGTGGACCTTACCTCCTTTGTTCCCTTTTCTAAGGAATCATAGTTCATTTCTGCCTGTTGTTCAGTGTCTGAAAATTGTTATTGTCTATATTTTGTCCATTTTTCTAGTATTTTATTGTGGGAAGTTAATTCTGGACTGTCTTATCCTGTCATAGGTGGATGCAGAAAAATGCCTGTTTTAATACCTATAGTTAAGCCAACATCTTATGGTTATTTAGTTAATCCCTTAACACTAAGAGTTTAGTGTTATTTCTCTAGTTTTAAATATTATGTTTCATAATGCTTTTTCTAATTATTTCTATGTAAAACATTATACCTAGTGCCAATGAGAACATTATTATTAAAAATGATTTTTTTCCTTTAGAGGATATTTTCTTAAGATTTAGAGTTACCAAAACAAAGGATATGAACAACTTTATAGTTCTCATTGCAGTATTTCCTGATTGTCTCCAGAAAGATAAGACTCATTTACAGTGCCTCTAGGAGTATGAATACATATTTCTCCTGATTGCTAGCATTGGACTTTATCACTCTAATTTATTTTCATTAGTTGAACCCGTGAGTAATGGTGCCTAGAAGATGGTTCAATTTGTTATTTTTTCTCATAGTGCTAGGAGTGCATTTTCTCAATAGATAATTAAATGTCTGATTTTTCTTGTATATAAACTATCTGTTCATCAATCTTGATGATATAGCAAGTGGAATTATGGTATTTATATTATAGGACCTCATTACATTTGGTAGAATTGTACGCTATTATCTGTTGTGTTTTTCACATAGCTTAATCCCCTCTTTTAGTTTACAAGTAACTTTCATTTTTCAGTCTTCTTTAAGCAACAGATTGTTAGATTTTGTTCTTAATTCTGTTACTGGTTCCTCTTCCTCCTCCGCCTCCTCCTCTTCTTCTCATCTCTTCTTCTTCTTCTTCTTTTTTTTTTTTTTTTTTTTTTTTGAGACAGAGTCTTGCTCTATTGCCTAGACTGGGACAATCATGGCTCACTGCGGCTTCAGCCTCCCTAGCTCAGGCAATCCTCCAGAGTAGCTGGGACTACAGGCATGTGCCACCACACCTGGCTAATTTCTTAATTTTTGGTAGAGATGGCATTTTACCATGTTGCCCAGTCTGGTCTTGAACTCCTGAGCTCAAATGATCCACCCATCTTGGCCTCCCAAAGTGCTGGGATTACAGGCGTGAGCCACCACTCCTGGCCTGGTTCTTCTTTATCCAGAGGATTTTATCTTTTTGGCTTAAATATAAGTTGATATATTTATGCTTTTTACTACTTCCTAAGTCTATTTTTAAGGGCTGCTATGGCCTGCTTTCTCTTTTTATTTGCATTGCCACTGTAGTAAATTTTAGCATCTTGATTTCCCTTCATTCTGCACTCCCAATCTACTGGACTCTAAATTCCATGTCTGTGTTGTGAAACCATGTCTGTGTTGTAACTGCCATATTCTCAGTATCTAGCACAGTATCTGGCACATTGATGTATTCATTTAAAAATAATTACTGAGACCCTGCCGTGAATGCCATGGAGACCAGGTATATGTGACTTAACCCCAGTAATCAGCTCTTTTCAGGAATCTAGTTTTATCTTGTGCTTCTCATATTTTATTGTCTGTTTTATAGTTATTAATGTTTCTTTGTTAACTGTGCCCTCTGGGGATGTCCTAGACAATTTCTCTTTCAGAAGGGTTTTCATGTAATTCAAATCTGCCTTGCCCCTGATGGAAGTTCTTGCAGCTGTGGGATGTGGGGTTGACAAATTATTTCAGTACCTCTGACATATCTCATATTAGCTCATAAAAGGTCAACCTGGCCTAGGTTAAAGGTCAAGCAAAAGGCCAATCAGACCTTGAAAGGTCAACCTGACCAGCCCTGCAAGGATACTGACAACTCCATTTCTCTTAGTTTTGTATGTTTTCCCCGAAGCCTTCCTTTTCTGTTCTCTATAGTTTAAGGGGTAAACTCCAGATTTGTTTTCTTCTTACATCTCTCAATGCTTCCTTTCTTTTTAAATCCTTAAAAGAGGCTGTCTTTAATTCTGATGTCTAAACATTGACCAGAAACTGTCTTTCTTAGAATGTTACTCTTCAATTTTTAAATTAATGTTATTCTTTAATTTTTTGAATGTGGATTTCTGTCATTCTCTCCCAGTGACTGAATCAAGATTGCCATTCAGGATAGAATACGGATCTTTAATGATTTTCTTGGCCCTAGTGTATCCCTTGAAGCCTTAGACACTGTTGGGATCTGCTTGTCCTATTCTATTTAATGAGTTCTTCCCAGGACTCCCAAGATCTGTCCATTTTTCCTGCATTCTAGTCTCTGTGTCTGCGATTTGGTATTGATTTAGGTTGCTGTGCAGGTGCATCTCCCACCTTATTGACTAGCTTTTTGAGCTGATGCAATAGCATCTGTGTAAACTTTTCCAAACACTTGGTTCAAATGAAATCTTATGCAGAAGTCCAATCTGAAAAAAAGGCATACCCAGTGCTGCTTTGGTCATTGGTGGTGGTGAGGGAAGAGGATTGAGAGGGTATGGAGCCCTTCCAACTTCTCCATCCCCCATCGCCATAAGTCCCCAAGATAATTCTGAGAACCCAAGGATTCCAGGTAGTTTTACTCAAGCTGCACTTGCATCAGGTCTGCTTTCCCACCTTGGTTTTACGTCCTAGACACATTTATAAGCCTGAGTTCTGTCTTTCATGTTTGCTCAACTTCCCTTTTTAATACTATCATTTCTTACTTAATATTTTACATTAACCTATGTCTTATCCCTCATGCTTCCTCGAGGGTCTTTAGAAAACTAGGCAGATTTGGTTAATTTTTAAAACATCTATTTACACTTAGGGATTGTGAAGAAGCCAGGAAATAAGTGTTTTGGATTTCTAAAATACACATATGGGCATCTTTTTATTTATTAACAGCTTTTATATGTTTTCAATATTATTCCTTAAAGCAGCTGTTTCTTTGAGTTCTCTTTCACACCTGCCTGTCACTTAGAATTTCCATTTGTTAATTTACAAATCCAAATTGGAAGCAACAAAAGCAAAGCACAAGGTAATTTTCCTGATTTTAAATTTTACTTATAAATTTGAGGGTCATTTAGAAGCTCTGTGCATACCCAGCTAGGGTCACAGAGAAGCCACTGGCTTTTACTCTATCCCTAAATACTGTTTTTGAGGTGCAAATACTAATATAGGACTTACCAGACTTATAATAGTTAGGTTTGTGTGGTTTTCCTCCATTAAATTGTAAGGCCCTGAAGGAAGCATTTTTCTCTTTATCCATTATTGTACTTAGTACGATGCAGGTGAATAATACATACTTAAATGGGAAGGGCATCATCTATTTTTACTTCCAGAAAGTCTTAAGAAAGCCAATTAAAAATTTTAATTATCTTGGCATTAGAAAAAATCGGAGATAAAGTGACTTAGAGAGGGAAAGAGAGTGTGGATAATGTTTCTCTCCCAGATGGAAAAGGACACGATGTTCACTATTGATCTCAAGAGGGCACATTTTCAGATGACAAGTGGCTCTTCAGGATAGTTAAATGGCAAAATGTCTGGGATGACATAGGACCAGTCGTGCTTTAATGTGGAAAATACAAAAGGGGAACACATCTAAACCACATAGACACAAGAGTGGTTTGGGATCACTGTGTAGTTGGGAGCCATTATTTCCATGGCTTGTTTTGGCAATAGGGACCCAACAATGAGCTCAGCCCCACTAGTAAGAATGAGCAGCAACACAACATGGCAGGCATGACTCTTTTCCTACTGGGCACATGTGTACCTTCCCTCAGTCACATGAGGTCTGAGCTGCCTCACCTGGAGCTGATCTCTCAGGGCCTAGGCCGGGGCCTCTGCCACAATCAGCAGTTTGTTGGCCAACATTATTCGGTTTATGTAATTTGAGGTGCTGGGCAAGGGTCTAAGTAGAGTTGTTGCTTGGGATTCATGGGGGATTGATTCCAGGACCCCTACAGATGCCAAAATCCAGAGATACTCAAGTACATTATATAAAATACTATAGTACTTGCATATAACCTATACCCATCCTCCTGTATATTTTAAATTATCTCTAGTTTAATTGATGTACATGTTATATAAATAGTTGTTATACTGTATTTAAAAATTTTGTTATTGTTATATTGGGTTTCTCTCCCAAATACTTTTGATCTGTGCTTGGTTGAATCAGCCAGTGCCAAACCCACAATATGGAGGGCAGACAGTAAATTCCTACCAGGCTTGGCTTATCAATTCATTCATTCCACATGCATTTATTGAGACACTGAGGAATATCAAAATGAGTCAAAATACTTGTCCTCAATTTGGTCACAAAATAGATGATAATAAAGCCATATATGGTAAGGGCATAGCTCACCATCTTGGGGGACAATCCTGCTTAGACAATGCTACTTTATCACTGATATTTGCTGCTCTGTGATTGACTATGATTCCTTGCTTCTTAATGTGGAAATAAGCCTCTTTCAATATAAATTTCAGTCAGGCTCCTGAGAAATAACCACCATAGAAATGCTCAATTGTCCTAATTATTCTACAGTGAAACCCATTTGTCAACAAATGAAGCCCATGCATGGTCTTACTCTTACGATACATAAGCATACAGCCAGGAATCTCCAAATATTTGGGAAAGCCAACCAACGCAAGAGGAAGAGCACAAAGCGAAGGCAAAAAATAAATCTAGAGGAAATACAGAAGATTAAAACAGACAAAAAAAAAAAAAAACAAGTAGAGGTAAGACAGGATATTATATACATAAAACAAGAAATGCCAGAAACAAGGAGAATAAGCAATAGAGAATAGAGAATAAAAAGAGCTCTTGGAAATTAAATATAGCACAGCCAAAATAAATTTAATTGAAGGATAGGGAGATAAAGTTGAAGAAATCTCATAGAAAAAATGTTTTAAAATACACAGATAGAAAACGAGAGATGGAAGAGGTGGTTTATCTACCCAGGAGGTACAATTTCCATCTAATAAGAATTCCAGGAAGATAAAACAGTGAATAGGAAATTATCAAAAAGTAGTGCAAGTTTTCCCAGAAGTAAAGGAGGGACTCTGTGTGCTCAGCACAGTGAATAAACAAATGCCCACACCAAGAGGCTTATCACAAAGTTTCATAACGCCAGGAACAAATCCTTCTGGTAAAAGAAAATAAAGACAAATAGATAAATAAAACTACCATATAATGGGGAAGGCAAGTCATAAAAATTACAATATAATGAGGTGTCTTTAGGTTGAAGATGATATACTGAGCAATTGAGTTTACCACCTCTTAGTCCTAGCAACGCATCAGGATTGAAATAGAATCAAGTCATAAAATTGCTGAGAATAGAAAAGAGAGTGGGCATCTGCATTCTTAGATTGTGGCTACCAATGGATGGAAAGTGGATGGGGTGACACGAAATTGCAGGGAATGAGCCCCCATCCCCAGACATACTGTAGAGAGCTCTTTCCTCCAGGTGCCCTCAGAGTCAGCAGGTACAATGGGCGAATTTCAGACAAAGAGCAGACGTTGATAGAAATTGCAGAAAAACATCAAGTACCTGCTTCCCTTACCCCTATGAGTGATGGTGGCATTTGCCCCCAGGCTTAAACCAAATAAACATCCTCTAAAAAGTTGAACTAGAATTTAGGGTTCCTCTAGTAGTGGTTGAGTTCTCAAAGTAGGGAAAGCCATCCCCATTGAACATTTGGAAGAGAAAGTATGTCTGCTTGTTCCTAACCTGGACATGTTTTCATGAAAGCTTTTAGTGATGCCCACCATTGGATATGCCCTACACCCCTAAACACAAACACACACACACACCACACACAGAAAAACACCCACATTATATAGTCAACCATATCAGGCAAAAAGAGAGGCCAGTAAAGACAGAGAAAATCATGCCAATGACCTAAGTGAATGAACCTACTGACACAGGATCCTTTCAGTGCTGCTTTGCCAGCCAGAAATTTCCATGGCCAATGGTGCCCCTGCCCAGGCTTTCCTTGGCCCTTGGTTTGACACTGGGCTCACTCTGCCCACTTGGCTTGACAGGCTATGCTTGGCTTGTGCCCTGTCCTGGATCCTGCACCCACCTCAGGATCTGTGCTCAGCCTGCAGCTGAGCCAGTTGTGCCGTGACCTGCTTCTGCCTTGGGCACCAGCATCTGGATGAGGGGAATGTGGTGGCACCCAGAAACTCAGAGATGCCGGTAACCACTGAGCCCCAAAGGGCATTATGGCTCTCACCTGGGGAGTCTCAAGGTTTGAGCCCCCAAGAAGTGTTACAGCCCTCTCTTGTCCCCGCCTCCTGCAGTGTGCGGCAAATGGGGGATGTGTTATAGCTCATTTGTGTTACAGCTCATTCGTTCCTGCTGCCTGCAGTGTGGTGAATGGGCGTGTGTGGTGCCCAGTGTCTTTTACTCCCCAGTTGCTTGGTAAGCAGGAGGGAGAATTACAGTGTTACAGCTCTTTTTGCCCCAACATTCAGCAGATTCCAGGTTCTTGTCCTATGACCAAGAAGAATGAGGTTATGTGGACACCAGAGAGTGAGCAAGGCAGGGAAGAATTTTACTGAGTGACAGAAAAGCTCTTGACAACAAGAGGGGGCCCAAAAGCAGGTAGCCCAATGTGTGGCTGAGTCCGGGGTTTTTATGGGCTCAGAATGGGAGAGTGTGTACTGATAGTCCATGGGCAGGCCTGGAAAAAGCACCATTTGATTGGCTAAAAGGCATTGAGGAAGTTCTCACTCCAGTTGTGGACTCTACCTGGAACTGGCAGCTCAGTTTTTAGACTTTAAGCTATTTTTGGCTTGAAAGTTGGGTTTCACCAGGGACCTATCCCTGTCTGCTGAGAAATCTGTCTGCTTCCTTTCACTATCACTAATACCATAAGACATTCAAGGAAAAGCTACTTCACAAAGGAGAAAAATTTAGGGGAACAAAGAAAACAATGAATGCTACATATCAATCTGGGTTTTTAGCTGCAGAGTGAAGTGTCTACTCTACCTGGGTTTATACATTTATTCAACAAATATTTAAAGGCCTACAATGAACCAGGTACTTTTTCAGGTGTTGGTGGTACAGCAACGAATAGATTGGACATGACCCCTTCCTTTCAGTCAAGTGCAATCAGGCCTTCTGGGTGAAGAATGGCCAGTGCAGAGGCCCTGAGATGACAGCAGGCTTTGTGTATTTGAGGAGCAGCAGGGTAGCAGTGTAACTTGGGAAGATAGCACAGGGAAGCATAGTAGGAGGTAAGGTAAGGCCACATAAAGCCCTTCAAGAGACTGTCTTTACTATGAAAGAGAGGGGAGCCACTGGAGAGCTTTGAGCAAAGGAGTAAAATGATCTGATTTTACACAGATCACTTTGGCTGTGTGCGGAAAAGGCTCTAGAGGGTCAAAATGGAAGACAGGAGACCAGTGAGGTGGCTATTGCAATAATCCATACCAGAAGTGACAGTGATTTGGTACAGGGTAGTAGTAGTAGAGGTGATGAAAAATGATCAAATTTTAGAGACATTTTAAAGATATAATTGGATTTGCTGGTGGTTTGGCATCAGTTATGAGAGAGGAAGAAAGGTAAAGGATGGCTTCCAAGTTTTTGGCCTCAGCAACTAGAAGGATAGAGTAAGATAAATATAAAGATAATGATGAAACTAAGAAAAATAGCTAAAACTTTTATAGTACTTACTATGCGTGATCAACTGTTTTAAGCACTCAACATATATTCATTAATTTCAACCTCACAATAGTCCTATAAGTTAGCTAGTCTTATTAGCATTTTTCAGATTAAAATATCAAGGAACTTACCCACGGATATACACCTAGTGAGTGGCAGAACTGAGACTCAAACTCAGTAGCTTGGCTTAGTACTCTTAACCACTATTTTCTTTTTTTTTAGGAAAGACTATGAGAGGAGCGTGTTGAGGGCAGACTTGAAGATCAGGAGTTCGGTTCTAGACAAGTTAAATTTATGACACCTATATTCATTATCTGTTGCTGCAAAATAACACTCAGTGGCTGAAAAACCCCAAACATTTATTATCTCACAGCTTCTGTGAGTTTGATCTTGAGTGCAGTTTAGCTGAGTATCTGTGGCCCAAAGTCTCTCTTGGAGTCACTGGGGCTTGGGCTGTGGTCTCATTGGAAAGTTTGACTGAGAGTGAGGGATCTGCTTCCCCTCTAACTCACATGGTTTTTGGGAGGCATTGGTCCCTCACCACAGAGGCCGCTCTGCAGGGCTACCTTATAATATGAGAGTTGGCTTTTCTCAGGTTGAGTCATCCAAGAAAGGGCTAGAGAGAGTGAGTGCCCAAGATGAAAGGCACAGTCCTTTTATAACGTAATCTTGGAGTGACATCCATCACATCTACCCTATTCTATTAATTAGGAGTGAGTTAACATGCCCAGCGAGCCCACACTCAAGGAAAGAGGATTACACATGGGCACAAATGCCAGGTGGTGTGGTTCACTGCATATCCATGTGGCAAGGTCATATAGGCAGTTGGAAAAAATCTGGAATCTGAGGGATAAGTCCAGGCTGGAAAGCCATCATGGGGAATGTATTTATTATTGGATAATCTTTGAAAGGACTGGAGGAATCATCTCAGGCTGAGTCTCCAGGAACATCTCCCTGAACCATACTCCAGGACTGGTCTGAGAAGAGATCTGCTGCGGCCACTGCTGCTATGGACTCCAAAAATGTTGCACCTCTGCCTTCCCCCAGTGCCAGCAAAATAGGCGCCAGGTGTCCTAGCACGTTCTTCTTGCAACTAACTTTAGAATCAAAGCTCTCAAAAGAGCCTATGCTGGTTGGCTGAATCAAAGTCTATATTCTAATTACAAGGAGATGGGAAATGTAATATTTGTAATGTCTATGAGAAGATGAAATTAATATTATGAAAAGGTATCAAAATATGGGGAGAGTGCTCAAAGATTTCAAGCATCTATAAGTGACTTTTGTTCATCACATTCTGGGAGGAACTGAGATAACTTAGGAGAAAATGAAGATCATAAAACGAATCTAATTAAGAGCCACAAAGATATGGATCGATATCATATCCATCCATTCAAAGTACTAACAAAAAGAAGCAAAAAACAAGAAGTAGGTTGTGAAAAATTAAAGATATAAATGCATAAATGAAGAATGTAATACATTGGGTGAAATAAATAGATGAAAACATCTCCCAGAATATAGAACAACAACAACAAAAACACCCCAAAGAAATGGAAAATCTGAGGGGAAAAAAATAAGAAATACATAAGATCAATCCAAGAGGGTCCAAATTTAACTAAGACATCCTAGAAAGGAAAAGAGAATAAAAAGCATGAAACGTTTTTTTTTTTTTTTAATCCCAGAACTAAAGGAAGATATTCAAAAAAGTTTCCTAAGTTCCAAGCTCAATGAGTGCAAAATGACCCACATAGCTATAGTACCATGATGTTTTGGAACATGGAGGATAAATATAAAGATGAAAGAGAAGGGAGCCACTTTGCTTTGAGCAAAGGAGGAAAATGATCTAACGTTTTAATAATAAATGTTAATAAGCTAACATTTTAATAGGCTTACTATGTGCGATCAGCTGTTTTCAGCACTTGACCTATATTGGTTAATTTCAACCTCACTACAGTCCTACAAGGTAGCTACTCTTATTATTACCATTTTTCAGATGAAAATATCAAGGAACTTACCCATGGATACATACCTTGTGAGTGGCAGAACTGAGACTCAAACCCAGCAGTCTGGCTTAGTACTCTTAACCACTATTTTCTTTCATTAGTGACAGTGAATTCTAGAAAGCAGTAAAGAAATGCCTTCAAAGTTCTGAAGAAACATAATTTTAAATGGAAAATTACCCAAAATATTAATCAAGTATTAGAGGGATATAATACATTTTCACACATGTAAAAACTTAGATATACAAAAACCTATCTTCAAACATGCATGTGTGTGCAAGCATGTTTGTTATATAAGTTATGCATGTTTATAGGTTATATATAACATGCATATACAGGTTATATAACATGTTATAACATGCATATATAGGTTATATATGCATGTTTGCATATAGGTTATATATAGATACACACATATATATAGGTAAGTATATACACTTTCTGAAAAAGTAAATTAAGGATTTACTGCAGCAAAAGGAAAAATAACTTGAAGACAAACAATGGCATGACCTCCAAGAACAGTGAACCAATTAAAGAGTGCAACAAAAAGTAATCCCAGATAACTTCTATGCAAATGGGCATAAGCACTGGCCATCTTGCCCCTATTTTTACACTTCTTTGGTAAGAAACTCAATTCCGGGAGACAGATTTTTCAGTTTGGAGTCTATCTGTATGCTTCCTCTTGTACTGAGACAGATATGATATCTGTTCATTTGCCAGCCTATAGGTATGGTCTGGACACAGGCTGCAGGTAGAATCTGATGTCGTTTCCCAGGGAACTCAGGCAGACACAGCAGGGAGCAAGTGGGGCTGCTTCAGCATAAAATGCTGCTGAAAAGCTATTGCCCTCTGCTATGTGCAACATTCCATGGCTTCAATTCAAGGATAAAGCCCTGTTCTGGCCTCTCAAGTTTCTGCAGCTTTGGGATCCTGGGAGACAGTGCCTTAGGAGTAGACACCAGGGCTGTCAGGGCAGGAATGGCACCAACAGGAGTAAAGCCCCTACCCAAACAGTGTCTTGAGCTTTGAGCATGAACAAAGGGGATCCTGAGCTGAAGACCCTGAGAGGACAACTCTTGCCAAAGTGAAGTGAGAGACCCCCAGGGACTCCTAGAAATAATTGGGTGAGGCTTAAAGAGAGGGAGCTAGTGTTTCTGTGATATGCAAATAGACTAATGAGCAGGATAAATCTGAGTACTTACTGTAAACATATTGTGAACATAAGACCTTATTTGTACGCAGGTTGGTGAGGTCTGGGGAAACCTGAATTATATTTATCCAGCCTAGCATTGTCATTATCATCATCATTAACATCCTATTCTGCACAAACTCAGTATAATAGCAATTGTGCTTTATCTGAACTTCTTTTTGGATGCAAAATGATTTCAGTCTATGTGTCCTTTTCTACCTTTCCCATTCCAGCCTTGCTATTCATTCTGTGGTCCACAGACCAGCAACATAAGCATCACCTGAGAACTTTTTTGAAATGAAAAAGTTTGAGAATGTCAGGCCTCACCCCAGGCCCACTGAACCAGAATCTGTAACAAAATCCCCCAGTGACTTACATGCACATCAAAGTTTGAGAAGTTAATAACCACTCTTAAGGAGTGGTTATTGACCTGGCCTGGAACTGCTAAATTCCTGGAACTACTAAACTCCAATGATAAATGTCTGGCTCCTGTAACTCTCAGAATCACCTGGAGAGCTGGGTTTACAGTTCTGGAGTCTGGGAGCATGGCACTGGCATCTGGCAAGGGCCTTCATGCTGTGTCATCCCATGGTGGAAGGTGGAGGGGCAAAAGAGGAAAGAGATGAGAATGAGTGGGAGCCAAACTCGCTTTTGTGACAACCCACTCAAGAACTAGCCCATTCCCACAATAACAACATTAATCTACTTACGAGACCAGAGCCCTCATGACCTCATCACCTTTCATTAGGCCCCACCTCCCAACATGGTTGCATTAGGGATTAAGTTTCCAGCACATGAACTTTAGGGGACACACTCATGCCATGGCAGCCTCATTACAGATTCAAATATGCATCCTTTCTTCTTTCTACCATAGGCTTACTTACTTCTGACTCCCTTTTTCTCAATAAATGATTCTTCGGCGACGATTGACAGGAGTCAGCCATTGAGGAGCTGGGAGATAAGGAGGAAATGAGCTCACTGGATAAAATAGATAACGAGGAGGCCAGCCCTAACACTGGCAAAAACACACATCAAAGTGAAATGAGGGTAGTAGGGAGATTATGAAGGACCTTGTTGGCTGGGCAGAAAAGTCCATTTAATGTGGTGGGAGAAATGAAGGCCAGTGAAGATTGGAGAGAAGTGGGGAGAAAGGATACGCTGAAATTTAAGTTGAATTTAGTAAACAATTTGTATTTGAAGATACATATTTACCCACTTAAAACCAAGCATTGAAATGATGGTCATTTAAGCATTCTTCTCAGAAAACTACCTACCTAGGTGTTTCTCATACAAATCTGCTCTGGAGCCAATAATGACATTTAATAAAGTCTTGCTAATTACGTTCTCTAACGAATTGTGAGACTGCTTAATCCACAGTGCAGAGATTTGTATAGTCAATAACTGCGTTAAATAGCCTCAGTTACTTACATACGGTGTCTATTGGTGTTAATTGTATCCATTAACCCAGACAGAATTGTTTTAAATTTCTGCAAGATGGTTAATGTGCTGATTCCTCTGAGGCCACTAACCACATTTTTCCTTTGGCCACATTCATAATTGGGGCTTAATAAAGCTTCTTAATCTGAATTTAGCCTCTGGATAAACGACCAAGAAGTCTAAAATTCTTCCTCATGTGGAATACTTCATAATATGCTTGAATTGAAACTCAAAATTAACCCTATTGGTGTTTCCCCATTTCTTTGATTTAGGATCTTTAAGATGAGAGCATCCTTCAATGATTAGGAGAACTACAAGATGGAAATAAAGACTGTATTACTTACAGGTCCTTGGGCGGGACATGGCATGCCTAGAGGCCACACAGGGAGGTCAGACAGCACAGGCAGGGAGAGAAAAAAGAGACCCATGGGCCAATGCCTTTATTGGGTATTGGGCATTATCCAAACAGGTTTCCTGCACGGAGTTTTAATTGGGTTTAAACCAAGCAGGCACAAGTTCCAGGTCACACAATAACTGATACATGGTCACTATGGCAGATCTGCACAGTCTCTGTGGGGTGTAAGAGTGAGTGGGGCCAGTCAAGCAGGCTGCATCTAGCTGTCCCATGGGGAAGTGGTCACTAGGGAGCAGTTGTATAAGGCAGATATCTGGATGGGGCACATTGAGGAACTCGGCAGGGAGTTGGACTGGAAATAGTGTCAGGAATGACTGAGCCCTGCTTCTGGTATGAGAAAGTCTAATGTATTTAAAATGGATGCCAAGGCAACACAAAATTAATACATAATTGTATAAACATAAACATAAATTTTGTTGGGTATAGTGAATTAAGCATTCAGTTTACCCAACAAAAAATTGACTGAAAGAGGGGGCCAGACACAGTGGCTCACACCTGTAATTCCAGGGCTTTGGGAGGCTGAGGCAGGAGGCTCACATGAGGCCAGGAGTTGGAGACCAGCCTGGGCAACAGAGAGAGATCCTGTCTCTAAAATAATACTTTTTTTAAAAAAGTTGGCAGAAAGATATACTAAATAAAAATACATAGGCTTGTATCCTTCAAATGCCCTTAAAGAAAGATATTTATCATTGGAATTTAGTAGTTCCAGGAGCCAAGGTCTTCCTCAGCTGAACAAGTCACCCCCATCTACCTGGTCGACTGGGCTTGAAATGTCCCTATATTTGGCCCTTTACTTTCAGGGGCACCTACTGTTAATATTCTCAAGGGCACTATCTTACTTCTTATGGTGCATTTCAAAGGTTGTGGTTGATTTGTTTGGGTCCAAAAATAGTATAGTCCAATAATCTGATCAGTAGCCAGACATAACATCACAATTGAAGTTGTATTTACTATATTTTGTTGCACACTAGGTCTTAGGGAGATATCAAGCTGGGTAACAGTTGATAGAACAAGTTAGAATATAATTTGCCCAATATATGTCTGCAGACGTTTTGGAAGCCTGGGAAATGCAATGAAGAACTCTCGTCCTGTATGCTTCTGGCGGTGTCATATAGAGGATCACTTGCTCACCAAAATCGCCTTAAAAGGATGCATTAAATCCTTAAATCACTATCCTGTGATGATATCAATCAACATGGTTTTATCACTAATGATAGTGATAGACAGTAGCCTGGGCAATGAGGGTGCCACAAGTAAACCTGACATCCCCTGTCGTAAACGCTACAGCCAACTTCATTTGAAAATCTCATTTAGAACACACTTTTGGCACGTTTCTTTCTCTTCTAGGACACACAGCTTTTTAAAAAATACAAAAATAGGCTGAGCACAGTGGTTCATGCCTGTAATCCTAACACTTTGGGAGACCAAGGCAGGTGGATCACCTGAGGTCAGGAATTCAAGACCAGCCTGGCCAACAAGGTGAAACCATGTCTCCATTAAAAAAATACAAAAATTACCTGGGTGTGGTGGTGCATGCCTGTAATTCCAGCTACTCAGGAGGCTGAGGCTGGAGAATCGCTTGAACCCAGGAGACAGAGGTTACAGTGAGCCGAGATAACGCCATTGAACTCCAGCCTGGGGGACAGAGCAGGAATCCATCTCAAAATAATAATAATAATACAAAAATAATACATGTTCATTGCAGACAATTTGAGAAAGAGAAGCATAAAGAGAAAATAATCTAAAATCTCACTGTAAGATAATGAACATTTCCTTCCAATCTCTTAAAAACGCAGTTACATATTACATGTATATTTTGTTCTGTGTTCTTTTATGTGATGGTCAGTCAGATGTGGCCACAAGAGGACACAGGAGAGGCTCAGGAAAAAAACAGTTTATTGTATTCACAGATTCTGGAAACAGGAAGTGTGGCACTCCTGCAGGGTCACATGGGGAAGCCACATGGGATGATCAAGGGGCAGAAAGCAGGGGCAAGGGGAAAGTCTAGGCCAGAGGTTACAGGGGTTTCCTGGGAAGGGCAGGCTGAACTGTTTAGAACTGGCTAGTTTGAATAATTTTGGTGGGCTCTAAACTATAGGAGTGGTCCCTGGTTGCCCAGTACCTGGCCCTGGGGTGACTAAAGCCAAGGAATACTGTCTCCTGGGAAGTATAGGCCAGATGAAGGAGGTGTGGCTCTGGAGTGGCTAGTTGGCATATCAAAGACATGCTCCCAGCTGAGTCCTTTGCTTTCCCTAAGAATTGGCTAGCCCCAGAGAGTAGCCTGTCTCCAGCCCAGAAGGATTTTTTGTTTGAATCTCCTCTGTTGTTTTTTTTTAATAGGACAAGAACTTGTTTATTTTATTTATTTATTTATTTTTGCCAAATAAAGCAATTGGACAGCGTTCCTTCCTCTTTTCTTTTTTAAAAAAAAAATTCCATAGGTTTTTGGGGAACCGGTGGTATTTGGTTACTTGTTTTGTTGTTGTTGTTGTTTTTTTTTTTTTTTTTTTTTTTTTGAGACAGAGTCTCACTCTGTCGCCCAGGCTGGAGTGCAGTGGCGCGATCTCGGCTCACTGCAACCTCCGCCTTCTGGGTTTGAGCGATTCTCCTGCCTCAGTCTCCCAAGCAGCTGGGATTACAGGCACACGTCACCACGCCCGGCTTATTTTTGTATTTTTATTAGAGACGGGGTTTCCCCATGTTGGCCAGGCTGGTCTCGAACTCCTGACCTCAGGTGATCCATCCGCCTCGGTCCCCCAAAGTGCTGGGATTACAAGCGTGAGCCACCTCGCCCAGTTGAGTAAGTTCTTAAGTGATGATTTGTGAGATTTTGGTGCACTCATCACTCAAGCAGTATACATTATACCCAATTTGTAGCCTTTTATCCCTCACCCTTCCCACCCTTTCCCCCGGAGTCCCCACAGTCCATTGTATCATTCTTATGGGTTTTTAAGAAGTCAAAACATCACGATATACAGACAATAAAATGTATACAAGATATATTTTATTGTATATATATATATATATATATATATTTTTTTTTTTTTTTTTTTTTTTTTTAATGCATATTTCATTCTTCTGAGCCCCATCCCGAGTCTTCCACTTCAAAGTCAGTGTGGGCCCTTTGGGAGTCCCTTCTTATTTCTGTCCCCAGAGCATGTCTCAAGCCACCTTAGGGGAAGAGGGATGTCCCTCCGTGTTCAGGTGAGGGGCTGCTGTCGTTCAGTGAATGTAGGACGGGAGGCCAGCCTCCCCACCGGCCCTTTTGCTGAAGCAGGCATACACGGCGCCCCCAAAGAGGATGGAAAGTCCTTTAATCAATCCCCCAGGGGCTGTCAGGAAGCTGAATCGGGGAGGTGGCAGGAGCTGATCAGCCGTGTCCCTGACTTACTGAACTTGTACCGCACTGCTCTCTCCTTCTGTACTATGGCCCTGAGGTGCCCAGGCCCCACAGCTGACTCAATTAATCTGAAGTGGGGTGGAGCCATCTATGTTTCTTTTAGGGATTCAGGTGACTCTAATGTGCGAGTGTGAAACACTGGCTAAGCCCTCAGCGCTGTGCTAGGCAGCCCTCGCTTATACCCTACTTATTCCCACTTCTGCCTTCTCCCCTTAGTGTCCCCAACCTCTTCCTTTCCCTTGGGCACACTACCACTCGCTCCTGCAGAAATAGCTCACGACGACGTGCTCCTCAATTCCACGACCTGTGGATTCTCCGTGGCCACTGGCCTCGCAGTTTCTGTTGACGCCATCAGGGGCAGCAGCGAGCGCGGTCTCAGTGAAGGAGGCCTCTAGCTTGCGGCGGGGAGTTGAGCTGGAAAGGGTCTGGATAAGGGTGAGCTCTGATGCTGTTTTCTCCAAAATAGGGTCTGAAAGTATATACCTGAGCTTTGTGAGGATTCACTTATTCCTCCCTGAGTTGTATCACAGTTTCTCTGTTTTGACTTAGGAAAACTGATAAACCTATGTGACTTTCTTTGCTTCTCTCAAATACCTGGGTGGGAGATGGTGGAGGACAGTCCACAGCAAACTCAAGTGAATCCATTACTTTTCATTCTCACCAAAGGTCTGGAGCTGTATCTGGTCTCTGGTTTTGGCCTATAGACACTGCCCTTTTGATCTGAGGGTGAAAAGGGGATTCAATCTAAGAGTATTTCATTTCCTAAACAATCTGGAAGAGATGTATTAGTTTAAAAATCACTCATTGTTTGAGCAAACACTTTCCACATATATTCTATGCATTCTCTCTTTCTCTGCATATGCCATGCCTTCTTTCACTTCCATTATATTGGGAAAATTTCCCCCATGTCATTAAATGTTTTTGGAAAAGATGATTGTGCATGATGATACCTATTTTGCAAATTTTATGTACCATAGTTTTTTAACCATTTCTCTGTTGCCGGACATTTAGTTTGTTTATGATTTTCACTCTTATCAACAACTGATATAAATTTTCTCATATATAAATCTTTGGCCCTCTCACATATCATTTACCATGAACATTGGGAGTACCGTATTTTATCCTTTTGGAGTCCTCTCGGTGTTAAGAACAGAAGTGGTTTCACACGTGGCACTTAATTAACGCTTGTTAACTTCACTCATGGCCTAGATCAACTTGCATTGGCGCCCTATAAAACCTGTCTCTTTAATATTAAGCCATATGAAATCACAAGAGTATGCCAAATCCAATTAGCATCTATCACGACCTATCCACTCTATAAACAGGCATTTCATGTTTCTGTTACATTCAACTTCTGAAATGCTATAAGCAGAATCTATTAAGGCAAACAATGAAAACACAAGTAATAATTTCTTAAAAAACACTTTGCAATGCCTGCATCATACATATTAATTTATAGCTGCAGCAACAGAATCTCATATTCAGATGGTGTCCTTTCAAAAGGAACTGTGTAACAAATCCCAGGCAGTACTTAGCTTAACTTACCTTCCTGGTGATTTATATGATGCACATCATTGTGTGCATAAAGTCCAAATTTCATGACACAGACACATACAATTACATGGATGACAGTAATATGCCAATGAATGATATAAACATCAACTGTTAATTCACTAAGAGAAATAGAAAGTCAAGGCAAAAGAGACTACGTCCCAAAACTACCTGACTACTGCCTTTAGGCAAAAGATCTTTTGGAAATCAGCTTTTAAAGACTTTAGTTTTACCACTGCCCTGAAGCAGGCTGAACCTAAAATGGGACTTTACTATCTGCCCAACCCTGGGCCCAGAGTTACTCATGGAATACAGGTGACTTCACCAAGATTCAGGTGAATCCATTACTTCTTATTCCCACAAAACGTCTAGAGCTGAGTCTAGTCTCTGGTTTTGGCCTATTGACACTGACATTTTGATCTGAGGGTGAAAAGGGATTCAACCTAAGAGTATTTCATGTCTTAATCTAGAAGAGAGGTATTAGTTTAAAAGTCATTCATTGAGGAAACACTTTCCACATATTTTCCATGCATTCATTCTCTGTGTGTGTGTGTGTGTGGTGTGTGTGTGTGTAGACTACCTTTTAGGATTTTACTCTATGTTATATAACTTTACTTTGCAACTTTTACTTTCCCGAAAGTGCCTGGATAAGTAATGTGTAAAGTGTAAGGCAAAGTTGTTTCTGTTCTATCTTGAGCAGTTCATAAAATAACCTTCAGGTCACCTTCCCTGTGATCTGCAGATTGGCTTGGTGCGTACTCTAGAGGTGCCAATCATTCTTTCTCCGCTTACTCCTCTCTGTGAGAGGACTCACGGCACTGGAAGAGGCAGTCCAATCACCATGTGATATCTGCTCCTTAACTTGGCCACAGCAGATCAGAAGCCAGAGCCAAAGATGAGTCATTAGATTTTCTGCCAGGAGGAGTTGGAATTGTGACTTAGTGACTGAGTCTGTTAGCTGCATGGGTTTCTCTTTCTTCTGTTTCTCAAATAGCCTCAAGCCCTTCAGCCTCCTGGGTGATGTCTTCCTTGAATATCCGAATAAAATGTCTTAAGTCCTGCAGTGGAGACAAATGCTATGTGTTAAACTCAATTTCATTTCTTCTTCCTCTTCCTGGGCACACAGGAAGACCACATTTCTGAGCTTCCCTTGCAGTTAAGTTGTGCCATGGCTGTCGGGTGCTAAGCAGAGAGGCAATGGCCAGGAAGAAGAGGCAGGAGTCTCTTCTTGTGCAAGAGTTGACAATTAAAGAGGAGAAGAGTAGAATGGTGTTGGTAAGGTCAGATGGAGGCTTTCCCTTCCAAGGAAGTCTTGTGCATATGATGGAGCAGAGAAGTGGGCCACTGGTGCTAAAGAGAGGAAATGTGGTAGAAATGGATGGGTTGAAGGGTGAGCTTGAAACAATATGGGCATGTCAAGGCAGGGACAAGGAGTTACTGAGGAAGCTTATCCAGAGGCCTCAGCCTTCTCCCTGGAGTCAGAACCACCTGCTGAGGGCAGTGGAGGAGAAAGAGTGGGAAGAGAGAAGCTCTGAAACTGCCCTCTGGGCAAGTTCGTGGAGCTGGACAGCATGGATTTGTAGTAAGCCAGACATGAATGGTTTTGTGCCAAACCCGCGGAATTTGGTGTGTGATCTGGGAGAAGGACCAGAGAAGGCTGTCTGTGGGAATTACCAGAAGTCAGAAGCCTATGTTAGCATAACATTATCACTTGCCTAAAGAACAGATGATAGGGAGAAAAATGTTATTCTTCTAGGCCCATATTTATTCACTATTTCTTCCTACTAATAATACCCCAGTGTCTTTAAGTACTAAAACGTTCCATTTCTACAGAATGTTTTCTCTCATCTGTAAGAATAAAAAGGATGTTCATTTTTTTAAAACATTAGGTACTCATTACTAAACAGGACAAAAATCAATCTTTTTTTATTTTTTAAGACCCAAAACAATAGTTAACTACTATTTGAGCTGGGGATCTATTGTCTAGAAAAGTAATAATTATTAAGTAATTCAAAAAATAAATATAAAAGTAACAGGTTCATTTTTGAAAATTTGTTCAGCACAAAAGAGTTTTAAAAAGAAAAAAAATCCATAATCACATCATCCAGAGCAAAACATTTAAAATATTTTGGTGTCTTAAAAAATTAGTGTCATTCCAGATAAAGTTTTGTACTCAGTATTTTTCACACATTATTTTATAAATATTTTCCTAACTCATCAAATGAGCTTTAAAATATAAATTTGCTGACTATAATATATAGTACCAATTTTTTTGAAGTTTATGCCTGTTTTGTTTGTTTATTTTTTGAGACAGGATCTTGCTCTGTTGCGCAGGCTGGATGGAGTGCAGTGGTGCAATCATATCTCATTATAACATCAAATTCCTAGGCTCAAGTGATCTTCCTGCCTCAGCCTCCCAAGTAGCAGGGACTACAGGTGCATGCCACCATGCATGGCTAAATTTTTTTTTTAGGGATGGGGTCTCGCTGTGTTGCCCAGGCTGGTCTTGAATGCCTGGACTCAAGAGATCCTCTCACTTGGCCTCCCAAAGTGTTGGGATTACAGGCATGGGCCACCAGTCCCAGCTTAAGTCTGTTTTCAAATGAAAAATGTAAAGCTGAAAATTGCTGCAATGTATATTGTGATTATTACCTTAGGACCGATTTCTACAATGGTATGTCAATAGGGCAAAGAATATATTTTTCCTTAAAAATAAATTTTCTTTAAAAATAAAAGTTCTAAATGATTTTTTGAGATACACATACATCATTCAAAAATGAAAATGATCTATAAAGTATACACTGACCAGTCTTGTCCTCATCCCTATTCCCTTTCAGCTTATTATGCCTTGTCCTCTATAGGTAACCGTTTTTCTCAGTTTCCTGATTTTTCTTCCAGTGTTTCTTGCCCAAATGTTTATTTCCCAATGAGAGAAATATCCTGTTTCTCACAACCTTACAAAAAGGAAGGATATTTTATACACTGTTCCATGCCTTGCTTTTTTCACCTTACTATGTATCCTGGAGATCTTACCATATAAATCTGTAAAGATATTTCCTATTCCTTCTGTCTCTCAGTTGCATAATGTTCCATTGTATGGATGCACCATAATTTATTCCACTAGGAGCCCTGAGTTGTTGTCTTATCTTTTACTATTACAAACAAAGCTATAATAATCTTGAAGTACGTCATGACATATATGTCTGCGAATATCTGTAGAATCGATTTCAAAAAGTTGGATGCCAGGCGGCTCCTAGGATGTGTGGAGCTCCAGGCAAATATTCTTTGCAGGGCCACTGCCGTCTTACGCCATTTGGCTTTAAACTGTTGTTGCAAAATCCTTGAACCCATTTGAAGCTTAGTGATTTATCAATGAAGATTTAGTGTAATGGATAGAAAAGAGGTACTTACACATTTGGCTACTGTCCAGTAAGTACAGATGAAGATTCTTCATAGTGTCCAGGTACCATCTTTTTGTGTTTTTTCTTTATTGTCAAATATGTTATTCCTGGCTAATTTCATATCTCCCACTGCAAGGAAAAGTTAACAATATTGTTACTGGTTGCAATGCCAGGGCTCTTCAGAACCTATTTGTATTGAAATGGTACCACATCGACATCACCACATTGACGGTAGGCAAGAAGGACACCAATTGAAAGGGCCGGCTGTGGAGCAGTGGTCTTGAATACCTTTGGGAGAGAAAGGGACAGCCATCCCTAGAGAACTGCCTGACATGTGTTCTAGAGCCAGCAAAGGGGGTTGGGAAACCTCCCTAAGTGCAAGTGATGAAGTATGCACAGGGTAAAGGGTGACTGCTACCACCGTGTCATACTTTAATGCTCTAGACGGGAGGCAACGCTGCAGCCAGAATGCTGATATAAGACAGCTACGGCTTGAGTCCAAGGGTTAACTATGGACAGTTAGTGGCCCAGAGCTCTCAACTTCCCCTGTGTCTGACATGAAAGTCACACAAAATCAACATGTCATTTTGGTCAGTAAGAGCAATCAACTCATCAAAATGCCTTTCTGGAACTAGGGCTGGCCATAGAATCCTGGAACTACCCCATAGGCATGAGTCTCTGGTCTCTGGTGGACCTCAAACAAGGGGAAAAACAGAAACTGGGCCAACTGCCAGCCCACTGGCCAGTCTCAGGCTTTGGATGGCAACTTACAAAACTGTAAGGTAGGAGCTTCTGCCAACTGGAGACCATACAGGATCAGTTCCAAGTTGGGGCACCCTGCCCAGATGGCACTGCTGACTCCAGCTAGTCTCGCTATCAGTGGGGAGACTTAGAAAGAAGATTTAGAAATTAGGAATTCACTCTAAAGAAGGGGTAGGTGAACGTGTGTGTGTGTGTGTGTGTGTGTGTGTGTGTGTGTGTGTGTGTGTGTGTGTGTATGTGTGTGTATGTGTATGTGCAGGGCCAGATAGTAAAGATTTTAGGCTTTCAGGCTCTATGGTCTTTTTTAAGGCTACTCAATTCTACTGTATAGAGGGAGAGCAGCCATAGGCCATATGGAAATGAATGGACATGGCTGAATTCTAATAAGCTTTATTTATCCAGGCAGCAAACTGGATTTGGCCCACTGGCTGAAATTTGCCAAACTTTGCTATAAATCATGCAGCAAAGGGCCCAGCCTTTACTTGCCTAGTAATGGTGAAATTACAAGATAGGATGACAAGTGCATTTGTAATTTTGTTATATATGGCTAGATTCCCCACTATAGAGCTTTTATTCTGCTCTACCACCAGCAATTTTGTCTCCCTACAGCCTTGCCAAGAGAATGTTTTATCCAGTTTTGAATTTTTGCCAATCTGATAGGTAAGTAGTATCTCAGTGTGATTTTAATTAGCATTTTTTTGAGTGGTATTAAATTTTTTTTTCTGTGAACCATCTCTCCTCTGGTTATTTTACTATTGGGTTGCTGGTATTTTTTCCCTTGATTTATAAAAGTTCTTTGTTTGCCAAGGAGATTAACCTTCAATATGTATTCTGCATTTGTTGGATAAAGTGTTCTACAGATGTCAATTAGGTCAAGGTGGATGAGAGTGTTCAAATGCTTGAGATACCTAGTCGTCATTCAAGTAGAGTTGTCTGGCAGGTATTTGGAAATACAGATTTAAAACTCAGTTGAGAGGTTGGGACTAGACAGTTTTGGAATAATCAGTACAGATGATATTTATAACAATAAGATGGGTAAGATCACATCGGGAAAGAAAGTAGATAGAGAAGAGATGATAAAACTGAGCCCTAGAGCATTCCAACATTTAGAGATTGAGAACAAGAGAAGCGACCAGCAAAACAAACTGAGAAGGGGCTTTTAGTAGGGTAAGGAAAGAAAGCGAAGGGCAGACTTTTGGAAGCAAAGTAAAGAAAATATTTCAAGATGGAAGGAGATTCTGTTAAATGACTTTAGAGATTAAATAAGGTAAGAATTCTTATTAGAAATTGATCATTGGATTTGGCAATGTGGAGGCTATTGGTGACTTTGACAGTGAAGATATGTTTTTGGTAAGGAAGTTTAAGAGGAAGAGAATAATTTTGTATAAGAAAGAATCTTGAGTGGCATATTTTTGTCCTAACATCAAATGACTGGTTATTTAAGAAAGACGAAGTAGAGGACAAAGCAAAAAAGCTAAGCATATCGAGTGTCTGAGTAAATCATGATAAGGTTTGTGAAGAATGAATTTATAAAAGCAATTTTTGTGTGATCATGTTGGTTACAATTAGAAGGGAATTATTTGTAAGTTTTTCTAAAGATTGAACTTTGATATTAAAAATACACTAATACAAAATTAAATTTTTGGTCCCCTATGCTAGAATAGCCAGGTTTTCTCAAATTTTTGATCTGCTCTTAGCAAAAATTACAAGACATTTTTATTTTTAATTCTAAAATCTGTTTCTTTAGCAGGCATTTTCTAAACTGTACAGTTTCTATTTCTGCCACATTTCTTCCTGACATTCATTTAATGTCCCTAGTTTCAGGCTGAAAATGCTGTCTTCATTCAGGTTGGTAATTTCATTTAACAAGGTAGAGTTTTCCTGTTGAAGCTTCTCAGATCTATTTCTCAGAAGTTCGACTTTGGCTCTATCTTGCGACATGTGATTTGCAGGTCATAACATCTTGCCTCCTGTTCTTCTTTCTCTACTTGAGAAGGACTGAGATGATCTCTCTCTCCTTCAACTTTTTTGTCATTCCTTAACTTTTTTCTCCAGCTCCAACTCTGTCGTTATAACCTGACAGTAAAATGCTTATCCTGAAGGCCTGGAAAATCAGTGTTTTCTTCTAGTATAACTTAATTCTGTTGGCTTTTCTTAATGTGTCTGAATTGTTCCATGTAACCAGGAAACTTCTGATGATGTTAGTAAGAGACATATATTCCCCTGCTCAAGGTACTAGTTTTCTTGTTTATATTTCTCTATAATATGGTATACATTCATAACCTTGGGCACACTCTTCCTGTGTCTGATTAAGTTCAAGTACCCTTTCATGAGGTTTGACTTCCAGATTATCTAAATAGGCTTCCCATAAGGAGAAGCAGTTACACTGGAGGAGGTTTTTATTTTTGGTAACTGGCCTAAAAAGCAAATATTTTATATTTACCAAGATAATTTCCTGTTGTTATCTTTATTTTTATTATTATGTAGAAAAATTGAGCTTTGAAAAAGTTGCTTTTTTTTTTTACATTTATGAAACTTTATTGCTTTTGAAGTCTTTGGATTATCACTCTGGTTAAATGAATGGCTATTATTTCACAGTGACCTGCGATCCTGTTTTGATCAAGTATTTTGAACTTTTTGGCATCTTTGGCAGGCTTCTCCAGGATCAACATTCTAAATTAAATCTTTTTGACCTAGAATTAACTTCAGGATTTTCCATGTGGGCCACTGGAGAGCCTCAAAGGATGTATCTTTCATCTTGTAGAGATATTAAGTGACTAGGCTTGTTTGTACGGGAAGTATTGTCAAATGATAAGTGATGCTAGGTTTTCTTTCAGTTACATTTATGGGTATGTTATTGATATGAATGTCCCCAACTGTACAAAACTCTTAGAAATCTAATATCTTATTGGCCATAATTCTGGTTATTATATTGTATGCCATAAAATAACCAAATTTCCTTGTCAATTGCTGATTGTAATGAATCAAAGTCAGATTCTTAACCATGGCTATTTTAAGTCTCTGTCATTCACAATTATTGTTTTGATTTTTCTCCAAAAGCATTTGCAATTAGTTTCATGAAAAATACTCTAACAACTACTCTTAAATACAGGTTTCTAATAACTGTAAGATCAATGGACTACATAAAAAATTTTCAAAAATTTAATGAAGAAACTGATGGGTTCATAAAACAGATAAGATCAAGCAAAACAAAAATTAATTACATGAGATTAAGTAACTGATGAAGATGTTTTTATGTTTATTTGAAACATTATTGGTTCTTAAATGTTTTATTTTCCAGATTGAAGGAACTTTTTTTTTCTTAGTTATCCATAGTTTACAGAAATTTGGTAAAGTGTACTCGTGTGAACAAAGATGGAAGCAATTGCTTTTCTACCTACTTGATGCCTCCAAAATGTGGGAACTATTCATGGTTATTTGCATAAATTCAGTAAAAATCTGCTTTCTATAACTGGATACAATGAAAATACTGGTTATATTACCAAGGCTTTGAGTGAAATAGATTGGAGAATATGCATAGAATACCTGACTTCAAGGGTTCTCAGCCTTACGGTGAATAAAAACTCACTTCCTGGCAGGCTCAGGAGCCTTAGGACTGTAGGTAACATCTAAAGTCTTCCTTAGTTTGGTTTCCTAGCCTCAAGAGGTTTTTAAATCTGAGATTCCTGTGTGATCAACATAGGCAGAAATAGTTATATTTATAAAGAAAAAGCTATAATACATCTGCTATTAGATTATAGCTCTGTGCATTGTTTTCAGGTTCTTATTTACCTATAGAGTAGACTAGATCCTGAATTCTTTTATATTCCTTTAATCCAACTTTCTTCCATGGAATTACTAAAAACAGGAACTGCTCTGTTCCTAAATCTCTATAAGCTGAAATGATAAATTTTAAGGAACAAGTCTTGTGCCTGATGTATGAGCCACACAAAGAGTTCACCAAACTGCCTAATGCCATAACCAGAGACATTCAAACTGCAAACAGGATAAGAAATTGACATTTTCATGCTGTAGACAGCTTTTCCCAAGATATTGGCACAAGACTCTATATCATAACAAGACCCTGACCTCCCTTACTGCTACCTTTTTCACTTGGCTGGATAATGGTGTAAATTTCTTAATCAGTAGCTTCTGCCAGTAACTAGACAGAAACTAATCTAAAAGATTCCTTAGCCCACTTATTGGGTGACTTTGGCAACATCCTTAATACAATTGGTGCTCACCTTTTGCTTTAATTCAACCCAGTCATGGGATACTAGATGATAAATAGCTCTATATTATTTACTGGCTAAATAAGAAAATTTCTGTGCTATTGCAAATATTGCATGCTGTACCCGGATAAATCCCTCTGGGAAAGTTGAAACCCATATAAGCAAAATAAAAACATAGCCACATGGTTACAACAGGTCTTACCTAATTCCCTATGGTCATTTGTTTCATTCAAATAGTTGTCTTTAAGCCTAGATTCACAGCTCAAAACCATTATGCAAACAGGGATTTTCAAATTACTATTATTTCCTTTTTAAAGTTTGCACTATTACTTGTTAAATTTTTGCAGAAGTAGAACTCCTAACAGAACAATGCTGGCCCAGCACTTTGAGATAACAGCAAACGACTATGGAACAGAAAAAATTGAACTTAATAATGGACTCCAGGTAGACTTAGCCTGAGATCCACTCCCTTCAAACCTCCCTTGTTGCTCAAACGTGGATAATAGGGTTTTGACACGGACTCCTAGCCACCATTCACTTTCTCTAACATAGGACCAGATCAGCAACCCAGGACGGGCCCATCCTGGCATCAGGAGCTATCAACACCTGAATACAGGATGATTGGTCAGTGATGCTTTTGGAGAAATATCTTGATCAAAAGGGGGAAATGTGAAACTTGTCAGAAACATAATGGAGTCACTTGTGTTAATAAAACTCTGACAAATAGAGCCAGAGAAGGCCATGAAGAAAGGTTTCTCATGCATAAATGCCCAGTAACAAAAACCATCACAAAAGACTCTGCAAAAACCACAACCTTGTACAATGGCCATTGCAACCTTACACACAAAAAATACTTCTGTGAGAATATCCGCCCAGCAAACACCTGTTCAACCTCAGACTGGCGTTATGCTTGCTGTCGATCCTTGTAGCCAAGGATAATTATCTCAAAATAATTTGTAATCCTTCTTTAAAAACCTCCTCCTTCCTTTACCTCCCTGAATATGCAGGTAGTTCATATGCAGTGGGAACACTGTGGCACGTGTATTCCCATTGCAATGCCTATTCCTGAATATCATTTTCTTTTAGAAACCTTCTCTCTGTTTACTATTTAGGTTGACAACAAGTTTGCTTTCAGTAAAGTGCTGGGGACAAAGACCTGTCTCTCAGAAAGTAAAGTCATTAGAGAAACAGAGTAGGTTGCTGGGCAGTTGGGGGTTAACTTGATGTCTGAGGTTATAAATTTAAAGATCTGTCAGAGGAGTTGTGTGTTTTTCATGAGCCATATTGAGCACTCAGGTACAGGCAAAACACAGAGAGCTGTCTTTATCCAGAGTTTGTATTCTGTCCTGCCAGCATGAGAGAGGCAGTTGCAGATGTATGGACTGATGAACCAAGCAATGTAAGCTGGATAATGAGAGGAGTGAAGAAATGAGGAGAGTATTTGACAGTCAAAAAGTAGTAAAGCAATGCATTGGAGGTCTAGATATGGTCAAAGCCCAATTTATTATAATTCATAAATATCATATGTATACATAAATTACCCCAGTCTCTTCTGGGAGATTTCCACACTGGCTTGATGTTCTCTAGTTCATCAAGAAGTAAGCATAACAAGACTGGATAATTATTTCTTAAATTTTATTCTTTATTTGAGTTTAAAACAATTCGAAGATGGCAGAACCCCGTTATAAATGGGTACACTATACCATAGATATAAGGCAAGGAATCCCAATTACTGATTTTTTTGAATGGCCTTTATTTGGCTATATCATTGATAGTCTATGGTGTGGAATTTTTGGACACCTACCAGAACACATATTACCATAAGTTTCCATTTTATCAGGTTCTAAGAAACTTTATTTTTGAAAGAAAAAAATGGACAAGAAAGAAAAATGTTTCTAAAAGTGTTATCTGTGTATAAATAAAGTGGCTGATAAATTAGTGAAAAGGAAGAAGTTTGGAAAGCAGAAGTTTTTATGTTGTATAAAAAGAAATACAGTGAATTCACATTACTTAAGACTGATAATAGATTATTGTTGTGGGTAAATGAGTCATTTTATCTGTTGCATACTTACGTGAAGGCTTTCAAAAGGTCAGTAATAATTTAAAGGAATCTACATCCCTTTTATAATCGGCGAATTGGTGACTAATGTTTTTATTTTTTTCTCCTGTTACATGCCTTTTAGACATTTGGTTGCTCTAACCAAGGTTGGGTAGCAAAAGAGAAAGGAGACAGAACTCTATCAGTCATTGTATTTATTTACCAGCATTTATGGCAAATGGCCAGACCTGGGCAGGGTGGTAGCAATGATAGATTTTACAAATTAAGGCATTGTTCTTTATTTCAAAATTTTCATTTACCTATATTTTCCTTGGTCTTAGAAATATGAATAATTTAGAGCTGGCAATACTCACCATCAGGATATAATAAACGGAGGTTTCTTTGTCTGAAATCCATAAAATGTAGTAATACTCTATTGTACTTTTAAAAATCCTATTTTTGCAGTTGGCTTCCTCTCAGTGAATTAGTTAGGTAGTTTTGGTACATTTGGAGGGTCATAAACATGTCATAGAAAGAGTACTGGCATTATGAAAACCTGGATGTTAGGGACTTCACAATTTGGTCATTTTGCAGCTGTACAACCTTAGAAATGTAAGTTCTCTGAATTTCGGTTTCCTCTGCTGTAAAATAGAGATAGGAATATCCATCTGATATATTTCACAGGTACTACTGTGAGTATTAAATGATATTGTGTGTTTGTGCACTGGAATGTGTAATATAATAAAGTTGTTGATTAATGCTTTAAAAATGTAGCTTGCCCTGTATATTTTTTAAAAATCAAAATAGAAATCATTGGGAAATGTAAATGTTTATGAATCTTACAGCTCAAATGCAAATAATTTACAAATGCTTTATAATAAAATCAAAGATATTCATGGATTTTTTTAAGTAAAAAATCTTTGCAGCTAAATATTCATCAACTTAAACTTATTCTTTCTTTTATAAGAATGTTCACTATGTAACATTATAACTCTCCAAAGGAGAAATTCTATAATTAGTTCAGTTCTCTGCCTTAAAAGTTTTATTATAAGGCAGAAGAATGGAATAATTGAAGTTTAAAAATAAGCAAAAATATATAACTCTAAACCACAGTCCCCTCATTTAAAAGAGCTTAACAAGAATACTTTCTGCAATATATTTATAAACAACCTAATATTTATATAATAACACAAAGTTACAACTTAAATCATGATGATCAAAGTTAATGTGCATTTTGATACCCTTATCAGCTTAAATTATTAAATATCTAACGGTCTTGAGAGATTGAATTTTAAAAAATGAACCACATGTACTTTAAAAATGGTTACCTATTCAATAACTAAGGTGTTGGTCAAGTGTTTAGAATATAGGCCAGAGTTTTAGAAAAATTATTTGAGAAATATAGTATATATGATTGGGTCCCACGTAGAAATAAGCCTGTACAAATGGATATGTTTAAGCATGAACAATAATTGAGGTAACCCACCAACTTCTTTTTTAAAAGCGTAAGTCAACGGGCTTCTTTAAAAGAGCAAATGAATCACTTGCTCATTTTAAATCTCCTATCTTGATTATATTAAATAGTACTACTTTTTAAAATAAGAAATTATTAATTATTAATTAGAGTGTAGGTAACAAATTAGCTGGGCGTTGTGGCGCATTCCTGTAATCCCAGCTACTCGGGAGGCTGAGGCAGGAGAATCACTTGAATCCAGGAGGTGGAGGTAGCAGTGAGCCGAGATCACACCACTGCATTCCAGCCTGGGCGACAGAGCAAGACTCTGTCTCAAAAAAAAAAAAAAAAAAAAAAAAAAAGAATATAGGTAACAAATAGTAAATTCTGGTCAGCAGCAAAATTTTTGGACCCAATGACAAAAACATGTTAATAGAATGTGTTTAAGAATAACTCTATATTGCTGATATTCCAACAGCACTATGATCTTTGCTATCAGCAATCCAAGATTTAGTTCTTCATCAAAAGTCTCTCTCTCTCACACACACACACACACACATTCTCGTACCGTCTTGTCTCTACAAATGCATCTCAGGTTATATTCTGTTTTTGAAGATTACATTTTTTAAAACACATCAACATTTTTCCAACAAATCAATCATCAAAAAATGACTCACTGCTTTCATTAACAATCTCTCAAGATCACTCAATGTTTAAAGATTAGCCTGACAAGAACTTGCAGAGCTGAAATTGAATTGGCATCAGAACAGGATAATTTTAGATGGAGGTAAAAGTGAGTTTATCTTATGCTCAGCAAAACATATTTAGGTCAGTTTAAATATGAGCAACTGGTAAATTTATCCTCAGCTAGCATAGAGGTGGGCATTGTTAATACGATTCAAAGCTTGGTTGGGCACTCTTCGTTTTATAGTATGCCTGGGATACAGCACATCTGTGAGACAAGAAAGGCTAAACTAGAGCTCTGCTTCTTCTAATCCTGCATTACAAATTTAATAATAAAGTACATTTCTGCTATGTTTGTGGTTTTAAAATTATTCACTGTAAACATCCTATATTCTTTCCTAATTAATTTCAGAGCTGGAACTTATATCTATGTCTATGTCAAATTATCATTTATTCTATGAAAAGCAGCACGAATACTCTTCATTCTGGTTTTGACACAAATTCCTTAAAAAAAAATTAAGGCCATTTAATTGAATCAGGGCCAACTGAAGATTACCCTGGCAAAAGTCAAACTACTGATTTAAGAGTTTTGAAAAAGAGCCATAAGTGGTTGTCGTGTATTTTCTTCCTTGGTAACTTGAGAGCAGTTTGTAGAATTTATTAGTCTCCAACATCTCCATCTCGATCTCCAATAAGCCAAAGAAAATGAAAACTTAAGGCTAACAGAGCTGTCCCGAGCAGATCACCCAATGCTGTTAGGTAGGGGATGGAGAAACTATCCGGGTCCTTTCCTTTCCTCCAGAAGTGATGGACCATCCAGTCAGCAATCCACAGCAAGGTAAATACCTAGAAGAGAACAACAGAGATTACTCCGGCTGCCTGGACATTCCTAGCCCATGAAACATGGCCACAAGCCTAAACCACTGGCTTCTGGAAGGGACCGTATGTGTCTAAGTCAAGAACCATGCTTGAAAATAAGAAATACTTAGATGACAAGAATACTTTCATTTCACAAGAAAAAAAACAGCATGTATGTTTACAGGTACTAAAATTTTTCTTCAACTTTTCATATAGATCTCATTCTAGCCTCCCAATAGCCATAATAATTTGGATATTTTAATAGCACTGTACAGTTTCCAAAAGACTGTTTTTCTATGTGATAAACCTGTGAAAAAGGAAGACATTATGAAGAAGGAAATAAAAATTTAAATAAGGAATTATTTAACAGTCTCCTGCTGCAGGTATATCAAATAAAGATGGAAAACTGACCATTCGTTTACTAATTATAAGGCCATTTTTGACTTGTCAAGGAAAATTTCAGTGCAGTAGTAAGACCAATAACTAGAAGGTAAATGCATTTAGAAATGGCTCATCTATGTAGTTATAGATAGATATATACATAAAATGGAAATATTTTAAAAGATTATTCAAACATGAAGATGCTGTATATAAATATTTTCTAGAATATCAGGAATATAAAGACTTTTGTGAAGCTTTGAATTTTGGGACCAGATAAATGTTTTTTTCTTTGATCCACCTAGAGTAGGGGGATTTTCTTTATTTATTTATTTTTACTTTATTTTTTACTATACTTTAAGTTTTAGGGTACATGTGCACAACGTGCAGGTTTGTTACGTATGTATACATGTGCCATGTTGGTGTGCTGCACCCATTAACTTGTCATTTAGCATTAGGTTTATCTCCTAATGCTATCCCTCCCCACTCCCCCCACCCCACAACAGGCCCCGGTGTGTGATGTTCCCCTTCCCGTGTCCATGTGTTCTCATTGTTCAATTCCCACCTATGAGTGAGAACATGCAGCGTTTGGTTTTTTGTCCTTGCGATAGTTTGCTGAGAATGATGGTTTCCAGCTTCATCCATGTCCCTACAAAGGACATGAACTCATCCTTTTTTATGGCTGCATAGTATTCCATGGTGTATATGTGCCACATTTTCTTAATCCAGTCTATCATTGTTGGACATTTGGGTTGGTTCCAAGTCTTTGTTATTGTGACTAGTGCTGCAATAAACATACATGTGCATGTGTCTTTACAGCAGCATGATTTATAATCCTTTGGGTATATACCCAGTAATGGGATGGCTGGGTCAAATGGTATTTCTAGTTCTAGATCCCTGAGGAATCGCCACACTGACTTCCACAATGGTTGAACTAGTTTACAGTCCCACCAACAGTGTAAAAGTGTTCCTATTTCTCCACATCCTCTCCAGGACCTGTTGTTTCCTGACTTTTTAATGATTGCCATTCTAACTGGTGTGAGATGTTATCTCATTGTGGTTTTGAATTGCATTTCTCTGATGGCCAGTGATGATGAGCATTTTTTCATGTGTCTTTTGGCTGCATAAATGTCTTCTTTTGAGAAGTGTCTGTTCATATCCTTTGCCCACTTGTTGATGGGGTTGTTTGTTTTTTTCTTGTAAACTTGTTTGAGTTCATTGTAAATTCTGGTTATTAGCCCTTTGTCAGATGAGTAGATTGCAAAAATTTTCTCCCATTCTGTAGGTTGCTTGTTCACTCTGATGGTAGTTTCTTTTGCTGTGCAGAAGCTCTTTAGTTTAATTAGATCCCATTTGTCAATTTTGGCTTTTGTTGCCATTGCTTTTGGTGTTTTAGACGTGAAGTCCTTGCCCATGCCAATGTCCTGAATGGTATTGCCTAGGTTTTCTTCTAGGGTTTTTATGGTTTTAGGTCTAACATTTAAGTCTTTAATCCATCTCGAATTAATTTTTGTATAAGGTGTAAGGAAGGGATCCAGTTTCAGCCTTCTACATATGGCTAGCCAGTTTTCCCAGCACCATTTATTAAATAGGGAATCCTTTCCCCATTTCTTGTTTTTGTCAGGTTTGTCAAAGATCAGATAGTTGTAGATATGTGGCATTATTTCTGAGGGCTCTGTTCTGTTCCATTGGTCTATATCTCTGTTTTGGTACAGTACCATGCTGTTTTGGTTACTGTAGCCTTGTAGTATAGTTTGAAGTCAGGTAGTGTGATGCCTCCAGCTTTGTTCTTTTGGTTTAGGATTGACTTGGCAATGCTGGCTCTTTTTTGGTTCCATATGAACTTTAAAGTAGTTTTTTCCAATTCTGTGAAGAAAGTCATTGGTAGCTTGATGGGGATGGCACTGAATCTATAAATTACCTTGGGCAGTATGGCCATTTTCATGATATTGATTCTTCCTGCCCATGAGCATGGAATGTTCTTCTATTTGTTTGTATCCTCTTTTATTTCATTGAGCAGTGGCTTGTAGTTCTCCTTGAAGAGGTCCTTCACGTCCCTTATAAGTTGGATTCCTAGGTATTTTATTCTCTTTGAAGCAATTGTGAATGGGAGTTCACTCATGATTTGGCTCTCTGTTTGTCTGTTATTGGTGTATAAGAATGCTTGTGATTTTTGCACATTGATTTTGTATCCTGAGACTTTTCTGAAGTTGCTTATCAGCTTAAGGAGATTTTGGGCTGAGACGATGGGGTTTTCTAGATATACAATCATGTCATCTGCAAACAGGGACAATTTGACTTCCTCTTTTCCTTAATTAAATACCCTTTATTTCCTTCTCCTGCCTGATTGCCCTGGCCAGAACTTCCAACACTATGTTGAATAGGAGTGGTGAGAGAGGACATCCCTGTCTTGTGCCAGTTTTCAAAGGGAATGCTTCCAGTTTTTGCCCATTCAGTATGATATTGGCTGTGGGTTTGTCATAGATAGCTCTTATTATTTTGAGATATGTCCCATCAATACCTAATTTATTGAGAGTTTTTAGCAGGAAGCATTGTTGAATTTTGTCAAAGGCCTTTTCTGCATCTATTGAGATAATCATGTGGTTTTTGTCGTTGGTTCTGTTTATATGCTGGATTATGTTTATTGATTTGTGTATGTTGAACCAGCCTTGCATCCCAGGGATGAAGCCCACTTGATCATGGTGGATAAGCTTTTTGATGTGCTGCTGGATTCGGTTTGCCAGTATTTTACTGAGGATTTTTGCATCGATGTTCATTAGGGATATTGGTCTAAAATTCTCTTTTTTTGTTGTGTCTCTGCCCAGCTTTGGTATCAGGATGATGCTGGCCTCATAAAATGAGTTAGGGAGGATTCCCTCTTTTTCTATTGATTGGAATAGTTTCAGAAGGAATGGTACCAGCTCCTCCTTGTACCTCTGGTGGAATTCGGCTGTGAATCCATCTGGTCCTGGACTTTTTTTGGTTGGTAAGCTATTGATTATTGCCTCAATTTCAGAGCCTGTTATTGGTCTATTCAGAGATTCAACTTCTTCCTGGTTTAGTCCTGGGAGGGTGTATGTGTCAAGGAATTTATCCATTTCTTCTAGATTTTCTAGTTTATTTGCGTAGAGGTGTTTATAGTATTCTCTGATGGTAGTTCATATTTCTGTGGGATTTTTAAATTTTCAAACCCCTGAAGCAGCAAAATAAATTTGGGACTAGAAAGGATAATGTTCATGGTTTTGGACAAGTTGGCAAGTATAGCACAGTGGTTAAAAGCACTTCTTTACAGCCCTTCTCTATTGTCTACTAGCTGACTGAAGGCAAGTTACTCAACCTTTCTGACTCTATATATCCAAATGAACATTAAAATGGTACTTACCTTGTAAGAATGTTCTGAGGATTAAATAATATACTAAATAATTCAGTGCCTGGCACACAATAAACTTTCAATAAATGTCTGTTATTAGTCTATTTTAACAGGATTATTCTTATTACTATTTGTGGCCCCTGGTATGTGCAGGAGGAAGCCCACCCCAGGTCCACGGTCTAGGCCAAGAGACCTTTCACTAACCTGGCAAGTAGGCCGTGGGTGTGAGGCATTTGCCTTGGGACCCAAACTGCTGTGTGCTATCATTTTAGCTCTAACACCTTTACCAGGAAGGAGAGTGGCTTGTCCAAACGTAGGAAGACATGTACCTATTCCAAAGGCATGAATTTTACATGCCTTTGGACATCTGTCAGAGAGAGGTTGTACTTTAAGCCCTATTGTCTTTTCCATGTGGTCAATTCTTCATTAGTGTTTCACTGGTAGAGACTGTTTTGGAATCATATAAAGTTTTGCTAGGACAATGTGTTTTGGGTATGGAGGAAGCATGAAATATTAGAAAGAATCCTGGAGTGGGAAGTTGTAAAATCTGGATTTGATTTTCAGTTCTGCCTTTGGGTAAATTTCTTACCACTCTGAGCCTAGTATTCTCATTTGAAGAAAATATGGGGCCTAATATCTGCCAAACTTACTTCGAAATAATAAGAGCCTTGGTTTGGGGGATGAAAGGAAAGGCAAAAAGGCAGCATGATGTCAAGTTCTATCACTAAAAGCATAGTGCACAGACTGAGAGAAAGAGAGTCATCCCATGGGACCCCCCCAGTGAGCCAGGCCACATCTAGGCTCTGTTTTGGATGCCCTATTTTCAGAGAAACTGGTTCACACCTGCGTCTTCAGTACCTAGCAAAGTGACTAACTTAAAAAGTAGACAACATCTGATTGACGGAATGCAAATCAGCTTGAGACAGTGTCATATAGGAGATTCCTATGAGAATAAGAATTGTTTGTCCTGGGCAAGGAGGGTAGGAGATGTGAACTTAAGACAAAGATTATCATGTCAGCAGACGCTAGGTATATAATATGTTGCTTCAGAGAGTAGAGTGTTAGGTTAAGGAAGAAAAGACCAAAAGCAGAACTTAAAAAAAATTTGGCTATCTATAAATAGAACAAGTTATGCAGTAAACTCAAAATTACTGAAGTATATGGAGGTAAATTTACCTTCTGTATGGAGGTAAATTTGCTGATTGAATAAGTAATGTATACAGGAGGAAACAATAGCTTTTAAAAGAATGAGGGTAGCTAATTTCTCTGGGATTAGCAAGAAAAATAAATGAATAAATTTATATTACATATTATAATATTACATGTTTACATATTAACAATGTGTTAAATACATACTTATATACACAGATTTATATATTATATGATACATACACCATTTAGTAATTTATTGTATAATATTTGCCCTGAATGATTTTTCTAGAGTAAGGTTGGCAAACTACAGCCCATGGGCCAAATTCAGTCTGCCACCTATTTTTGTAAATAACGTTTTATTGGAACGCAACTCAACCCATTGTTTACTTATTGCCTATTTAGCCGATTATTCCTTGCCACATTCTCAGGAAGTAGGTAGGTTTACTATTCCTAATGTTCATTTGGAGAAATTGAGTCGGAGAGGTTAAGTGGCTATGTAGTTGTCACAGAGAGCATATGGTCCACTAATCCTCTGACATATAAAAAAAGCTAAGGCAAAGTCCAAGAAACCTGCCCACGATCACACAGCTTGCAGGTGGAGTCAGGCTCAAATTCACAGAGTCCAACACTAAAGCCCATGCTCTCAACCATCACTACAGTACCTTGTTTTAGTAAAAATAGAACTTTACATTGATGAGAGCGTAAACTGGTACAACTACTTTGGAGAACAATTTGGTAATATCTATTAAATGTGAAAATGTGTATCTCCTTAGTTCAGCAATCCTACATAGAAATAATGATTTTTTTTTCCTGTGCCACTGGGGAAAAATAAAATTGTTCATGGCCAAAGGATACTAGCTCAGGGGCTCTGCTGACTCTAGGTCTTCCTGTTGCTACCCTAAGGACTGAGAAGACCAGTATCTTGGTGTACTTATGGAAACCATACAGAGAAATTCTTATACAAGCATACTGAGAGATGTGCAAGAATATTCACCACGTCTGTTGTAAGAGCAAAAAATTGTATCTATTGACACAGAATGGCTAAATTCACTGTTAAGTCACACAATTGAACACTATATAGAAGCAAAAATAAATGAAAATGAACTATATAAATCAACATGAATATATCTCAAAAGCACAAGACTATGCATATCATTTTAATAAAGTGTATAAGTATAAAACTATGTTGTTTATAGATATATACATTTGTAGCAATAGTATAATAAATAGTTTAGTATAATGGCAAGAATAGATGCCAATTTAGAATGCTGATAACTGTTAGGGAGGGATGAAATGAGCACAAGAAGGGATAAACAGGAGTTACCAACCATATATATGATGCATTTTTATTTATTTTGAAATATTTGCTTCGGATCATTGATAAAGCTGAGTGGTAAATACATTGTTATCTTATTTCCTATTACTTCCTGTATGTTTATATTTCATAATTTTAAAAAATGTAAACCATTGTGTTAATGGTAACTCACTGACCAGGGCCGCATGAGCTACAACTTAGAATATCTACTGAGAGGGACACATGAGAAAAGAAGTCAGTATGTCCTGTAGAATCCACGAAAGGTTTGGACTTGGAAGTATTAGATGGTGCTGAGGCTGAAAGCAAGGCTAAGGCCAAAAGATTACTTACATGTCTGTGTGTAGAGCTAGCTCCACATTCACCATTTCTGCAAACTGTCCTCTCCATGTAGGAAAATAGAAGGATGTTTTCTGGAGAAACTGAGTGGTAGAGATGCAGGACTCAAGGACACTAGAAACTATGAGGTACTAGCTGAGAATCAGGGATAATTGAGAGTCTGCATACCTAACCAGAGGATTCCTCTAGACTTGTATTTTGTTCTGAGAACAGTGGCAGGCAGGAGGATGACCTCCAGAGAGGAGAGCAGATGCTCACATTTGGAGGCCCCCAGTTAAATGGTCAGTCCCCATGTCCTTTAATAGTAAAGCATCCAGTGAACAGCCCACCCCTACTTCCATGTTACTTAACCTCTCCATGTCTCAGTCTCCTCCCCGTTCAAGACAGAGATGTGATGTGAATGTTAAATAATGCAGAATGGTTAGAACAGTGTTTGGCACATTGGAAGAACTTAAAAAATTTGCTATGATTTTTAAAAACAGGTTATTTATGAAGAAATAAGAATCTGATTTTTTTCAACAGCAATACTGGGAGACAAGGAGTAACATCTTCAAAATCCTGAGAGTGAAATATTTCCAATCTATACATCTGTGCCCAATTTATCAGTCAAGTGTTGAGAGTAAATGAAAGGCCTTTTAAGTAATGCATGCACTCAGAAAATATTTCTCCCATGTTCTCTTTCTTTGGAACTATCTAGAAAATGTGTTGAAGCAAAATGAGGGCTTGAACCGAGAGAAAAATGGGATTCAGGAAATGGAAGAGGCAACATAACAGAGCAGTGAGAGAAGGTTCCAGGATGACAGCTGTGCAGTGGCCCGGGGCACCAAAGCCAGACCAGGAAGGTGGAATGCTCTGGATACCAGGTCTCCATGATAAAGGCAAGTGGGCAAATTATCTGATATAATAAACTTTTGAGGGGCAAAACACTAATTTAGGTATGTGATAGCTATTGATGGAGCACTTGCAAAAAAAAAAATTAAGAAATTTAAAAATTCAGGCCAGGCATGGTGGCTCACGCCTGTAATCCCCAGCTGTTTGGGAGGCCAAGGAGGTGGATCACCTGAGGTCAGGAGTTTGAGACCAGCCTGGCCAACATGGTGAAACCCCATCTGTACTAAAAATACAAAAATTAGCCAGATGTGGTGGTGCACGCCTGTAATCCCAGCTACTTGGGAGGCTGAGGCAGGAGAATCGCTTGAACCCAAGAGGTGGAGGTGGCAGTGAGCTGAGATTGTGCCACTGCACTCCAGCCTGGGCGACAGAGCAAGACTCTGTCTCAAAAAAGAAAAAAAAATAAAATAAAAAATTCAGAAATGTAGAAAACTATGCAAGTGGAAAAATATGGTAATGATCTCCAGAAGAAAATTAAAAAGAGATAAAGGGAAAGAAAATAGAATACACTACATGGCTCTGTGAGAAATGACATTTATAAGTCATAGTAATAAAACAATTTATTAAAAAAAGATTGAGCATTACTACACTAGGAGGATGGAAGGTGGGGAAATAAGGCACAGGGCAAGGTAGCAAAATCCTCGTCTATGACAACTAGAAGTCAATAGATAATTTCTCAAGTTAATAAAGCAAAATTAGCAATCCAAACAAAATATAGGGATAAATAACAAAATAAATAGCTAAAGGAGCTCTGGAGGACTATTTAGTAGTTAAAGAGTTTTACACAAACACACACACAGAATTTAAATATATATGTATATATCCATATAAATACAAATGGGTTTTTTGTTTTGTTTTGTTTGAGATAGAGTCTCGTTCTGTTGTCCAGGCTAGAGTACCGTGGCATAATCTCAACTCACTGCAACCTCTGTTTCCCAGGTTCAAGTGATTCTCCTGCCTCAGCCTCCTGAGTAGCTAGGACTACAGGTGCGCACCACCACACCCGGCTAATTTTTGTATTTTTCATAGACATGGGGCTTCACCATGTTGGCCAGGCTGGTCTCGAACTCCTGACCTCAGGTGATCTGCCCACCTTGGCCTCCCAAAGTGCTGGGATTACAGGCTTGAGCCTCCGCACCCAGTCACAACTGGCTGTTAAAAAATTGAAATAGAATAGAATGGACTAGAATAGAAAGTAGCATGTGTAACACACTGTAAGGGTATTTCGTAAAACTTTTAGCTATGAATTTACACATATTTATGTATGTATATGTTTCAGAATAAACATATTTCTTACAAGTGCTGTGGTCAAAACATATGAAATCTACTCAGTCAGGCATGGTGGCTCACATCTGTAATCCTAGCACATTGGGAGGCCAAGGCAGGTGGATCACTTGAGCCCAGGAGTTTGAGACCAGCTTGGGCAACAAAGTGGGACCCTGTCTCTACAAAAATTATAAAAATTAGCCCCCTGTAGACCCAACTACTCAGGTTGAGGTGGGAGGATCCCTTGAGTCCAGGAGGCAGAGCTTGCAGTGAGCTGAGATCTCACCACTGCACTCCAGCCTGGGTGAAAGAGCAAGATTGTGTCTCACAACAAACAAACAAACAAAAAAACACTACTCATCTTACAGATACTTCTTACATGTTAGGTTGTAGGGATCTAATGTGTCAATCCCCGAAAGAAGAAAACCATGTCTTCTTTCTGTTTGATCCCTTGGTTTCTAGCAAAATACTTATACATGACAAATGAAACAAATGTTTGCTATTGAAGAAGCTCTATCACTGAATAACTGTTACTGTCTACAAGTGAAAAAAAAAACTCTCCAAGTCTTAGTTTCCTCATCTGTACAATGAGGTTATCATTACCTACCTGATGGACTGATTGCCAAAATTAAACAAGATAATATAGGTAAAGGGCTAAGCAAATGCTTGGTTTATAGTAAGTACTAAGTAAATATTGGTGCCATCATCACTAATACATCAATTATTACACTGTCTCAGAATTTATGGACTTTATTTAAAAGATTGTTGGAATAGAAGTCTGGTTTCTAACACTAACCAGTTATATTTGTCACTTCTCTGATCCCTCAGTCTTTAAAACGAATAAATTTATGTCTTCATAGTCTGTTCTAGCTCTAAATTATAGAGCTAAGAAATTTCATTGTCAACTATGCAGAAATTGCTCTATTCACCTTTGTGATATTCCCTCTCTGCCTTTGCACATTCTCATTCCATTTATTGGATTTACTTATACAATATGAATAAAGTTTTCTTCCCGTGCAATTTATTTTTAAAGGTATTGTGATGACATAGTTCAAGCGGGTTTAAATTTATTCGTTTTTTGCAAGTCAGCAAAAGATATCTGTTTCCTTGGAACTCTGTGTGTAATAAATTATTAAAATGACAATAAGTAGCAGACACTTCTTAAATGCAACATTTTTTGTTTTAAAGCTGAATGATAATTTAAGGAATGCAGGCTTTTCCTTGGGAAAGCACACTGAACACACCAAGGGTAGACTGTGTTTTTATATCATCTGTTTGTTCTTTATGAAATATGCATAACCTCTCTAGGTAAATATGCCTTTTGAAAAGGCAACTTTGTAACCTCAGCTAATTATGCATGTTCTAAATATATTTCTTGGAATTTAAATAAATATATAAAGTACAAAATATATATATTTGCTTTGGATGATATTGATTCCTTCAGCCAGCTCCTTCTTTGAGCTAGAATCAACATTCCCTTGTGTTAGCATCCCCTTAATGCCTCAACTGCCAATAAACACCTTGTATATAGTGTGAAGAAAGATGATTTCTTTGGGAGAGGAAGGCTTAGAAATATGATACAAATAAACCCGAGAAGTAGCAAATTAATACAGTTCTTCCTAACCCCTAGCTTTACAAAGGTTGAATTCATGTCCCCTACAAAAATATGCTTCCCTAATCCAGGTTTCCAGGCTGGAAACCCTACTCATTAAAATCTAATATAAATCTAATAAATATTTAAATGTCTGCTAAGAATAATTTAGCATTATCAATCAACAGGAATTCAGTCTACTTCTTTTATATTCAGATATAAGCATCTTTTCTTTGGCTTGAACTATTTTGTTGGGTGGCAGGTGGGGGAAGGTGGGAAATAAATGGTGTCGCTGAAAAGAAAACTAATGTTTGATCACCTACCTTTTTTCCTCCTGGGTACTATGGTGGGTATTATTATCTCTATTTTCAGAAGAGAAAATTTAGATGCAGAAAGGTGAAGTGGTTGCCCGGTAACACAGCTAGCAAGTGGTAGAGTCAAACCCAGGTCTGTTTGATTCCAAAGCCCACACTGCTTCTCCCATACCACATTACCCCTGCTGGGCACTGACTGGGGGCAGCCAGAAAGGAGAACGAAGTGTTTCTACTTGTAGATACGAAAAAACAAAAATAGAAACACAACCCAAAAAACAAGAACACAAAAAAAGACCAAGATGAAACTTCCATTTTTAGCAGCATTATAAACAAAATACCCCAAATGACCTACCAACAGAAAACGATGTAAAATGTTCAATAAAATACAAAAACTATCTTTTAAAGTGCATCACTGAGCTGGCACGAAGGAAAGGAATCCTTGGAGGCCCAAAACAAAGGGAAACAGCATGCCAGGGTAAGACTCTGAGGATCCTGAGCAGGCGGCTGCCCTGGGCCACTTGTGCCCTCTGCCTCTCCAGGGGACATGGAGGCATCCTCTGCTGGTTTTGATGGTGGCACAGGGCACAGCAGACAGGAGACAAAAGCAAGGCCTGTCTCAGGTAGAGAGTCTAATAAAAGAAGATTTTCACATAAAATAAAAAGCTGCACCTCTGAATAAGAAATAAACCAGCCCCCACAGAAGGAGCAGGAAAGAAACTTATCTGACTGTGGTACTAACATGGTGGGAAAAAAGTCTCCCCTAAAAATTTACAACCACAATGTGACCCTTACATGGATTTGCGCAGGATCCAACTACCTATGTGGTCTAACAATCCCAAATTGAGGACAGTTGTCCCTCGGTATCCATAGGGGAGGATTGGTTGCAGGACCCCCCTCCCGCAAGGATACCAAAATCCAAGGATACTCAAGTCCTTTACATAAAATGGTGTAGTATTTGTATATAACGTATGCATATCTTCCCATATACAATTATGCTTTGCTTAATAACAGGGATACATTCTGAGAAATGCATCGTTAGGCAATTTCATCACCGTGCAAACATCAGAGAGTGTATGTACACAAACCTAGATGGTATGGTCTACCACACACCTGGGCTATATGGTACAGCCTGTTGTTCCTAGTCTACAAACTATATAGCATGTATGTGACTGTACTGAATACTGTAGGCAACTGTAACAGAACCAGAAGTATTTGTATACCTAAACACAGAAAAGTTGCAGTAAATATACAGTATAAAAGATAAAAAATGGTACACTTACCATGTAGGGCACTTACCATGAATGAAGATTGCAGGACTGGAAGTTGCTTTGGGTGAGTCAGTGAATGAGTAGTAAGTGAATGTGAAGGCCTGGGACATTACTATACACTAATGTAGACATTAAAAATACTGTACACTTAGGCTACACTAAACATATAAAAATCTTTTTGCTAATCATTTAACTTAGCTGACAGTAACTTTACTTTATAAATTTTTTAATTGTTTTTTACTTTTTAAACACTTTTGTAATGACAAAACACAAAATCATTGTACAGCTGTACAAAAATATTTTCCTTCTTTATATCGTTATCCTATAGGCTTTTTCCTATTTTTATTTTTTCTTTGCCTCTCCTCTTTTTTTTTCTATTTTTGAGTTTTTACTTTTAAACTTTTTTGAATATAGTAGTAAGTACACAAACCAGTAACAGTTGTTTACTATCATTATCAAGTATTATGTACTATACATAATGAAATGTGCTAGACTTCTATATGATTGGCAATGCAGCAGGTTTGTTTATACCAGTGTAACTGGGACACACTAGATAACTAGCGTACACACTAGGTACAGCATAACTAGTAACACACTAGGACGGTACAGCCACGACATCACTAGGTGACAGGAATTTTTCAGCTCCATTATAATCATAGGATGCAATCATATATGTGGTCTGTTATTGACCAAAACCTTGATACACAGCACATGACTACACTTGAAAATTGTTAAAAGAGTAGATTTTAAATGTTCTCATCACAAAAAAATGATAATTTTGTGAGGAATGGATATGTTAATTAGCTTGATTTAGCCACTCCACAATGAATACATATATCAAAACAGCATGTTGTATACTATAAATATATACAATCCTTATTTGTCAATTTAAAAATAAAAAGCATCAATGCTTAAAAAGAGCAAGAGCTCGGTGTAAATAGTCATATGACATAGACATGAAATGAAACAAGATACTAATAGCAAAAATAATAGAAAGCAGAATCAGAACCTGAAGGATTTTAGACACTGGAAAAATCTGGCACAGAATATAAGTATCATATTTTTAAAGAAAAAGAAGAAATGAACAAATTAGTTAGAAAACCAACTAGAACTTTTAGAAATAAAAATTTCATCCTCTGAAATTTAACTCAATAAATAGGTGAGATTAATAGCACATTAGACACACTTGAATATATAAGTAATGAAAGATGAATCTAGAGGAATGGAAAGTAGCACAAAGATATAAAGAGTTGGGAAATATGAAAATAGATGCCATAAATATGGAGGATAGCATAAATATGTAGGATAGTAATTCTCAAGCACATCTATTTGGAGATCCAGAAGGAAAGAAAAGAGAAAACAGGACAGCCGGGTGCGGTGGCTCATACCTGTAAGCCCAACACTTTGGGAGGCTGAGGTGGGCAGATCACGAGGTCAGGAGTTCAAGACCTGCCTGGCCAACATGGTGAAACCCCATCTCTACTAAAAATACAAAAATTAGCTGGGCGTGGTGGCAAGCACCTGTAATCCCAGCTACTCGGGAGGTTGAGGCAGGAGAATTGTTTGAACCCAGGGGGCAGAGGTTGCAGTAAGCCAAGATTGTGCCATTGCACTCCAGCCTGGGCGACAGGGCAAGACTCCATCTCAAAATAAATAAATAAATAAATAAATAAAATTTAAAGAGAAAGTCACCATCTTAGTGGGAGATGTTATAACCCATTTCTCTGAGAAATTAATAAATCAACTGTATAAAATCTGAAAAAACACAGATCATTTCAAATATACAATCAACAAATTTGATCTAATGGATGTATACAGAATACTGTAGCCAACATTTAGAAAATATACTTTTTTTTCAAACGCATAGGTAATATTCATAAAAACTGTCCACATACTAGGCAATAAGAATATTCTCAATAAAATCCCAAAGGATTACTGTCACAAAGGCCACACTCCCTAATTGCAGTACAGGTAGAAATCAGTAACAGATAGCAAAAAAACCCCATATTTTTGGACATTTTAAAATATACTTCAAATTAAATCATGTGTCAAAGGGAAATCATAATGCAAATTATTAAATATGTAGAGCTAATCAATAATTAAATCTTATGTATCAAAATTGTAGAATGCTGGAAATGCAGCACCTAAATGGTTACGTTAGAAAAGAAAGACTGAAAATAAATGAGCTATGTATTTATATCTAGAAGTTAGAAAAAGAACAATAAACCTAAGGTAGAATGAAAAAATATTAAAGGTACGTACAAACATTAATAGAAAACAAACATGATAGTGAAGACAAAGTCAAAGTTGATCCTCTGAAAAGGCAAATAAGACTAATAAATGTTAGATAATCTTAAGATAAAAAGAGAAGATACAAATAAACTATGAAGAATGAGTACTGTGCTAGATATTGACTATTGGCACTCAGCATCCATTCTCACTCCTTTTACAGTCTTTCTTACAGAGAGAGAAACACCTAGAGCTATAATTCTCAGACTCCCTTACCAGTAGGGTTCCAGCTAGAGATTAGGTTACACCATGTTGCACTCATGTAAGACTTTGGCAGTATGAATTCAGTAGAATCCCCTTTCCCCAACCCTTCTTTTCCTCCTGTAAGGATACAATGCTGTGGAGTCTTTAGTAGGTATGAGTTTTCACAAGAGCTGACTGGATTCTGCATTCTTCAGCCAGTTAACAGCCTCAAGGTCTGGGAATAGCTGTGATGCTGTAGTAGTTGTGTTAAGTTTCCTAACGTCTCAGTAATATCAGGCATCCTGACTCTCTGGACCAAATCTGCTACAGCAAACCTAAAGCCAGTGTCAGCTCCCTTCCCTCCACACTGGCTTTCTGTCCTCCCACCCTGCCAAGGTCTAATAATGCTTTCAAATACCTTCCTCCATTCCTATCAACACACCTCTATGAGACTGGTATGAGCATCAGTAAACCAAATCTAGGCCAGGCATGGTGGGTCATCCCTGTAATCCTAGTGCTTTGGGAGGCCAAGGCCAGAGAATTGCTTGAAACCAGTAGTTTGAGACCAGCCTTGGCAACATGATGAGACCCTGTGTCTACTTAAAAATAAAAAAGCCAGGCATGGCGGTGCACACCTGTAGTTCTAGCTACTCAGGAGGCTGAGGCAAGAGGATCACCTTAAGCCGAGGAGTTCAAGGTTACAGTGAGCTATAATCATGCTACTGCACTGCAGCCTGGGCAACACAGTGAGACCCATCTCTTTTAATAACAAAACAAAACAAAACCTAGAAACAATTTACGTATACATTATCCTTGTCAATAGTGTTACAGCAGAGTAGATAAGTTAACAAGAAACAAGGTCATTTGTCATATTTAACGTTTTAAATATTTACGTACTTGACATTTAATGAAAATATGCACATAGTTATTTAATGTAGGGAATTTTTTTCTTTTTCCAGACAGAGTTTCGCTCTTGTCGCCCAGGCTGGAGTGCAATGGTGCGATCTTGGCCCACTGCAACCTCCCCCTCCTGGGTTCAAGTGATTCTCCTGCCTCAGCCTTCCGAAGTAGGTAGGATTACAGGTGCCCGCCACCATGCCCAGCTAATTTTTTCGTATTTTTAGTTGAGACGGGGTTTCATCATGTTGGCCAGGCTGGTCTTGAACTCCTGACCTCAGGTGATCCACTCACCTCAGCCTCCCAAAGTGCTGGGATTACAGGCATGAGCCACTGTGCCCCGCCTAATGCAGGGAATTTCTATATCACTCTTGACTTTTTATTTAGTTCTAATGCGAAAAGACAAAAAGTCGTGAGTATAATAACAATCTTCTATATTGTTATACAAGAACTTTCAGTGAACAATGTGTACAGTTTCTGTGATTCTTTTCTTTTCCTCTATGTTTCTTCTGGCTGTATTTCTTGAAATGTAATTTTATATCTGTTGAATCTAATAATTTAAAAATCAGGGCTTTAAAAATATGTAGATATGTATTTTACATTACATATATAGAGAGAGAGTTGGTTTCCTTTATAAACCTATGTATTTTATTGCATGCATTTAAAAACCTTAATTTGAGAAGAATCCCATAATATTAAAAAAAATTCCCAAGGAGTCCATGACATAAAATGGTTAAGATCTTCTTTACAAAATAAACTCTTATAATACGTTCCAGGAGACCTACATGATAACATTCATAACCTTGATTTTTAATAGCAAAAAACTAAAAACAATCTAAAAAGTCCATTAAAAGAAAAATGGTTGAATACATTGTGGAATATTCACACAATAGAATACTATGTAACAGTAAAATAGCTGAATGGTAGTCCCGCTAAATATAGTAGATGAATAATACTTACATATATGAATGAATCTCAAATACAATGCTGAGCAAAAAAAGTCGCTTAAGCATATATTCAGTATGATTCAATTTTCTAAAACTTAAAAACATGTTGAAATAAAACAATATTTAGGTGTCCAAATACACACAGTAAAATAACAAGGGAAAACGTAGCCATGAAAGCTATCAGGATGAAAAGTTTCCTCTGGAGAAGAGAATGGGGCACATAGGTGTCTTCTAAACCTGTAGGTACTAGGGCAATTGTAGTGTTGTATTTTTGAGCTGACAGGTTAAGTGCACTAGCATTCACTATGTTATTATTCTTTATACCTTATACATATCATTGTTCTTTATTCAACAGTTAATGTACAATTTAGAATTTTAAAAGATATCATCATTCTTGGCTGGGTGTTCATTAACTATTGCCTAGTTACACCTGCCATGGACACTCCCTTATCTGACCATGTCATTCTGAAGGAATAATGCAAAGAACTAGAGACAGCTAATGTCACTTGATATTAAGAAATGATAGCCTAAAAATCAAGGAAATATTCAAACTAAAGTTGTTTCTTGGTTTCTAACAAGAAGAAGGAAAAAGAAAAAAAAGTGTGAATGAAGCATATATAAATAACTAAAATAAATGAACACATTGATTTTCTACTATATGCTAAGTATAATTAGTACAATACTCTTGATATCCATAGAATATTAAGGAAAGGTGCAATCAGCAGAGGCTAGGCCCTGTACAACTTATGTGCTCCCTTTTTGCCCATAGCCAAAATGGTCCTGAGTCTACTACCATGCCCACTTCAAATAGGCCTTCTGCAGGTTGCCCAGCAAAACATTTCACTGGAAAAAGGCATATTCGCTTACTTAAAACTGTTTATTGAGTGTCTTTCCAAAGCGCTACTCAAATTTGAAAAATTATTTTTAAAAAAGTTTTAAAAAATAGCATACACACCAAAATTATTTGTGATGATGGCCTTTGAGTGTGGGGATTGTGAGCAATTTTGATAATAAGGAATATATGCTGTTTTATGAGAAGAAACAAAACTCAATAAACTGAAAAACAAAAACAAAAAATAGCCCCATGAGACAATGACCTAACATCCCTCTCTTGACTAAGCTCAGTATAGAGACCTATTTCTTAAGTAGGGGACATATGGTCTCAGAAAACAGATTTAGAAAGATAATTTTGAAATCTGTAGGAATTGAGTAATAGATATCTCTAGAAAGTGAAACTACCTGAAAAAATTTTAATTGCAGGTAAAAAAAAATCAGAAGTATAGCTCTGAACTCCTTTGACATAAAAAAGGTTAAGAAAACAAAACAAAAACTGTGATAAGAAGAAAACTCACTATATTGAGAGGGAATTAAAGAAAGGGGCAAAGAAATAACTGAGAAATTTGAAAACTATAAAAAGAATTTTGTTTTGACATGGGAGAGTCTAAAGTCATTGCTTAGAGAAAGAACATAGAGAACAAAAGGAAAAAATGCCTAATTAATTAACATATTGGAAAAAGCAGCTATGAGAAGTGACAAGTGTGAAAACCCAGACATAATCAACTTGGACTTCCAGAAGGTTTGAGATAGAGCATCACATAAGGATTTGTAGATATAATTACTACTGCTGTTGAAATGCCAAAACTCTATGTTGAGAGTAGAGAATAAAAGGATGTTGATTTTGGCAGAAATCACAGTGGCAAAAGCATCTACATTACATTTGGTTATTTAGTATATCTATACCTGTCAACATAAAAATATATGTATGAGAGCTACCTACAGAAGAGTTTGCAATTTTAAAAAAAGGTAAATGATTTCTTTTTAAAACTAAAATCAACAACAAGTTAAGGCTCAAAAGAAAACAACAGTTGCTTAAGAATAGACATATAAATCAGTGGAACAGAAGAAAGTCTAGAAATAGACCTGCATATATATATATATAGTAAATTGATTTTTGACAAAGATGCTAAGATAATTCAAGGGAGAATGATAGTCTTCCCAATAAATGGTGCTGTAACAACCGGATGTTCATACTGAAAAATATGAACCTCAAGCCTTATCATATACCATACACAAAAATTAATTCAAAATGGTCAGAGACTCAAATAAAAGCTAAAACTAGAAAATCTCTAAAACAGAAAGCCCTCACAACTGAGGGATAGGCAAAGATTTCTTAGGATATGAAAAGCACTAATCATTTGCAAAAACTGATAAACTGAACTTCATTCAAATTAGAACTTCTGCTCTTAAAATACATGGTCAAGAAAATAAAAAGGCAAAATTTAAAGATCTAATATACAGCATAAGGACTAAAGTTAATAAAATTATATTGTATTAGGGATTTTTGTTAAATAAGTAGATTTTAGCTGTTTTTGTCACACACAAAAAAATAACTACATGAGATGACAGATATTTTAATCTACTTCACTATAGTAACCATTTTACTATCTATATGTATTTCATAACATTGATACGGAAGTGCCAGGAGGGGCATGGTCCCTTTAAATGATACGGAAGAGGTGAAGGGAAGTGCTGAAGGGAAGGGAAGTGCTGTGTGGAGGAGGGTGTGGTCCTTGGCTAGGGCTCCACCCCCGGGCCTGTGCCCATGGACCTACGTGAAGACAGGCATTTTTTTTTCCCTGCCCAAATGTTGCATTTCCCAAGAACACCCTGGCCTGCCACGCCCCCATCTTGTGCCTATAAACCCCCCCGAGACCCCAGCAGGCAGACACACAGGCAGCTGGACATCGAGAGGAGCACATCAGTGGAGGAACATATGGGCGGCTGAACATCAGGAGGAACACACCAACAGGCACCAGCATGCAAGCAGGCCATCCACCAGCAGAATGATGTGGAGTCTGGCTGGGGCAGTTGGAGGAGAGCCCAGGCCTCCAAGCGGCCCGACTCCAGGGGAAAACCATCTCCCTTCTGGCTCCCCCATCTGCTGAGAGCTACTTTCACTCAATAAAACCTTGCACTCATTCTCTAAGCCCATGTGTAATCTGATTCTTCAAGTACACCAAGACAAGAACCCAGGATACAGAAAGCCCTCTGTCCTTGCGATAAGGCAGGAGTCTAATTGAGCTAGCACAAGCTGCCTACAGATGGCTAAACTAAAAGAGCACTCTGTAACACATGCCCACTGGGGCTTCAGTTGCAAACATTCACCCCTAGACAATGCTGTGGGGTCAGAGCCCCACAGCCTGCCTGTCTGTATGCTCCCCTAGAGGTTTGAGCAGCTGGGCACTGAAGAAGTAAACTACACTCCCATCACGTGCCCTGAGAGGAGGACAAGGGAAATTTTACCTTTTCAACTGGGGGCTCATCCAGGATTGTGGAAGGTGTGAGTGAATGTGAAACTGTCGGGTCTGCCTCTCTTCCGAAACTCCACCACCTTTCTCTCTTTCCTGCGGGTAAGAGGCTCTGTTTCCCTTCACAGAGTTTTAAACCGCCCTAACTGGGCCAGTCAAAACCCCCAGACTTTGTCTCTTTTTTCTCTCTCTCTCACATGGTTTAAAATGGCTCTTATCTCTTTCTTTATAATATTAAGAGTTTTGCTACAGGCTGCGGCAATGTTACTAAGTAAAATGAGCATTTGGCTCAGCCACCAAAGGTGCAAATCAGACCAATTTTTTCCTAGAGGTGCATGTATGCCTCCACCTCGACAGTCACAGGCATGCGTGGCTCAGGGCACCTCTCCTTATTCTTACCCCTCCCAGCTCAGGCACCTGGGCATGCCTGCAGCAGGCAAAAGCCAAACCCAACAGTCACAAGGGGGGCAGGAGAAAACCAGTGGTAGCCAGGACCCCACGGGGTCAACAGATAGGGCGCTTCTCGCCTGCTGTGTCAATGGAACATTTCTCCTTTGGCCAAGGAATTCAACCCAGTCTGAACCAGGAAAAAGATATAAGAATTAGAGGAACCCAGTTGCACTAAGCAAGGGGTTCTTCCCCCAGAATCTCCCCCTTTTTGCCCCTTAAACTGTTTTTCTGTTTTTTCCTTTTCCATGTGAGAGGGCTCCCCCTCCCAACTCTGTTTCTGATATGGAAGTTAAGGGAGGAATGACCCCTGCTGGCTGAGAACTGCAAATTCAGCAGGGCTCATTTGAGACACTCTAAACAGATACAAACAGCCTCTGAAATATCTTTTCAGTCCCAAACTCGATTCCAAGCTTCAGGCTGAAGCCCTAGAAAGAAAAACCAGGTGCGAGGGATTCAAAGCCAGGCAATAGGCACAATGTAAATGGGCAGGACCAATTCCTGCCAACTGAAACCCACCCCACAGAAGGAGGCCATGCTTTATGGCATGAACAGTCCCTGGGACCTCAAAGATTGCCAACAACAGGGAGAATGGGAGGCATAGGTGACAGCGTTTAATTCCTATTCTCCAGGTTTTCTCTGCTTCATGGGTACATACTGCAATTGCACCTACGGCCAGCACCTGCCAAGGTCACCAGGGCTCAGGGATAAGAGGTAGAGAGTGAAGGGAAGATGCTCGCTTTCTCTCTCCATCACATCCTGAGTTTTCGCTGAAAGAGGGAAGGGAAATGAGGGAAGCCTCTATTCCCTGTCTTTCAGAATGGGCAAACAGTTCTCTTCACCACCGCCAGCTTATACTCCTCTGGAGTGTATCCTGAACCATTGGGACTGCTTTGACCCTCATAATCTGGAGGAAAAGCACCTCATAGCTCTCTGCACAAAGGTTTGGCCAAATTATGATTTACAGGAAGGACTGGCTTGGCCTCAGGAAAGGACCATTCATTTCAATACCATATGGCAATTGGAACTTTTCTGTAGATGCGAGGACAGATGGTCTGAGGTCCCATACGTGCAGGCTTTCTATACCTTGCAAGGCAATCCCGACCTTTGCCGACAATGTAGGATTGACCTAGCCCCTGTGTTTGCTGTCTCAGGAAGGCTGCAAGTGGCAAGGCCAGGAAATTAAAGACATGAGTCCCAGAGGCACCCCCAGCAGAGAAGCCAGCACCCTCAAGCCCTGCTCCTCTGGGTCCACCCCAACCTTTCTATCCAACTTCAGCCTCTCCCTTACCCCCTCCTAGAAATCATCACTCTAAACAAGCCCCAGTCTCACTCTTGCCTTTCCAACAGATGCCCAGTGAATTTGGGCCCAGTAAGGTCCAGGTCCCCTTCTCCCTACAGAACTTAAAGCAAATGGGGGATCTTGGCAAGTTTTCAGATGACCCTGATAGATATATAGAGGCTTTCCAGAATTTCACCCAAATATTTGAACTCTCCTGGAGAGACATTATGTCACTTTTGAATTAGAACCTGATGGACGCTGAGAAGCAGGCTGTTCTGCAAGTAGCAGAGAGATTTGGGGATGAGCTTTGTATCATGTAAAGTGTCAGGGAAGAGGGTAAATATTATCCAATTGGAAGAGAAGCAGTACCAGTGTATGACCCTAAATGGGATCCCAGTGACAAGGTGGAAGACTGGAAGAGGAGACATCCTTAGGTGTGCATAATAGAGGGCATATGTAGAACTAAGACCAAGCCTTCTCTGAGACGGCAATTATACTAAGTTGTCCATGATCGATCAGGGATTTGATGAGAATCCCACTGCCTTCCTGGAGCGGCTAAGAGAGGCCTTCGTAAAGCACACCTCTCTTATCTCTTGATTCAGTTGAGGGACAGCTAATCCCAAAGGATAAATTTATTATTCAGGCAGCCCCTGATATCAGGAGGAAGCTATAAAAACAGGTCCTGGGACCAGATAGCACTTTAGAGAACCTCCTTAAAGTAGTCACCTCGGTCTTTTATAATAGAGACAGGGAGGCCCAGCAAAGGGAGAGAAATGCAGGAAAGAGAAAGAAGCTTTAATGGCCCCCAGGCAAGCCTACAAACCCTAGAATTCCCAGAGTGCACCTGTTAACTGCTAAAGATAAGGCAAGAACAGTTTTCTCTCATTCTAAAAGTTTATCCGCTCCCATATAAGGTTTAATTTCTTTCACCAGGGTGATACAATTCAAGGTACAATATTGTTGTTCGTATATTTCACTTATCTCTGTAATCTTTGGCACTAAATTCTTTCCTTGTATAACACACGTATAACCCATGTATACTTAACCTTATAAAACTTGTTTTTTTTCTCTCATGCCTAGAAGCCATCAAACTCCAAACGGTCAGGCAACCGAAGCCTTGGACGATGGCTCCCCTTTGCTAGGAACACTTAGATAGACTGGGAGAAATCTGACTGCTGTTTTGCCCAAAACAGTGCCCCCTGTCGTCAGGAAACAGCTAAGGCCGGTCATCGTCCATATTCTAACGGCAGTAAGATATACCTCTTCAGAGGGGGATAATGATACAGAAGTGCTGGGAAGGGCATGGTTCCTTTAAATAAGACGGAATTGGAGAAGAAGTGCTGTGTAGAGGAGGGCATAGTCCCTGGCTAGGGCTCCACCCCCAGGCCTGTGCCCATGGACCTAGGTGAAGACAGGCATTTTTGCTTTCCTGCCCAAATGTTGCATTTCCCAAGACCACCCTTGCCTGCCAAGCCCCATCCTGTGCCTATAAAAACCCTGAGACCCTAGCAAGCAGACACACAAGCAACTGGACGTCAAGAGGAGCACATCAGCAGAGAAACAGATGGGCGGCTGAACGTCAGGAGGAACACACCGACAGGCACCGGCATGCTGGCAGGCCATCGACTGGCAGAATGATGTGGAGTTTGGCTGGGGCACTTGGAGGAGAGCCCAGGCTGCTGAGTGGCCGGCTCCAGTGGAAAACCATCTCCCTTCTGGCTCCCCCATCTGCTGAGAGCTACTTCCACTCAATAAAACCTTGCACTCATTCTCTAAGCCCACAGGTAATCTGATTCTTCTGGTACACCAAGGCAAGAACCCCAGTATACAGAAAGCCGTCTGTCCTTGCAATAAGGCAGGAGTCTAACTGAGCTAACATAAACCATCTACGGATAGCTAAACTAAAAGAGCACCCTGTAACACACGCCCACTGGTGCTTCAGCTGTAAACAATCACCCCTAGACACTGCTGTGGGTTTGGAGCTCCACAGCCTGCCCATCTGTATGCTCCCCTAGAGGTTTGAGCAGTGGTGTACGGAAGAAGCGAGCCATACCCCCATCACATGCCCTGTGAGGGGGACAAGGAACGTTTCCCGTTTCAACATCATATTGTAAACCTCAAAAATACACAATATTTTTAAAAATGAAAATAAAAAGACAATTGATAGACTGTGAGAAAATATTTCCAATACATATATCTAACAAAAAAGTAGTATCCATAATATACAAAGAACTCTTATAACTCCATAAGTCAACCCAATTTAAAAAAAAAATAGGCATAAGAAAACATGAGTGGTTAATAAACCCATAAAAATATAGTCACTATCATCAGTCATCAGATAAATGCAAATTATGATCACCATGATACTACCTTTACAGCCACTACAATGGCTAAAGGTATTAATAGAAAGCCTGACAATACTAGGTGATAGCAAGGATGTGGAGCAACTAGAACTCTCATAGTAGTGGGAATGCAGAATGGTATAATCATTTTGGAAAACATCTTGGCAGTTTCTTATAAAGTTAAACATTTACTTCCATAAGACCCAGAAATTCTACTATAGGTATTTACCCAAGAGAAATGAAAATATATCTGCACAAAAATGTGTACATGCATATTCATAGCAGCTTCATGCATAACAGCCCCTACTGGAAACAAACCAAATGTTCATTCACAGGTGAATGGATAAACCAGTTGTGATTTATTCATACAATGGACTACTACTCAGCAATAAAAATTATTAAACTACTAATACATGTAACCATATGGATAAGTTTCAAAATATTATGTTGAGTAAAAGGAGGAAACAAAGAGGACATACTTAGATTCAATATATAAAATTCTAGAAGAGGGAAATATAATTTATAGTGACAGAGAAGAAACCAGTGGTTGCCTAGTGCCTGGCATGGAGGGGAACTGACTGCAAAGGAGCATGAGGAAACCTTTTGGAGGTGAAGGTAATATTCTGTATGTTGATTATGGTAGTCATTACATGGGTGTACACATATGTCAACATGGGTATACTTTACTGTATATCAAGTATGCCTTAATGTCGATCTTTTTAATTGTCTTTGAAGATTGCAGATTTCATCTCTGTATATTGAATAGAAGTGTGCAGCCCTCCAAGCAACAGCCTTTAGCCAGGGTCACCTAATGATAGCCTGCAGGGCAAATCTAGCCCTATATGGCCCACAAGATGGGAATAATTTTAGTTTTCAACATTTAAAAAATCAAAGGAAGAATATTACTTTGTGCATATGAACATTATATAAATTTCAAATTTCAGTATCCATAAACAAAGTTTTATTGGGACATAGCCATGCTTATGTGTTTACATATCATCTATGACTACTTTTGCACTATTATGGCAGAGTTGAGTACTTGCGACAAAGACTATATGGCCTAAAGGCCTAAAATATTTACTGTCTGGCCCTTTACAGAAAAAGTTTGTGGCCTCTACCCTACAGTACAGGAATTCTTCCTGTCACTTCCCATTACCAAATAATGGAATTAACCAGATTGTTCTCAATCCTTTTACTTATCTCCTGTGACTGGGGAGTTGGTTCATAAGCTTTGGAGTAATATAAGGCTAAGCTCAAATCTTATTTATCACTTAACTACTACAGTTGTCCCTCTATATCCATGGAGATTGATTTCAGGACCTCCTGCAGATAGCAAAATCCATGGATATAAAAATCTGCGGATACTGAAGTCCCTTATATAAAATGGCACAGTATTTGCATATAACCTACACATGTCCTCCTGAATACTTTAAAACATCTTTAGATTACTTATATAATACCTAATATAATGCCAACACATCACTTCACTCATGAGGATTCAATGTAGTGTGAAGCAAATTCAAGTTTTGGTTTTTGGAACTCTGTGGAATTTTTTTCCTGAATATTTTTGATCCAAGGTTAGTTGAATACACGTATGTGGAACTCATGGATGTGGAGGGCTGGCTGTATATTACTTTGGGCAAATTTTTTAAGTTTTCAGTTTTCTCAGATTTTTCACTTGGAAAGTAGGGGAGATGATATACATCTCAGAGGACCACCGAAAGGATTAATGAGATAATGTAAATAAAATACATATTGTCTAGCAGTTAACAAACACTTAATATTTCTTCATATTCTCCTTCTAAATAAAGTATTTAAAAACAAGGGCTTGTCAAATGGGGGAAAAAATGAGCCTGATCACCTACCCATTAGTTTTCAAATTAGAAGGCACAAGCTATTTCCTACATTATATTAGTTCTTATGCTGGCAGAAGTTAGTTATCAAACTTCATTTACTTTTAAAAAACCTTTTATGCCTATCTTTGTACTTACATAATCATACAATATGTAGTTTGTGTCTGGCTTCTTTTGATTAACCTTATGTTCATGAGATTTACTATATTGTTGTATAGAGTTGTAGATCATTCATTATCCCTGATGTATATAGTATAATAGTACTTCACTATGAAGCTTTACTTTCTTTTCTTTTCATTTTCATTTTTAAGAGATGGGGTATCACTATGTTGACCAGGGTGGTCTTGAACTCCTGAACTCAAGCAATCTGTCTGCCTCAGCCTCCTAAAATGCTGAGATTACAGGCATGAGCCACCACACTCAGCCTATTTACTTTCGATCATAAAATTAAAATCTCTTTCTCTCTCTCTCTCTCTGTAGAGACTGGGTCTCCCCATGTCTTAAAAATAAAATGTCTTAAACTCCAAGCCTCAGGCGATTCTCCCACCTCAGTCTCCAAAAATGTTGGGATTACAGGCATGAGCCACCATGACCTGCCAAACGTAAAGTTTAACATTCTAAACTGGCCATGATGTTAAAATACCCACAGTCATGCTCCAAATAATGACATTTCTGTTAACAATGGACCACATAGATGATGGTGGTTCTGTAAGATTATAATACCATATTTTTACTGCACTGTTTCTAAGTTTAGATATTGTATCCCCATTGTTAAGCAACATATCACTGTAGTTGTTCATAGAATATTTTATTACACTTGTTGAGAATGTAATTTTACATTTAAAAAATATACCTTCAAATTGTTTATGGGTGTATGTTTAATCTCTCCAACTGATATGTTACCTCTTTCAGATAGAGAACCTTGTCAGGTGCTTCCCTATTACCCATACAAAATACACTCAATATATCTAATTTAATGAATACTTATTTATATCTAACATAGAAAACAGTGTGATGAGATTCCTGAAGCATTCAAAGAATAAGACATAGTTATTGCTTTCAATGGGATATCAGAATCGAAATGAAGAAACATAACTGAAATGCCTAAAATAATTCACAAATAATAAAAAACAATATTCATTTTATAAATATTTACTGTGCCAGGCAGAGGGTTGGGTGCTGAAACTTCAGTGATGAATAAAACAGAATCCCTGCATGAGCCTGAACTGGCCACATCCTCTGCTATCCTCTGGAAAAATGAAAGAGACTTTGGCAGAGCTAAAAAGTAACAACTCATCAGAGAACATAAACTGAGGTTCTTCAGCATACCTTCAGAAGCAGATGATCCATGGGAATTGACTATTAACCCAAGATTCTCAGAACAAAGAGTTGACTACACAAAGCAGACAGATTCCACCCATGACCATTAGAACAAACTTTTTCTATGTCACACTCTCCTTTCCATTCCTGTCTTTACGGATTATCTCTCTTGTACAATTCCTGGCTCTTTCTTCCTATGTAGGAATTAGTTTCTTTAATGCCAATCCAGGAAAAGATTAATTGTTATGCAGAGTTATTAAGCCAATTCAAGGATATGACTCCCCAGTACCCTTGGATGGATTATGTCTCATTAGAGTCCTTTCTGGGAAAACAATAACTAGTGGAACAAATGCCTAAAAATATCAACCCCATCAACAGGACAGTCAATTGGACAATTTGAACTGACAATTCAAAATTGTCCATGAAGATTTACCTCTCACTTTGGCTGATACAGTAAATAACACAGTCCAAGCCCTGGGGGAACAATTTAATTTCCTTAACTCAAATAGTTATAGTTAACTGTTATAGCTATAGATAATACAATGGTGTTGTATTTTCTCTTGGCCAACCTAAACCATTGCTAACACTTCACGCTATACCTGAACTAACATTACAGATGAAATGAAGCAACTTATATCTAAGCTAAAAAGAAAAAAAAAAGGCAGTCAAGCTACCTAGAGAAACATACAGACTTGTTTTCTTGGTCAGGCCTCAAAAATCTTATGTCTTGGTACTGAAGTGCCTTCTTGTCCCTTCTTAAAATATTTCTTGTTATTCTTGTTTGTCTTACAGTCACTTAATGCTTATTGTCCGGTCTCAAATGCTTTTGCACAGCTATTGTCCCAGCAGATGGTTCAACAAATGATTCAAAGATAAAAAGAATATGAAATCATGCTGATTGACACTTAAACTGAAAAGAGTTCTCTACACTGAAATCTCATCTTTAGGGAGAATCAACAACAGAGTTGAATGTCTGGATAATTCTTAATTATTTCTCCTGAGTGAAGAGCAAAAGTGAGAACTAAGAATAAATAAGTTTCTACACTCATTGGAAAAGACTGATTGTTCTTTAGCCACAGTAACGAGTAGCCACCACAACTGGTTTTAAATTCATTCAATCAATAAACTTGCCTCATTGAACATGCTTTAGAAGCTAGCCAATCAATGATAGTCCTTGTTCCTGAAGTAGCCAATTAGGAACTAATCAATTCCATTAAATGTATCCCTAGGGGCCAACCAAACAATGGTCATACCCAAGTAATCATACTTCTACAGATGACATTAGTCCAAATATGCTTTTGAACATTTGCCAGTTCCTGAAGCCATGCTTCTCTAAAACCCTACAGAAGATCAATAGTTGGCTCTGCTTGTGCCTGATCCCAGTATAACTCCATTACAATAGTAAGTAAAAATTCAGCTTTGTCTTTTTATTTCAGTTACTGAGTGACGGTCTCACCATCCTTTGATACCCTTTAAGCTTCCCTTTTAATAAATGCAAAAATCTTTGGAAACTTTTTGCTTTAATACATTTCCCTAGATAGTACAAAAATATAATTTAATTACCTTTGTTACACTGAACTAATACAAATGTTTAGCTTTCAAATTAAAAAGTGGTATTGTGCTAATATCTATTCTTAAAAATAGCTAAACATTTTCAATTATAGAATCATTCAGGTCAGTGTTTTGTTGTTTTTTTTTTGTGGGGGGTGAATATTCTAGGGTCACAAATCAACCTAGATTTTATTCTGGCAAATTTCCTGAGTAATTATTTTTACACTTTTCAATTATGTGGTTTCACTCAGTTATAAGATTTTTTTTGTAGATGATGTGAAAATTCCTCTAAATCATATCTGCAATGTCAGCAGGATTCAGAGCACAGGAAGCAATGTCCTAAGCAGAATACTTGAGAAAAGATGGTTGAGCTTCCCTGGTTCTACCTTCACCTTTATCAGGCTTTACAAGACCGAAAAGAGCTCTTTCCCAATGCCTCACCTCACAGGAATCAAGCATGCTGTGCCTCCAATAAAGCAGACAGTCATTTCATCTTCTGTGCATCACTGGCCTGGAGCCCAAGCATACCTATCTAAAGAATTAACCATAAATATGGATTTAGAAAGGTGTCTCAATTTGAGACCTTACAACCTAAGCTATAATAGCATAATCACACATAACAAAAATGCAATCACGAGGCTGTTAAAAAATAATCTCAAAAATTCACCTGCTTTAACTTCCTATCTTAAGGTAAGCATATTGATCAACTCCAAAAGTTAAAGGAGCTGTTTTTACAGCTAGAAAAAAAATTCTAGGAACTATAGGCCCTCCCTTCATATCTCCTTTATCATTCTCTTTATACTTCTCCTTCAACCCAAGCTGACAGACAGAGAAACCAATTAAGAGACAGAGGCAGAACAGTCACATAGACAAAATAAAGAGCTCCTACTTTCAGTTAGAATCTGGTAGAATTAAATCCTGAGGAGTGAGAAGAAATATGAAGATTAAGTAACCTGTTTAAATCTCCTGGTTGCTTAGGTTTTTCCTTTGAGATGCCATCTGGGAACAGGGTTTGAGTTAGCATCATGATTTAAAAAAAAAAAAAGACATAACTACATCATTTAATGAGGGCCTACTATGTGTCAAGTATTTAAATATTATAACTGCTGTGCAAAAAGGAAGCCTTATCATTTTATATGCAAAGAAAATAAGACTCCAAGGAATAAAGTAACTTGCCTGAGGCCAAGCTAATTAACTTGCTCAGCTACTGGGTAGTTATCCTGGGATTCCAATTATAGTCATGTTGTTACCATATGGCTACATTCTTCCTTATCTAGAAAAGTGACTCCAAGGAATGGAGTAAGGTATCAGAATCAAGGTAGAGACTCTTAATGCTGGTTTCATAGGTTCTGATTGCTCCACTGCCACCCTAAGAGAGTCACTGTCCCAGTAATCCATAGCTATTGATGATGATGATGTTGATATTAAAAAATAAGACAATAATGATGAAAATAATAGCACCTTAAATGCATCATTTCATCCTTATAACAACCCACAAGGTTGGTCTAGTCTTAGCCCCTTTATACAGGTGGGAAACAGTGCCTGAGCAGTGACTGCCTAGCTGATGCAGGTATTTGATGGTGGAAGCCAGAGCCCAAGCCCTATAAATTATCTCACACTGCATCAGAGGAATGTGTCAGATCTCTCAAGTTTGTTGGGAGTGGAAAATAGTTGAAAATCACCACTCTATAGAATAAACTAAACTCTTTATCATCTGTTCTTTAAGCTCCTTGATGATCTTGCTACAACCTATAATTTCTAACCTTATTTTTCATCACTCCTTTTAACTCCAGGAAATTTCTGGCTGTTTTCCATAAATACCCTGAGTTTTTCTCATTTGCCTAATGCTACTCCTTTTAGCTGAAACGGCATTTTCTATGGATTCCAACAAAGCAAATTGTTATCCACTATAAAACTTCCTCCCCACATAGAAAAACCTCTCCCACTATTGAACTTCCATAGCAGTTTGTCCTTCTCTCAGAACATTCAGGAGATATTTATGTGCTTGGAATGGATTCCTACTTGACTTCAGTAGGCATTGATTCGGTATGGATCCTGTGGAATGAATATCCTTCTGGGGCAATATGCCTGGCTGGAAGAAGTTGAAGATCTAATGAAACCACAGAGAAGAGGCAGCTGTAAATCTTTAGAAGTTGCCATCCTAAAAACTATGATCCTCACTAAGAGCAAAACAAAGCATCATTTTTTTTTTGAGACAGAGTCTTGCTCTGTTGCCCAGGCTGGAGTGCAGTGGCATGATCTCAGCTCACTGCAACCTCCGCCTCCTGGGTTCTAAGTGATTCTCCTGCTTCAGCCTCCACAGTAGCTGAGATTACAGGCACAAGCCACCATGCCCAGCTAATTTTGTATTTTTAGTAGAGATGGGGTTTCACCATGTTGGCCAGGCTGGTCTCAAACTCCTGAGTTCAGGTGATCCATCCGCCTTGGCCTCCCAAAATGCTGGGATTAGAGGTGTGAGTCCCACACCCAGCCCCAAACTTATTCTTATAAAACACAGTGGTTAGGAATGTAGACTGGAGCCAGTCTCCATCTTGCTGTGTGGACTTGGACAAATCACTTAACTTCTATGCCAACTGCCTCATCTGTGAATAGGAAATGATAACAGAACCTTCCTTACTGGGCTGTTGTGAGGACTCAATCAGTTCATATACATAAAGTGCCTAGAACATTGTATGGCTCATGATAAATACTATACAAATATTTGCCATTATTATTTTTGAAACTCATATGTAGATTGGAAAAGTGGCTCCAGTTCCAAGAGGGGAACTGTTAGAGATCAAAAACTTTCAGAAGAAACAATTTAGGTGAAGCATATAAAATGGCTTATATATAAATGAAGCAGTACCATTTTCCTCTGAAAAGTTACAGATCAAGAGAAGATATAACTGAACACTATAAAATAATAAATCAAATGATGGCAGAGATAGGTGAATATACACTTTCTAGGTAAAGTACAGAGACAGTAGAACCAAGGAGTCCATCTGGAAACCTGAAGGAGATTGTTTTAGGTCAAACAAATTTAAAAATTGATAGTGTCTAATAGATGAATTTAAAATTAGCTATTTAGACTTGGAATACAATTGTTTTCAGGAAAACAAGGTTTTCTGTATTGCCTGGGTTTTCTGGCTAATCCATACAAGCCAGTTTAACTTAATATTACTCTAGGAGTAACAACAGATGATTTTAATATTAATAGACTATTTTAATTGCCAGATTGTTTTAGTATTAACATATATTTTACTAGTTATGTACGACAATGGTTTTGTAACACATCATCTGTACTGTAGGAATGGCAACTCGTAAAATCATACATCATGAATGCTGGATGGGATCTGAGTGATAGCTAGGGTCACTATACTTCCTAGTTTGCCTAGCTTAGTAATGGTTTATGCTTGCCACCTTAATTATTAACAGCTCCCCCTGTTAATTAAATCACAGAGGAAATTAAGTCACAGAGAGTGTTGTGACTTAGCAAAAGTCATAAAGTTAAGAAGGGGCTAGAATTAGAACCCATAAATACTTATTCCTAGTCCAGGAGTCTTCCTATTAGACTGCATGGACTCACCAGTATTAAGACAATGGTGATGACCATGACGGTCAGGATTTGGGGCACCCGTACACATGAAATACAGAGTCTATGGGAGTAAAGCTCTTCTTATCCCAGAGGGACTTTCTGGGGTCAAAGGCTGAGGGATTCAGGGGATCCTTGCTTGTATATCTAAGGCTGGCCTATTTCCTTTCTCATTGTCCCTACTTGTGGGTTCTTGCTCAACACCTCCCTGGAATGGGAAAGGTTATGGGGGATATAAGGAATTTATTTTGGGATGTGTTGAGTGTGAGATGTCTCTTCAACATTTAACTGGAGATGTAGAACAGGAGTCCAGACTGGAGATATCAGTCTGGAAGTAAGCAATGAAAGCGTGGTATGTGAAGCTTAGGGCAGTCATCAGAGAATAAATAAGAAGAGTTCTGCAGTAAAGAACAGGGGCCAAAAGGAAGGTGAGTGGTAAGGAGATGAAAAGGGGCTCAGGGTATTGAATAACCAGCTCTAACACTGAGGGAAAGAAAAAAATGAGGCCCGTGACAATAAGCATGATAAACTGCAGCTACTACCATTATTGGAAACTCACTATGTTCTAGGCACTCTAGCAAGTACTTTATATATATTTTCTTAGCCCTCATTTCTAACCTCTGATGTAGGGGAAAAATAAGGTTACAAGAGGTTAATAAACCTGACTATGGATACAAAATAAGTAGCAAAGAAGAAATTCAGACTCAAGAGTGACTCTGAAGACTGATATTTCTACAATGCTCTGCTTACTGGGGGCCTATCTTTTGCCCTTCGTATGTGATGTCTGGATGACAGACAGTCTGGCTTGCATTTTTCTTTTGTGGAAAAATTTATTTTTATGTCTTTGTAGTTAAGATAATAACACTGAATCATGTGAACATGACTTCAGAATGAAGATACTGTCAATGCTCCTTTTGGTAAGTATGTAGAGGTCACTGGCTGTATTTCTGCTCCAAGCATGTTCTACTGGATGAGAAATGGAACATTTTTGCTCTTAGTCTGCACTGTTAGTGTCGTAGGTATATTCACATTACAAACACATGTTCAACAACCAGGAGCTCTGGTTATTTATAAAACAGAAATACTTATTAGGAAGTTTATTAGTTAATATACTGGTTATAAGTTTTGTCATGAGGGGCATTTATCTGGGCTTGGGCTTTGCTGAGAACAAGTTTTTTTCTTGAGAATATGAGTCTGTTGGAAAATATGAGATGGTGCAATTTGCATGTATGCATAAAATTCAAAAACAAGTATTGCCTAGTGAAAGTAATAGCAAAAACTAACTAGACTTTTGTTTTTAAAATTATATTAATAAAAAGTATAAACATTACTATTTTGCTAAAAGCAGTTTCATATTTGTTGATACTGAATTTCTCAGTGGTTAAAACTTATATTGTCTGATCTCCTTCCTCCAAAAAGAATCTATTAAAGCACTTTCAAAGAGTGAAAGTTAGGCATAGGCACAAAATTTAATTTATTCTGAAGTTACAGAGGAAAAAGACTGTATTGTTATAAGGAAGTAAGTCTTGGGTTCTTCTCTGGCTGTTTCATGCATTTCAATCTAATCTACAGCTAAGAGAAGATTCTTAAGGGCAGGGACAATACCTTTTATTTCTTTTGTACAGTGACTACCACAGTAGTTGGCACACTATATGTACTATATACTTGACAAAATCCTGATATTTACAATTCTCAACTTTATGTATTGAGAATTTGTTGCCATTCTACCCTTTAAAGGAAACATTTTGTTTCTCCCATGTGAAAACAGACATAGCCAAAGGCAAAGTTTTTCTACAACTAAGCTTTCAAAATAAATTTCCCATGGAATTTGGTGCTGTTAGAATTTTAGTAGAGTTCTTAATAATCTAATTTTCTGTAAGAAACAATAATTGCCTAAAATAGAAAATTCAACATTTCATTTAGAAATAGTTTAAATTCATTGTTACTAATAATATTAACAAATACCTTGTTGGAATTCAATAGAATAGGGCTATTGAATTTAAAGGCTAGAGAAGTCTCATTTTTCTTTTTCCACTGGGATACTTTATAGCAGAAAAAATATTTATATACTCCATATATACATAATCATCATAATAAAACAGAAAACCGTTAACAGTAAAACAAAAGGGGTTATTGTTGTTTTTAATCAAATGAGTAAAATAGTGGATAAGAATAATGAGATTTGAATAGTAATAGACTTATTTACATTTGTGATCACCCATCTAATTATAGTCTTTTTTTCTCCTCTTTCAGTTTTTCTTTTTTTTTTCTTTTTTTTTTGAGATGGAGTCTCGCTCTGTCACCCAGGCTGGAGTGCAGTGGTGTGATCTTGGCTCACTGCAAGCTCTGCCTCCCAGGTTCAAGAGATTCTCCTGCCTCAGCCTCCTGAGTAGCTGGGATTACAGGCGTGCACCACCACGCCCTGCTAATTTTTTGTATTTTTAGTAGAGATGGTGTTTCACCATGTTGGTCAGGCTGGTCTCGAACTCCTGACCTCGTGATCCACCCGCCTCAGCCTCCCAAAGTGCTGGGGTTACAGGCGTAAGCCACTGCGCCCGGCCTCTGCTTTCAGTTTTTCTAGGGGCAATCTTTTTGCCTCTTATAGGATGTGTCATCCAACAGATGACATGTTTATGTTTTTGTTTTTTCATAGAGGATATATATTTAGGATTTCTAATACAAAGGGGAACAACTAGTAGAAGCCTTAAATTAAATAGGGAAACAAAGATGTACTGCTGTTCCTTCTTTGCTCAATAGATTGTCAGTATGCTTATTTAACTGATAGTTTTCTTTGTACCTTCTCAGGTTTATTATGCTGTCAAGGGACTAGCCTTTGAAGAATACCGTAGGGCGTAAGGCAAACAAACAGAAAACCCTGAAGATGACAGTAAGATTCCCTTCGTTACATCTTAAAAGGAAGGCCAGCAATGCCCATCCAAACTTGGAATCCCATATTATGCTTTTGAGTTCATAAGTTAACAGGCTTTGAGCAGTCAATGGAGCATCCGAGTAAGTAGATGTGAAGGCTGGGAGAATCACTGCTTAGAGAGAAAGAACCCAAGAAACATGTCTAAGTTTGTGGAGGAAAGTATACTCTGCTTCTATGAAATCAAAGCTGTGGGTTCAATGTGCTAGTTTAACATAAATAAAAAAATTATATTCTAAAACAAACAATTGTGCCTTAAGCACACCTGGTAGTCTCATAAATGCTGACTGATGGTATAAAAGGTATAACGGATCAAGATGGTTAGCTAGATACCAACTCATCCTTACTGTTGAAGAAAAATAAACTCAAAAAGCAATGTGATTGGTGGTATGTCAAATAGGAATGTCTCTTAGCACATTACTCTGGTCTTGATATGGTCTAGCTACTCTGATTGCTCTTGGGGACTGGGCAAGAACATGAATAGAGTATAATCCATCACATCTTCTGACTGTGGTCCAGTGGCCTAAACATCACATAACAAAACCACATTTGATAGCTTCCTTCTAATTGCAAGACACATAACAAATACCACCAAACAATGTAATTTGTCACATGTAAGTAGTTTTTCTTAAATTTAAAAAATAATTTCAAAAAATGGCTAAGGGCAAAATAAGAAACTAACTCAGCCATTCCAATGCCAAAGAATTTCAAATTTAAGTTGGCTTTTTACTTTTCATTTGAAGTAAGAAATACCCATTCAGCTACAAGACCAAAATTGAGAGATGATATACTCTGAAAAAAAAATCTTATACTAACATCTAAAATCTGAAAGTTTTATTTTAAAAACTCCTTATTAAGGAAAACTTCAAACATATACAAAAGTAGAATAGTATAAATTAACCCCACTCACTCTCAGGAACCATCACTCAGTTTCATCTATTATCAACTCATGACCAGTTTTACCCCTCCACTTCCACTTCCCCAGAAATCAAGTTATTTCATCTCTAAACATTTCAGTAAAACCTTACAATTTTAACTGATCACTGTTAGAAGTTGTGGGGTTCTGTGTTTCATTTTTAATTGTTTTTATTTTGGATACCTATGTCAGTGAGGAAACTGGTGTTTATTGAAGACAAGGAGAATAAAAAATCTAGGTTTTTTTTTTTAGTTCTTCTGTGATTTCTTGTACCTAAATACAGTTATAAAATTTTCTCCTCCTTCCACTGAAGGAGATGGAGCTGGCAAGATACAGTCATTCAGTTTTAACAAGCATTAATTGAGCACTAGGGACAGGGCTGGGTGCTGGAGATACAAAAAATGAGTAAACAAAGATCCTATTTCTAGAATGGATGAGACAGACACAATAAATATTATAGATAATGTCGATATAATATGGAAAATGCTAAGATAATGGTATTCACAGGGTACTTTGGGAAATAGAGAATAAGGCAATTCAGAGGAAATCAGATATTCAAGAAAGGCTTCCAGGAAGAGATGACATCTGAGTAAATGCAAAAGTGCTGCAAATGATTGTTACTATGTCATTATAATAAGTGCAATATGAAGGTTCCTTCAAATAGATTTCCTTCATTTAGTGGGTTGGGGAATTAGCAGGGAAGCTCCTCAAAGAGTATTAGTCTGTGAAGTGTGTAAAACAACAATAATTTATAAAACCAGCCACTATATCATGTCCTGTGGGGAATACCAAAGGGAAAGGCATGGTCTCAACCCTCAAGAAGGTAGGAATGTAGATGGGGAGAAATTCAGCATGCATTGGAAAACTGCACTATAGAATATCCAATCAAATTAGAGAGTTTAGGGATGAGAAGAGTGGTATGAACTAAAATATTTGAATAAGAGCTTGGACCAAGGTTTTGAATATAAATTTAACCTAGATCAAAAAAGGAAGACAATCTAGTAAAGAATATTAAAAGGTAAGTTTTAAGTGGTGAAAGATTCTTTGTCTTTAAGGAGTTATTTCTTCATTCTGTTCATCTTTGGATTGACTGAAGCCAGGTGGGGAAGGTCAAGATCTTTTACCTAAACCTTAAAGAGGTGTGTGTGTGCATGTGCTTATGTGTATGCTAGTGTCAGAACATGAAGATTTGATCTAAGAATTTACAACCTATCCTAAGCTATTCCATTAGAATAATGCACAATGTCAGGCTGCAAATGCAAAGGTCTACTCTGGCAGATATCTGATTCTTGGGGGAAAAATGAAAAGCAAAGCCCATAAAAATTAAAGTTATAAAAGACACATAAGAAAATTCAATCAACAGTATAGTTTCCAGCTGTCCTTCTGAAATCAATGACACACCATTTATAATACTATCTTTAATAACAACAACAATAGCGTCAGCTAACACTTATATAGCATCTGCTATAAACACACTTTATATAAATAATTCATTTAATCCTCAAAGCAGCCTGTCTGGTAGATAGTACAACCTCTCCCATTTTACAGAGGGGGTAACTGAGACACAGAGAGACTAATAATTACTCTTTTCTCCATTCTAGTTATTCAGCTTTCACTGGTGAGACTTTAGATCAGAGGTTTAAAAGGCATGTAGGTACACAGTGGATATATGTTGAAATCTATTTTTAATAAACTAGAAAAATTACTTATATCCTTCATTGACTTAAGTGAAATGCTGCATGATAGTATAATGGCACAGAACCATAAACATAAATGTCAAATAATCCATGAGGCTAAGAGGTAGAGTTGCAAATAGGAATATGCTCCAGCAATGGCTTGTTTATCAGCAAACCAAACACTAGTCTCTGAATATTTCCCCTGGGATTGAAGAATGCATCTTTTTCACAATAGTTACACAGAGAACAGCATCAAACATATATGACAATAAATGACCATATAATATACAGCAATAAAAGTAGCAATTTGCTATAAGTTTTGTCCCTACTGAACTATAGAAAAATATTACTCCCCAGGTAGAGGTACTTCCTTTTCCTTTCAAACTCTGAAAGCACTTCATATATAGCTAAACTCAGTACTTACATTATAGTACATTATAATTATTTTTTCGTATAGTGGCCTTCCCTCTAGACTACGAGACCTTGAGCACAGAGTCTGAACTTATTCCTCCTGGGATTTAAAAGCCATCCCTCCATCTAGTAGCATGAAGGTTTACTGGATGAATAAATTAATTAATTATTCGATAGGTGACTTTTAGTAAAATCTAAGGCACTATAAAGCATAATAGACAAGTTAAAAATGTCAAGTTGTAAGGGTTTTGTTATTTTAAGGATAGATTCTAATTTCCCTTGCATTTAAGGCCTTTTCTATACCAGCCCTAATCAACCTTCTTAACCTTATCTTGTCTGTTAGATCCTATATATGAATTATTTTATCTTGCACAAGCCCTGTGCTTTCTCACCTCTATGTTTTAACTCAGTAATCTCCAAAAAGCTTTAGATTATGCAGCTCTCTCAGTATAAAATATTTGGTATACTTATTTAACATTGTGCTAAAATATATTTATTACTAAGCAAACACAAAAATAGAAGAAAACAGATATTTTAAACAAATGAAGTTTTAATCTTTTCTTCCTCCACACGATGCATTGCTTTGTATGTATCCCACTTTGAAAATCGCTGATTTATATCAAAAGAACAAATATCATAGCATTTTGTGAGAATTAAATGAATCAATACATATAAAGCACTTATAATGCTTCTGAGCATATAGGAAACACTATACATGCCAACTAATTTCATTACCATCATTATCATCAATGTAGTTTCTTTTGAGTGTAATAATGTCTACATACCTACCTTCTAGCCTCCTTCCTACACGCCAAACTCCTTGAAAGCCAAATGATAAATGTTATCTCTTCAAAGAACTATTTGAATCCATCTCTTAAGGGATTAGGACTTATCGCACTGAAGAAGGTACCAAATCTACAAAGTTTAGCAAGAAGCCATGCCCAGGAAGCCAAAATAAAACTAGAACCATTGGTAAAAATTAAAGATGGGTTTATGGAAAATGATGCAAATGCAAAGAGATATGATTATTAGCTCCATGGGAAAGAAAATATAAGAAAAGTAAATATAGCCATAGTGAAATTATCTGACTCTATAATAAACAATGTTTACATGAACCTAATAATATAAATATTGATGACTAACACAAAATTGTTTATTGGTTTTAAGAAGATCAAATCAATATGAAGATGTTCAGTTGATTTTTGAAATGGTAAAATGTGTCATGTGTTTTTATATTTCCACAGTTGTACTTTTACAGCAGTCTCAGCATAAAAGAGATTTCAAGAAGTTTTAACTCTTACCTGTAACACAGCGCCAAATAAATACACTACTATGAAGATTATAGTTAAAGAAGTATGACCACTTTTCATCAAATGAATAGTGTAGAGGAAAATTAAATGTCCAGGAATCACTAAAAGCAGTAGAACTTGAGCAGACTTATTATTTACTCCTGTAATATAAAATGTAAAAGTAATTAAAACAAAATTATATTTTGGTTAATAATAGGTCATAGTTATTAAAATTTGAGGATTACTTTCTAGTTACTATACTTCATACTATCACATGAAATTTGATTGCCAAAAATAAATTTCAAGTAGTTACAATTCATTTCATTCTCTGAAATTTCCACTATATATGTTAATTAAATGAAAGGTGGTTGATAAAAACTTGCTATGAAGAACATCGGTCACACTTTAATATCTATCATAAAAACAGAGAAAATATAAAGTTCTTACAGTACAAGAATGTTTTAATTTTATTAATTTCTTTAGAATTCTATCACTGGTATTAAAAGGGTAGCCATTCTGATCTTCATTCAAAGGTCAATAATGGCCACGCACAGTGGCTCACACCTGTAATCCCAGAGCTTTAGGAGGCCAAGGTGGGAGGACTGCTTGAGGCCAGGAGTTCAAGACCAGCCTGGGCAACACAGTGAGACCTCATCTCTACAAAAAATAAAGATAAAAAAAAATTAGCCAAGCAAAGTGGCTCGTGCCTGTAGTCCCAGCTACTCAGAAGGCTGATGTGGGAGGATCACCTGAGCCCAGGAGTTTGAGGTGCAGTGAGCTGTGATGGTACCACTATTCTCCAGCCTGTGCAACAGAGCAAAGCCCTGTCTCAACAACAACAAAAAATTTTCTAAAACAAAAGTCAATAATCATACTTATTTTCATCAGGGAAAAAAAATGACAAGAATTGTGAAGTTTAAAATTGTGGTCTTAGTTTTTTGGTAATCATGTGCCTTTGTTTTTTCATAGCCACATAAATAATGCACTGTTCCTTGAAATCGAGTTTATCCCTTCTCAACTGGTTTGTTTGAGATCAAATGCCTACATTTAGAAAGGCCAAAATAATAATATAGATAAGATAGTACATCTGCCTCCCGAAATCACCTGGCAATTATTTTTTTTGTCTTTCACAAAATAAGGTTTCTCTTTCACAACTAATAAGCAAGATACCCCAGAAAGAGGCATCAAAGAGAAACATTATACAAAGATCCTCAGCAACTGCAGACTTGATACACATGCCTTTTCATTCACTGGGATTAGCTCTCAGAAATCGGAAAGTTGAGCAACTTTCACAAAACACATATTCAATAAATGTTGCCTGCCTATAATCTTAGAGAGCAATAGCCCTTGATCTAAAATATGCAAAAATCCATAAGCACATACCTGGACCAAAGAAAGTTCTAAATGGGTAGTAACAACCTTTGGGTTCATCAGGCAATTCTCCTGGAATGCTATGTAAATGGAGGTAGGTAGAAATCCTGCTAGCCTGAATGGCCACCAAATTACCACCAATACCTGAAACACAAGGAAAAACAAAGTAGCAATCCTCATATTTTAAACAATTTGCATAAATTCAACCAAAAGCAAGCCTCTTCGTGTAACATTCTGGGCCAATAAAACAAAATAAAGAGTTCTTCTGAAATGTTGATCTATTTAATGTTGAAGTAGACATTCCAAAGGCATAAAATCATTGTTAGATAAGATTAATTCATTATTTTTTCAAACTTGACTGGTATGCAAGCAGACCAGAGCAGGTAATTTTTAAAAGTCATTATCAAAACCAAGAAATAAAATTAGGTACCAAGATCCTTCATGTTTATCACCTTAATGACAGGGAAGATAAGCTGGACTTACTCAAATAGATAAAGCTAGAAACTTTTCTTCTCAGCTTACTAAAGAAATTGGTACAGAGCCACTGGAAAAAATACTCATTACCCTCTCACATACTCTGAGGCAGAAGAGTTGATGCCAGGATGTGAAATGAATTCCAAAGAGTGGTAAGCCCCTCCAAGGTAAGATATGATACTTAAATTGTTTCTCCTTTTGCAGAGTGCAGGAGAAAGAAGTTAAGCCATAAAAGTGAGTAAGAAGAAAACTGAAAAATTCAAATTCTTAACTGATGAGTGTAGGACTGCCTAAGATTGGGGACAGAGCAAGAGAATCTCAAACTCCATCCCATGCCTTTCACTAAGAAACATCAGCAACTGACTGTTGGGGGAAGAGCAAGAGCACAGATAGTTAAGCCTTCCAGGCTGCAGGCATACAGCCCTCCACGCTTCACACTTAGCACAGGGTAGCCGGAGCATGCCCATAAAGAAAGTTGAGGTTAGTGGTGAGCTGAGGGTAATGATAATAACCATAAAAAACAAACCCAGTTCAACTGCTGACTAGATTGACTCAATCCTCCATCCTAATGATCTAGCAGAAGAAAAGAACTCCCATTTCTAGGCATAAATAATATTTATCTCAGTCTCCAATGGTCTTGTATGTATAATGTCCATCATTCAATTAAAAAATTAAAAGACAGGAAAAAGCAATAAAGAATATAAACCATTGAAGGAGTTAAGAAGTCATCAGAGCCAGACCCAGAGATGAATCGGGTGTTGAAACCATCCAACAAGGAATTTAAAATAATTATAATTAATAAGTTAAAGGATCTAGTGGAAAAGATATACAAATATATTAAAAGACAGAGACATAAATTAAAAGTAAAAATATGGGAAAAGATATATCATGCAAACACTAAGGAAAAGAACGTAAGAGTGACTATATCAATATCAAGGGGGAAAAAAATGGCATTCTAACAGGGAATATTACCAAGGATAAAGACGAACATCGAATAAAGTTTAAGAAGGTCAAGACGGCCAGGAGCAGTGGCTCCCGCCTGTAATCCCAGCACTTTGGGGGGCCGAGGTGGGTGGATCACGAGGTTAGGAAATCAAGACCATGCTGGCCAACATGCTGAAACCCCGTCTCTACTAAAAAAAATACAAAAACTAGCTTGGTGTGGTGGCGCGTGCCTGTAATCCCAGCTACCCCGGAGGCTGAGGCAGGCGAATCACTTGAACCCTGGAGTTGGAGGTTGCAGTGAGCTGAGATCACACCACTGCACTCCAGCCTGACGACAGAGTGAGACTCTGTCTCAAAAAAAAAAAAAAAAAAAGTCAAGTCCTCAAAATACATCAAGAAGCAAAAACTGATAAATCCAAGAGGAAAAATAGACAAGTCTGTTTTTATACACAGAAAACACTGTATCTCATTCATTGAGTACACATATAGTAAGTCCTCACTTAATGTCATTGATAGATTCTTGGAAACAGACTGTAAGCGAAATGACATACAGCAGGTCCTAGAATAGCATCATTCAATGTCGTTGTATTATAACATTGATGAGAAAAAAGTTGGTTTTGTTATGTATTGTTTCACCTAAAGTCACAGTTTTAAGAACCTATTAATGATGTTAAGGGAGGACTTACTATATTTTAAAAATCAACAGTGATATAGAAGGCTTTAATAATACTATCAGCCAGTTTAATCTAAATTACATTTTTAGAACATACTAGCCAACAACAGCAGAATACATTTCACACATGCACTCATGGAACATTAATGAAGATAGACCATATTACAGGCCATAAGACAAGTCTCAATAAATTAGAAATGATTGGAACATGCAAAGTATGCTCTCTTTCCATAACAGAAAAGTAAGATATCTGAGGATTCCCCCAAATATCTGGAAAGTAAACAATACATTTCTAAATAACCCATAGTTCAAAGAAGAAAACACAAGGAAATTTGGAAAGTATTTTGAATTTACTACAAATGAAAACATAAAATATTGAGATATGTGGGAGGCACATAAAGCAGTACTTAGCAATTCATAGCATTACTTATATTAGGAAAGAAGAAAGCTTTCATATCAATGATCTAAGGCTCACATCTTAAGAACCAAGAAAAAAAATTAAACCAAAAGAAAGCATAAAGAGGGAATAAAATAAGAACAGAAATCAATGAAATAGAAAATAAAAACAGCAGAGAAAAATAAATGAAACAAAAAGCTGCTTCTTTGAATAGATAAAAAAGAGGTAGAAGACACAAATTCTAATATCAAGAATGAAAGAGAAGTCATCACTACAGTGCATGCATTAAAAGGATAATATAGGAATATCATAAATTTTAAAAATACTAAACAATTAGCAAATCAAATCCAGCAAAACATTTAATGTATATCATAACCAAATTTGATTTATCCTAGGAATGCAAGACTGATTTAATAGTTGGAAAGAAAGTAAAACAACTCAGCACATTAACAAATGAATGGAGGAAAAAATAATATAATTGGATGAATAAATGCAGAATAATTTATAAAATTTTATATTTATCATTAAAAACTCTTAGCAAACCAGGAATCAAGTAGGACTTCTTTAACTTGATAACCACACACACACACACACACACACACACCAAATCTGACATATGACAAAGGAGGAACTGCAAATCAATAAATAGTGCTATCGACTTTTAATAAGTAGTGCTAAGATAATTATTAATATGCCAAAAACCTATGCAATTTGATCCCCACTCATATCATGCACAAAAATAAATTCCACATGATTAAAGACCTCGTGCAAAAGAAAAACATATTAAGTTTTGCAAGATGATAACGAATGGATGAAAAGGATTTTTTAACAAAATAGATAAATTACACACCATAAAGGAAAATGTTGACAAATCTGACTACAGTGTAATTAAAACCTTCTGTTCATCAAAAGACATCATGGAGAAAGTGGAAAGACAAGCCACAGAGTGGAAGAATTTTTTTCAACACGTATAATTGTCAAAGGACTACTATCCAGAATATATAAAGAAATCCTACATGTAGAGAGAATCAGTAATTGCAGAAATGTGAATAAAAGCACAATAAATATCATTTCATACTCATCAGATTGGCAAACCTTTTAGCCTAAAAACATCAACTATTTATAACGACGTGCAGCAATGAGAACTCTTACACAAAGCTAGCAAGAGTGTCAACTGTTATAATCCCTTTTGAAAACATTTTGGCATTGTGTAATAAAGTTGTTGAGGCCAAGTGCAGTGGCTCACACCTGTAATCTCAGCCCTTTGGGAAACTGAGGCAGGAGAATCGCTTGAGCCTAGGCGTTTGAAACCAGCCTGGGCAATATAGTGAGACTTTGTCTCTACTAAAAATAAAAAAATTAGCTGGGTGTGCTGGTGCACACCTGTAGTTGCAGCTACTCAGAAGACTGAGGCAGGAGGATGGCTTGAGCCCAAGAGATTGAGGCTGCAGTGAGCCGTGGTCATGCCACTGCACTCCAGTCTGGGTGACAGAATAAGACCCTATCTTTAGTAAGTAAGTAAGTAAATAAATAAATAAAGTTGTTGATATGCATACTCTACAATCTAGCAATTCCACTCTTAGACAAATACTCAAATAAATGCCTACATATGTACAACAGTTCGAAGAATGAGCTCTGAAAGAAGTATGAAATCAAGAGAACTTGACATCTTAAATTTATGAAGGACTCCATTTAAATCATACCGAATACACTGGTGCAGGAGATTTTTGAAGAAGAATTAGAGAACAATTGCAACAGGATGTCTGAACCAGGTGCTAAAAGTTGAAAGCTTTGATGATATCACAGAGAATCAGAAGGCAGCAATCCTCTGGCCAGGTCTACTGTTGATCCAAGTTACCTGGAAGCAAAATAGATTTCCCTCCAAAAAAAAGTGATGAAACTACATTGTTTTTGTTTTGTTTTTATAATAGGATTATCTGGCTTGTGCTAGATTATTAATTCTTTGCTTAATAATTTAGGATGTGATGTTTAGGATCCAGTTTCTTATTAAGAAAAAACCCAGCCCTAGCAGCCTCCAAATCTACGCAGTTTAATCTTGGGCATACATAAATATTATACTCAGAAATAAAGATTGAGTAATTCTGTTCAAAGATATTTAGGTCAATATTACCTATATATCACCTATATATTGCCGGATACCTAGTGAAGTTTTGGCATTCGCTGCATTCTAATAATGTTAATTTGTTATGTGGAATAAGAATTTAGCATTTTTTAATTGCAGAAAAAATGTAAGTACAGAAACAGGAAAAGCATGAGCTTCCCCCCTTCTAAGCTGAGAGGTTGATCACTTTTTGTGCCAATGCACCAAAAATGAAGCAATTTAAACATTATTGTTTTAAGGCTGAAATTATAATGTCTTGATCTTAAACTAAATGTAGCTTCATGATTTCCTCATCACATCTCATTTAGTAAATACAAAATTCATTAAAGCAAATGCTTAAGATAATTTAAAATGCAGTTCATCATAAAAATGTTTAAAATATGTATCCCAGGGAGTTCTGAAAAAAATTCTAAAGGAAAATAAATTTCTTTAAAAATGTGTTTAAAAGTCACATGGACTAGATAGAATAATTAAGGCACATAAATGCAGAGCTGTGTTCTCTGTAACATTCTGACTGTGGCTCAAACTATGTGGGTTTTTCTGAAAACCACCTCAGTCACTTGCTATGACATCACTGATATTTAACTTCTTAGAGCTTCCATTTTCTAATCTGAAAATAAGGATAATACCTATCTCATAAGGATGCTGAGAGAATTAAATAAAATAATGCATACATGAAAGATGCTTAGCACAGTTTCTGGACATGGTAAAGGCTTAAAAAATGTTAAATATTATTGTTATTATCAATAATAAATTTATGTAAATAATGTGATTCTGACTTGGCATTTTCTTAATTATAGATCCTGACATTTTCTGGAGAATTCATTGGTCAGAGGATGTCCAGAAACTGTATAGATTTTCAATTCACAGACTATTTTGTTTTAAAATATATATATGAAAGAGAATAAATCATTTGGTGCCCATTCTATTTATTTATTTATTCATTTATTTTTATTTTTAGAGACAGGGTCTTGTTCTGTCTCACAGGCTGGAGTGCAGTTGCGTCATTGTGGCTCACTGCAACGTCGAACTCCTGAGCTCAAGTGATCCTCCTGCCTTAGCCGCTTGCGTAGCTGGGACTACAGGTATGCATCACAATGCCTAGCTAATTTTAAAAAAAATTTTTTTTAGAGATGGGGTCTCACTGTGTTGCCCAGGCTGGTCTTGAACTCCTGGGCTCAAGCAATCCTCCTGCCTAGGCCTCCCAAAACACTGGGATTCAGGCATGAGCCACCAAGCTTGGCTAGCACCCATATTTTAAACAATCAATTAAACTGCCTTCTGTTTACTCAATGAATTTTCTACTAGAAGTTAGAGGTGACTATCTTTTTTAAAGTCTGGATTCTCTAAATCTGAACTCACTTTCTAAAGAAAAGAATAGAGGCTGGTCCAATGGTAGTGGTTTATCAGAACTTATTCACATTAGTGTTGCTAAAGTTGGTATATGACTATCCACTGCTAAACTCACTGACATTAAAAAATAAAAAAATAAACAAACAATTAGAACATTGAATAATTAGCATGTATCGGTACTCATCTGATAATAGCATATAAACAAGGCCAGTAGCTTATACCTCTAAGTGAAGGTAAATGAAAATGTCTCAGAAATTGAAAGCGGCAAGAGTATTTAACTACATAATGCAAGCATTTTCACAAAAAGTTACTGGGTAAGCCAATAAGGGGTAAACTAGCAAAAACAGCTTTGTAATCTTTCTCTTTATAGTCACTCAAAAGGAAAAGAATCTAATATCAAAAATTATACTTAATGCAAAGCAGAAGATTACATTCAGATACGTTTTTCAATGATGGATATTTTCCATAGGAATGCATAAATTGCATTCCTCTTCAGTTACTCTGGGGATTCTCTTGGGGGTAATGTTCTATGTGGTATTTTATTGGATATGGAATGCTTCAATGCAAACACAGAAAGCATCTGCTATTAAGCCAACGTATATCTACTCTACAACTGCAACTTCTCTTGAGTTTGAAACAAAAAGCTACTGATGATTAATTGTAGCTCTCTTCTAAAACCCACAAATTTGTTGGTAAAACTTTATAAAACTACTTTTATCATTTCTTTGTTACCATATAACAGACTAAGATAATGATAATAAATATAAACAGTCTTATAAATAAACAGTTTATCACCTTATCACACTGTAGTCCAGGAAACACAGACATAACTGATGTTATAATTGTACCAAACTAAAAAGAAAATGAGTGAGGGACTTCAGAAAGACACTGATATCATTTTTCCAGATAAGGTGAATAAAATTTTTAAGTAAACAACATAATTATTGAAGGGGCTAATTAAAGTTTTAACCTCTCATGGTTTCATCATGATCATTGGTTATATTTTTAAACTATAACAAAATTATTACCTTAGAATAGTTTTCTTTAATGTCAAAAAATGCTTTCTTGCTATAATGACATACACTATGTTTCTACTAAAAGCTAGTCTGTCAACATTTCTTTTAAATTATTTAAATTCTTCAGGGACTAATTGCACTATTAAAGCCAGTGGAGAGCATCTAAAGATAGTCTCACACAAATTAAAAACATTAGTAAAAACAACTTGTCAATATACTAAATAATATGTGAGATTCCTCAGTATCCACAAGACAGAATTTTAAGTGCCTAATGCTTGAATAAGCTCAGTTGATGAAATAAAGTTTGAGAGTGGGAAGAAATTATCAGCAGGTTAATCTAGGGACTGTTTTAAAAATCCAAATTTATGTTTTGTTAAATTTAGAAATATATGTTTCCAGTAAATGTTTAGCACTAACGTCATGGAATATATTTCAAATTCTGTCAAGAATTCCTTTGCACATTCCGAAGGAAACCCAAAGCAAAAGTTCATTTTCTTAAGAAATAAATCTTTATAATCAACAGCATAATAAGTCTGGCCCCTTCCTATATCCCTACCTGTTTTCTCCATCTCTATGTACCTCTGCATTTTCACCTATCCTCCTCTCAAGACTTACCAGAACTCACATGCAGAAATTACTCTTTGAGTTTCAAGAAATGCAAAAAGATGGAGGAGAAATATTTTCCATTTTTTTCATATTTTTAAGAAGAAATGCATTGGAACACCCTTTTAGTGAAGAGCTTTTTATTTAAACAAGGGTAGGCATATTTACCTCCCTAGTCCCTAATCCATTACCTTTACCATTTCCCTCCCACTTGTAGACAAGGTGGTAAATGGCTGACGAACTCTCTAAATTTTCTACTTCCTTTACCATAGATCATGCATTATTTTTTAAATAAATGTATGTATGTATGTATGTATGTATGTATGTATGTATGTATGTATGTATTTAGAGACAGGGTCCTGCTCTGTTGCCTAGGTTGGAATGCAGTGGTGCAATCACGGCTCACCGCATCCTTGATCTCCTGGACTCAAGTGATCCTCCCACCTCAGCCTCCCAAGTAGATAGGACTTACGGGTGCATGTCACCATGCCTGGCTGATTTTTTTTTTTTTTTTTTTTTTTTTTTTAGTAGAACTGAGGTCTCACTATGTTGCCTTGGCTGGTCTCAAACTCCTGAGCTCACACAATCCCACCTCCTTGGCCTCCCAAAGTGCTGGGGTTATAGAAGTGAGCCAGCGTGCTCAGCCTAGATTATACATTCTTAACAGAGGTGAAAACTGGTTCTTGAGAGGAGAAAAAATATCACTCATTTTATTTATAAAGCCCATTTACACATACAGCACATAAATGGATAAACAGTAGATGTGCAAAATGAAAATTTCATGGGTAGGTATATTTAGAAAAAAAAATTGATTCAAACGGCTCCTTCAAAAGGTGATGATGAAAATAAAAGATTGAAAAACACCGCCGGCTGGGCGTGGTGGCTCACGCCTGTAATCCCAGCACTTTGGGAGGCCGAGGTGGGCGGATCACGAGGTCAGGAGATCAAGACCATCCTGGCTAACACGGTGAAACCCCGTCTCTACTAAAAATACAAAAAATTAGCCGGGCGTGGCGGCGGGCGACTGTAGCCCCAGCTACTCGGGAGGCTGAGGCAGGAGAATGGCGTGAACCTGGGAGGCGGAGCTTGCAGTGAGCCGAGATCGCGCCACTGCAGTCCAGCCTGGGCGAAAGAGCCAGACTCCGTCTCAAAAAAACAAAAAAAAAAAAACACCGCCTTAGATCAGAAATTCCCAACCAGTGTGCCTCACATGGGTTACAGCTGTGTCAAGATACTATCCTCCAAGCTCTTGGCATGGCTGCAGTTCCAAATCAGGTACCTCTGGTTACAAATGGCTGTTTTCTTCACCCTAGGGTGCCATCCAAATATTATTAATTTTTATGTGTGCCATGACATGAGAAAGATTAGAAAACACTGCCCTAGAGAAATGAATCTCTCTACTTTCCTGGGACAACTGAGGCTGTCAGTTGTAAGACCCTTCATCTTAGTCTCTATCCCCTAGCCCGTATCTGTGTATTTTCACCTGTCTTTCTTCAAGACTCCTTTTCTTACCACAGTGAGATAAGGGGTTATCCTTTCTTTCCAAGGCTACTGTGTGGCCCACCGTTTCATGGGCCTTGCTCCCTCACTATTCACCATCTCTCATGCATCCTTGATCTTTCCTTCTCTATTACTCCTTTGCCTCCTTGCCAACAAACGTACCCACATGTCTCTTCTCTTGGAAAAAGTTCCTCATCTGGACTTCTAAGTGTCATTCTAATTCTTTTCTTTTCATTGTCAATTAATTAATATGAAGTCTAAAAGTGCTACTTCTAAGATGTTTATTGTTTTATACTATTTAATAAATGCAAAAATAATATTTATAAAATACATGTAAGTTACAAAGACTTACACTACAAAAAAACACCCATGTACCCACCACTCAGTTTAAGAAAAGGAATTCATTATCTTTAGATTTGTAGTGCCCTCTGTGCTCTTCCTTAATCCCATATCCTTCCTTCGCTATCAGAGTGACTATGTTTGTGTTTTTTATTCTCGTGCTTTTCTCTGTGTTATTACTACATACATGTATATTCCTAAATACTATATAATTTGGTTTTACGTACCCTTGAACGTTATATAAATGGAATAATTTATCACATAAGTTTCTGAGATTCATCCTTGCTCTTCTGGGACATGTAATTAATCCATTTTTATTGTTAATAACATTCTATTGTAAGACTGTACTTTCATTTATCTAGTCTGCTACTCAACAAAACTGAACTCTCAAATGACTTCCTGATCACTGAATAAACAGTCCGTCTTGAATCCTTCTTGGCTACAATAACATAGCTTTCATCCTCCTTCTAACCAATGCATCTTGAATTCAGAAGCTATTTCAAGAGCAGATAAAAATAGAGACGATAAGGGAGAGGAAGTATGCGATTGGGGATATCTTGTTTGGGACACTGGGTAGCTAACACCGCTAACTGACACAGGAAACACCAAAGGGCAGGTTTGCGGGGAAGAGGATGAGTTCAGTTAGAAGCTTCAGATGTTCCATGTGGAAATATCCAATTTAAAGTATGGATCTAGAAAGGAACAGATGTGTCAAGACTAGGGATAAAGCCATGAAATGAGCCGTATGACAAGGACAAGTTGTTCTCAAACTTTTGCATATATCAAAATCAATTGATGAGTTCTACCTCCGAGCTGCTGATTCAGGCTTAAGCATCTGCATTTCTAATAAGATCCCAAGTGATATTGCTGGTCTGGGGACCACACTTTGAAAATCTCTGGATGAGACAATATTGCCCATAAAGAAGGTGAAAACTAAGAATAGAAGCTCAAGAGCAGGGTCTTGAAGAATACAAAGAGACAGGTAGAAAGAAGGAACCAGTGAAGGAAAATGAAAAAGAATTTTCAGAGAAGCGATGAGAATGGTAGAATTGCAAAAAGGGTATAGTAAATAGTATTAAACAACTGAATAGAATGAAGACTGAAAATAAGTTATTGGATAAAGTAATTAGGAGGTCACTGGAGAGCTTAGTAAAAGCAGTTTTGTAGAGTGAGAAGGAAGAAAAATACTATAATGAGTTGAAAAAATACAGACTACACTTGGGAAAGTTTGATTGTAGAGAGTAGAAGAGACAGAACAGAAGCTTGAGAAGGCAGAGCACTATGGGAAAGGTGACTTGGGATAAAAAACTTGTGCACATTTGTAAGCTAAAGGGAAAAGATGTAAGAGAGGAAGACATGGGAGATACCGGAAAAGTTAAAATAATTGATGGAGTAAGGCTCCCATTGGAATTGTAATGGAATAGTATCCAGGGCACAGGTCAACTAGTCAGTCCTGGGCAAAAGAATCAGCTCTTCTGAGATAGGGGTGAAAGAAGTTAAAAATAGACATTGTTAGAGATACGAACAGAGGTGAAGGGAAAGGAAAGAGCACGCTGGGAGAGACATGCCTAAAGACTCTATTTTCTCTGTAAGCCTGCCCTACAACAAACATTAAAGGAATTTCTCCAGGCAGAAGGAAAATAATACCAGATAAAAACCTGGATCTACACAAAGGAAAGAGTGCTGGAAATATAACTTTATATGATAAAATCTAAAAGATATATTTTTCATTTTTAGTCTCTTTTTAAAAATAACTGAAGCAAAAAATAATAACAATATATTACAGGATTTACTATTTCAAAAAAGTAAAACGTATTTCAAAAAAGAGTACATAAGTAAAACGTATTTCAAAAAAGAGTACATAAGAAAGAGGAGTGGTATTTCAAGTATAGTGACATAAGCTTCTTATCCTATATGTAAAGTGGTTTACTATTGTTTGAAAGTAGACTGTGATAAAAAAGATATAAGCTCTAAATCAATGGTTCTCAAAGTGTGGTCTAGGGGGTCTGAGGAAGGTTAGATCTAGAAATCCCAACACCTAGCTAACAGAAGTACCAGAAAGAGAGACTCACGTTTATGTTAGCATGATAAAGGCTTTAAGAAATCCCGTAGTAGGATGTGGAGAAATAGGAACATGTTTACACTGCTGGTGGGACTGTAAACTAGTTCAACCATTGTGGAAGACAGTGTGGCAATTCCTCAAGGATCTAGAACTAGAAATACCATTTGACCCAGCCATCCCATTACTGGGTATACACCCAAAGGATTATAAATCATGCTGCTATAAAGACACATGCACATGTATGTTTATTGAGGCACTATTCACAATAGCAAAGACTTGGAACCAACCCAAATTTGTCCATCAATGATAGACTGAATTAAGAAAATGTGGCACATATACACCATGGAATACTATGCAGCCATAAAAAAGGATGAGTTCATGTCCTTTGTAGGGACATGGATGAAGCTGGAAACCATCATTCTCAGCAAACTATCGCAAGGACAGAAAACCAAACACCGCATGTTCTCACTCATAGGAATTGAACAATGAGAACACTTGGACACAGGAAGGGGAACATCACACACCGAGGCCTGTTGTGGGGTGGGGGGAGGGGGGAGGGATAGCATTAGAAAATATACCTAATGTAAATGACGAGTTAATGGGTGCAGCACACCAATATGGCGCATGTATACATATGTAACAAACCTGCACGTTGTGCACATGTACCCTAGAACTTAAAGTATAATAAAAAGAAAATAAAAAAATAAAGAAGAATTAACACCAACAACAATAAAGAAATCTCGTAGTAAGCAAGTTTGTTTAACTTAATGTTTAACAAATTTGATTGACCACAGAACTCACTTTTCAAGTTATACTTATTAACATCTCACAGAACTAGTGTTACCATGAAATATATTTTGGAAAATGCCACTAGTTCTGAAAGACATTAATAAATATTAAAAAATATCCTAGTCACAATATGAACACAGATATGCCTTAAACAATGTATGCATTCTTGTAGCTAATAAAACATAAATTAGTAGCTGCATATTTTGAGAAAAAAAAAATCACAGGCTTTAGAATAGACCCGATCTGGTTTTCAATCGTGACTCACCACTTACAAGATAAGAGACCTTAGACAATCTACTGATCTTATTGTGAGGATTATACGACACAACATGTATAAAAAAAACCTGTAAGTTACCTGGTACATAGTGGTAGGTACTCACTAAATAGCAGATAATGATGATAATGATGAAGATAAACAAGAGTCCTTTAAATAGTACATTCCCCAACACATTTTAAATGAAATTCAATTCTCAAAAGTTCCATCTTATTTGAGGAGCATAGAGTAAACCATCTCTATTAATGTTTTTTAAAGAGTGGAATTTATAAGCTCATAGTGTACCACCATGCCCGGCTAATTTTTATAATTTTTGTGCAGACAGGGTTTGGTCGTGTTGCCCAGGCTGGTCTCAAACTTATGAGCTCAAGCGATCCACCTGCCTTGGCCTCCCAAAGTGCTGATAGCCAACTAAGAGGTTTACTTACTGAGATACTAAAAATATATTACTATGAATATCACACAATGCCACAGCACAGACATCCAAGGAGAGCATTTCAGTGAAGCTCTAGAATTGTTTCTTACTTAAGGTAAAACAACTGAAATATGCATTAAAGCCTTATAATAAAAGGGTTATTGTAATTTAAGTTAAATTTCTTACTGAAATGTTGTTTAATATAGCTCTAACAGTCATTATGAGTAATGTTTATGCTAATGAACTCATCCATTAATATTCACAGAAGAGGATCTGAAGAGGAGGGAGGAAAGCAGTAGTTATTCCAGGCAGTGAAAATTAGATGAATCTTTGTAGGGACAATATAAAAACCTAGTTAGAATGATAATGAAAAAATTGCGCATGTCTTTGGGAAACAATGAGTCCAACCATGTACAGAGGGCCTTGAAAGCTAGGCAGAAGAATTCAAATTTGATCTGATAGGCAGGGAAAAAAACCACTGTTAAATTCATCATCTTAGGACCCATGTAATAAAAACAATGTTTAAGAATGACTAGGCTATTAGTGACACTTAATTTGCCTCAAATAGAGAGTGAGTCAGGAAGCCTACTTTATTACTTGAATGATGGCTATATTGAGACATTAGGCTACAAGAGTAAGACATGCTTGTTATATAAATAAATGATTGAGCAAGTGAACTGTGTTAAAGGGCAAGCAGACAATGGCTTGGTCATTTTTCAGTCAAAGAGGATGAAGGACCAGGTTGAAATAGATGGTCCCACAATTTTATGTGTGGGTGACGGGGAGAATGGTGGCATGAAGAGAGAGACCTATAGGGAAAATTTGTTCATTGATATTCTAAAGTGATATAAAAATTAAAATATTCAGTAGAAATTTTAGACATGAAATTAGATTTTGAAGAACTTGCCTTTATATGTCATATATATTTTTTACATATATACATATATACATTTTTTTTGAGACAAGGTCTTGCTCTGTTGCCCAGGCTGGAGTGCAGTAGCGTGATCTTGGCTCACTGCAACCTCTGCCTCCCTCCCAGGCTCAGAAGGTCCTCTTGCTTCAGCCTCCCAAGTAGCTGGGACTACAGGCGTGTACCACCATGCCTGTAAAAATATAATTTTTATATTTTTTGTGCAGGCAGGGTTTGGTCATATTGCCCAGGCTGGTCTCAAACTCATGAGCTTGAACGATCCACTTGCCTTGGCCTCGCAAAGTACTGGGATTACAGGGATGAGCCACCGTGCCCAACTGACATATTTTCTTTTTACATAGATATGCAAAGTAAATTACATTAAATATGTAGTATATCCTGGGACATGTTTTTCCCCAAGTAGAATTACTTTTTAAATTATATTGATCTAGGCTGTACTTAAAATCTACTTTAGTGTTCAACAATGAGAACACATGGACACAGGGAGAACATCACACACCAGGGCCTGTCAGGTGGGGGGCAAGGGGAGGGAGAGCATTAGGACAAATAACTCATGCATGCGGGGCTTAAAAACTAGATGATGGGTTGATAGGTGCAGCAAACCACCATGGCAAATGTATACCTATGTAACAAACCTGCACGTTCTGCACATGTATCCCAGAACTTAAACTAAAAAAAAAAAAAAAAATCCACTTTAATGACAGTCACCCCAGAAGCCGGTAGACTGGATTAAAATGATCTTATTAAATGTAATTCATATATAAATGTCTGTGAATTTAAGTATTATAATTCCCATTTCATAGATAACAAAAAAATATACGACAGATTTTTAAAGGGATCAGCTGAGGACCAATAGATTTTTTTCTTTTATTTTTTTTTAAGACAGGGTCTCACTCTGTTTCCCAGGCTAGCATGCAGTGGCTTATTGTAGCCTCTAACTCCTGGGCTCAGGCAATCCTCCTGCCTCAGCCTCCTGAGGACATACCTGGGACTACAGGTGTGTGCCACCACATCTGGCTAATTTTTGAATTTTTTATAGAGATGGGGGTCTCACTATGTTGCCCTGGCCTCAAACCCCTAACCTCAAGCGACCCTCCTACCTAGGCCTCCCAAAGCACTGGGATTGCAGTCATGAGCCACTGTGCCCACCCCAGATTTTAATGAACTGAATGGATAAGCAATGTTGAAACCCAGCTGTCTCTAATTTATCCACAAAAATTGACAAAAGAAACAACAAAACAATATACAATAGCTGATAATCCCAATGTAAATAATAAACAAAATCTGAAATATATTTTGCCACATTAATCTTAAGTCAGGTATACCTGACTCTCAAACTAGTAGTTCATGATAAGATTAAGAAAGATTACTTTTCAGAAATGTATTCTGCCTGTTGAGACCTGGGAATGTAATTTTCACTGTGAGCAACAACTTGGGGTTGGAGGCAGAATGGTTGGGATGGGAGGACAGACCTCTTGAATCTGAGCCCTAAGACTTCTAATAGTACCTAAGACTAAGAGGATACGAAGATTTGATATTATCATGAAACAGTATATCTAATTCTTACCATTAATAACTGGCGTGTAAACAACAATCCCAACCAAGTTTGGGTCTGATACAGTTGTGTCCAGAATAAGGCCCCCAATGCTGAAAGAGATAAAATTATATAATTTAGAGAAGAGGGAAGAGAACATACTTGAAGTTATTCTGTACATACAGACACCCCTCCTTTTTAAAATAAAATATTCACACATTTTAAAAATAGAGCAAAAATAAAAATATTCAAAGTAAAAATCAATGTCAACAGTAAAATGTTGAAAATAAAACACGGCATAAGCTCTAGCCCCAAATTTCAGAATTCTGATGTCTAAGATATGCTACTTGTGAAAAGAAAAAGCATACGCTTTAAATGCATTAAAATGTCTTGAACAGTATACGAGAAATTATTAACCATGTCTATTTCTGGGGGTGAGGGTGACAGGGGACTGACGGTCATTTTATATCCTTCTGTGCTTATTAATTTTTTAAAACCATGCCATTGATCACTCTTATAATTTAAAAAATAATTTAAAAAAGAGTATGGTTTCATATTTGAAATAAAGCATAAAAGAGGTTATTTTTATTGTATTAAAACTAGATATTGTTAGGATGTGTCTTATTACTGGCAAATTAAAATAATGAGTTATAGCCACAGAAAGAGCTGATCTTGAGAACAGAAATCTGGAAAACTAACATATCGTTATATGGTAGCAAGCCATACACTCTCAATGTGTCAGTGGAACTTGGAGATTTTTCTAAGTTTCCAAGGCCATTATCAACTGGTTAACATCAGTTTCTGGGTCTGTGTAGTATAAAACATTGCCAGTCCTAATATTCCATGGGATCCTGTGCCCAAATCTTCCAGGAAAATGCCATCCACATTACAACAAAATGAACTACATGCTGTCACAGAATGGGATTGTCAAAATATCAGATCAAATGTTCTTACCTGATAGTTAACATTAGAAAATTATCAAATCTTTATTATTTTAATTCTTTAGTAAAATAAAGGAATTATGCCTTAATAGGCCTAAACTGTGGGCGTTCTCATTAAAGAGGTACACTGTAGAGTCCCAAAATAGTCCTCTTTAGAAATATTTTAACATTTTAAGCCCTAATTAAAAGAATAAAGTACATACTTCAAGAACAAACTAGTTCTGAGTCAAAAAATAAACCTCCCTGACAAAATATATAGATCATGTTGTGGATATAACATAACAATTGCTAAAAATACATTTTTTAGATTCCTGTTAAGCCCAGTGATAAAAGTTACTATAGAAAAAATTAGAAAAGACAAAATGAAGAAAGTAAAAACCAACCCTAGTTACACCATTGAGTTACACTGTTAGTATGCTGTTATATAGGCTTCTAGACTTTTTTTAACTTATTTTGTTACTTATTTAAATTGACAATAAAAATTGCACATATTTATCCTATACAACATGTTTTGAAATATGTATATATTGTAGAATGACTAAATTGAGCTAATTAACTTATGCATTACTTCACATACTTATCTTTTGTGGTGAGAACACCTATACAACATGTTTTGAAATATGTATATATTGTAGAATGACTAAATTGAGCTAATTAACTTATGCATTACTTCACATACTTATCTTTTGTGGTGAGAACACCTAAAATCTCTTGGCAATTTTGATGAATACAATACACTGTTATAAACTATCACCACCATGTTGTACAATAAATCTCTTGAATATGTTCCTGTAGTCTAACCAAAATTTTTAATCCACTGACCAACATCTCCGCAACCCAGCTTTTTTACTATATACATTTTTAAAAATAAAAATTAAATGATAAAAGTAGTTTTATTTGCTTTTATTAAATTTTATTTTTATCATATAGATGTGTGTCATTAAAAAAGTAAAAGTACAGCCAGCATGGTGGCTCATGCCTATAATCCCAGCACTCCGGGAGGCCGAAGTGAGAGGACTGCTTGAGACTAGCAGTTTAAGACCAGCCAGGTCAACATAGTGAGACCCTGTCTCTACAAAAGAGTAAAAATATTATCTGGGTGGGTGCATGCCTGTAGTCCCGGCTGTTCAAGAAACTGAGGCAGGAGGGTTGTTTGAGCCTAGGAGTTTGAGGCTGCAGTGAACTACAATCAAGCCACTGTGCTTCAGCTGGGGAAACACGGCGAGACACAATCTCTAAAAAGAAAAAAAAGAGGTATATAAAAGTACCATAAAGTTCATAATAAAATAATGGTCCCTAGCCCCACCTCCAGGTCCTTCTCTGTACTAGAAATTCTTTTTATCTTCTTTAGTAGTTTCTTATGGCATTTAGTTTTTCTAAATAACATGCTTATACTGCTATTTCTTCATATTAAATTTTAGACATTTAGCAAATGACTTCCTACTATGGCAGATGAGGATTTGACCTCTCTTACACTTCCCTCCCACTTTGATCCCTTCCCAAATCCCTTCCTCCTCCCATCCTGCTAATCTGGTTATAATTTCTGGTGAAATACTTAGGGTTGACTTTATTATAACAACAGAAATTTCATTACTCATAGCTGAGCCACAGAGTGTATTATTAGATATCCTCACGTACGCTTTTTGCTTTGCCTCATATTTTTCTTAACTTTTTAGGTACCTATTACTAATTCAACCTCACATGTGTAACTAAGTTTATGAAGTACCTTTCAATACAGTCAAACTCATCAATTCCACTTTTTTTTTTTTTTTCTTAGAGACCTCCCTCCTTAAGTCCCCTGTCCTCCTGCCAATCTGGATGGTTGCCTGTCTAGGCCTGATGTACAGCTGTCATCCTGTACCTTCCCTCCAATACCCCCTTGGATCCTGGTCTATGTACTATAACAAAAGCCCAGTATTTCATGGGATTCTGTTGCCTGAATCCTCCAGGAAAAAAGCAATCTACATTACAGAAAAATGAACCACATGCTGTCACAGAATAGATTTCTTCTTTCCTGTATCATCTTTCTTAATTTGTTTCCTAATTTTGATAGACCACACCTCCTTTCAGCTTTATACAAAGGGGTAGAGGGGCAGTAAATTCCATGAGATCCTGCCTGTCTGAAAATTTCTTTAGTCTTCTCTTACACGTGGTTGATATTGTGACTGTATTTTATGTTCAAAATAATTTTCTCTCAGAATTTCAAAGGAATCATTTTAGTGTTGCTACTGGACATCATTCTGGTTCCCAGTGCTTTATATGTAACTTATTTTTTCTCTGGAAACATTTGGGATTCATGATAATATGCTTTCACTTGGGTCCCACCTACTTTAATTTATTGCACTGGGTACTTAGCAGGCGCTTTCCATCAGGTAGCTCATGTTTTTCAGTTCTGGGAATTTTCTTGTATTATTTATTTGAGAATTTTCTCTCCTTATCATTCACCTCCTATTGTCTATCTCTTTGCTTCATGGTTTGCTTTTCAGGAGGGTTCCTCTACTTTATATTCCAACTCTTCTACATAATTTATTTCTGCCATTTATGTATTTTTTTAATTCCCAAGAGCTCTTTGTGTTTTTCAAATCTTCTTTTGCATTCTGTTCCTATATTATGAATATTATGCAATAGCTATTATGCAATAGTTTCTCTTATTTATCTGAGGATACTGATAAGAGTTTTCTGAAAGTACTGATGGTACTTTCCTTGAGTACTATTTTTTTTTCCCATCTGTCTTTTATGTTAGAGGCCTTTATGAAATGTCTAGCAATCCTTTACTGGCTGCCCTGTTTAAGGGGCACTGCAAGGCATACTTGGAACTCTCTGTGTACATGGGCAGAGTTTGTCAGCAAGTGGGACTCATGGAAGACAATCAGGTGGGTTTGTAGCTCTTTCATTAAAGGACTCACAAGGGTTAGTATCTGCAGATCTGATCTTTTGTGCTGGTAAGTTCCCCCACAAATGAATTATCTAATTTTTTGCCTGGGGGTAAAAGGCTGTCTCTCAGCATTATACAAAGAAAAGGAAGTGGGATAGGGTTCTCATTGTTCAGTAGACTTTTACTTAGTCTTGCTATTTGTCACACAGTGCTTGAGCCACATCCTCACATGTACAGATGTTTCTGAATCTAGAACCTCTCCGATTTAGCCTCTTGAGAGGTTATTCTTGTCTTCTGCTAGGGTGTGAGGGGGCAGTCACATGGGTGCTAAAGCTGGAGAAAGATTGTGGGGATCTAATTGCTCCTTACCTAAACTTTCAACCAATCTTCCTCATTGCAGCTTTCAGATGTACTTGATGCCTTTAATTCCTCTTTCTGGGTTTCTGAGACTTGCTTCTGATAGGCAGTTAGGTGTCAGCTTTTTTCATTCTGCTCATTCAGTTAACAACTCTTCATCTGATTCCTATCTTCCTAATGTTGTCTCTCACCTGCTGCCCTCTTTGCTCCTCCTCTGTCTTTGTGGTTTTATAGCATTTTTATTCTTTTACTGTCCTTTTAGTAATTTCAGGAAGGAAAAGAAACGTTTCTTAATCTAACATGTTTAATAGGAAATTCATACTCTTTTCTAGGTTGTTCTTCTCATCAGATGTATCATAAACTCTTTCCATAGCAATAGAAATGCTACAATGTTATTTTAATGGCTGATACTCCATTTTGTGACTATATAATAATTTATCTGATCAATACCGTATTGCAAGACCTTTATGTTGTTCTATTTATTTTTGTTATTAAAAACTCTGGGGTGATGAGGATGCTTGCAGCTAAATCTTTTACATATGTCCTTAATTACATCTTTAAGGTCATCAGAGTCCTAGATATGGAAGTAGCCAATGGAATATACATTTCTAAGGCTTTATGATACTCATCTGAGCAACTTAATACTCAGAGTAAGTAATGTCCTTGTCAGGTTAACATACACATACACACACAAAGACAAACACCACTAAATTTTACTCAATCTGGTAAGGCTTTGGAGAGAAGTTTGAAATTGGTAGCCACATGAGGTTCTTTACATCTACTGATTTCATTAATTATGCCTGTCATTTAGATCCCTTGTTATAATACCCGGGAGAATAATGAATTGGCTATATAAAATAATTAACCTAAGAAATAAAAACAGGCAATTCATTTATTTTAATATGCATGTACATATATGCTTATAGAAGACACACAAAGACAGACAGACGTACACACACACACACACACACACACACACACACACATATTTTAATACTAACCTACTTATAACCATAGCTGTTATGACAGGCTCCCAGCCTGAGTGGAGAACTGTTCTTGTGGCTGGATGTTTGGCAGCTATTATAATCCAAATAGGGGTTAGAGCCAAGAAAAATACACCAACTAATGGAGAAATGTAGTAATAGGTCTCTAAAATTAAAAAAAAAAAAAAAAAGAGAGACAACATTTAAATCTCTCTTCTATGTAGCAGATCTAAATTATCAAAGTTTACTAGAAGGTACGACACTATCAAACATATTAACATGCTATACATTTTCTATAAACTTCAAACAAATTTATAACTGTAAATAAGGTAAAAATATTAAACAATGTAACTGAAAAGTAACACATTAATTCAATAAACATTTACTAAAATAGTTACATAACCTACATGAAAATAGCATAATAACAATAACAACAAGAACAGTAACAGTAAAAAAGCTAACATTTATTGGGCTCCTACTATATACCAAGTACTATGCTAAATGCTTTACATTCATCATCTCATTTCATTGTCCCCACCAATATAAAATAGATACTGTCATTTCTATTTTATGAAGAAACTGAGGCTTAGAAACTTAAGAATACAGTGAGGAAATAGGGAGAGCCGGAAGAAAATATGTATCTGACACCAAAGTTAGTGCTCTTAACTCTAAAGGTAAATAGGATATTATTTTTGTCCATAGGGATCTTATAGTACAGGCATTCCATAAAATATTGGCTGCCTACTGATAATAGATATCCAAGCTCCAAAATGAAATAGAAAAACTAGGTTTGATTCTCAATTCATATTTAATTCTAAATCTCCCTAGGGTTAAAAGTTGCATATCCCTTACTGAAAGTCTTATCATCTCAAGGCATTTTTTGGATAATATCATTTTAACTGATCAAAGTTTCATTATTATCAGAGATATTCCTGGCTTCTTCTCCATAACTCTAATTAATTTATTATGCAGAATAAGTACTTTTTAACTTAAAGGCAGAGTTTGCCTCGCAGTCCTATAGCCTACAGCCTTAGATTACTTAATCTAAGTCAAATGTTACTTAATATTTTGATCTTACAGAATGCTGCAACCCTTACCCCAACTCTTATCTTTGACTGAATTTTCTATTTTTTTTGCTTCTTAAGGTATTTAAAGATCTTCTCACCTATGACTAAAGATGCTTGAACTACATACAAACCCAAAATTTTTATTTTTTCCATATCATGTAGGAATAAACAATTATTATAGATATTAAAATAAAGCTAAACAAAGTTTACTCCTAAGCTTTTGTATGGATTTGCCATCACATCTTCTCACAGTCCTGTAGCCTACAGCCTTAGATTACTTAATCTAAGTCAAATGTTACTTAATTTTTTGATGTTACAGAATGCTACAACCCTTACCCCAACTCTTATCTTTGACTGAATTTTCTTTCTTTTGCTTCTTAAGATATTTAAAGATCTTCTCACCTATGACTAAAGATGCTTGAACTACATACAAATCCCAAATTTTTATTTCTTCCATATCATGTAGGAATAAGCAATTATTATAGATATTAAAATATAGCTAAACAAATTTTACTCCTAAGCTTTTGTATGGATTTGCCATCACATCTTTAAAATAATTATACTAATAAAATTTATTTTTATATTTTCTTCTATTTAAAGGAATATGACTAATGCTACATTGTGTCATTTTCTCCATGATTTTTTAAAAGATGAAAAAAACCTTTTATTTGTTGAATGGATTCACAGTTCTCCTTGTAAGCCAACAGATAAGGATAAATAACATCCCAGTTAGGAAGCATTTCAATCTACTAAAACAACTAAGGTTGCCAATAATTTCTTTAATAGAACGAAATAGAAAACAAAATGCATTGAAAACCACTAAACACAAATGAAAAGAACTATTCTGCTAGGTCAGATCATCTTAGTATTTTATTCTCAGGTCAAGAGAGGAGCACCCTGCTAGACTTTAAAGAAGCTATCCTCAACATTAAATCTCTGGAAGGACATCTGAAGCTGAAAAACGCACCCACCACACCCACCCCAGAATCACTGCCCTGAATTTTCAAAGAGGAGAAAAAATACCTTAGGAAAGAAACTAAAAATAATGAGCAGGCAGTTCCTTAAAAAGTTAAACAGAGTTTAACTTGACCCAGCAATTCTACTCCTTCATGTACACCCAACAGAATGGAAAACATATTTACATAAAAACTTGTACATTACATAAAAACTTGAATGTTCATAGCAGCACTATGCATAATGGCCAAAAAGTAGAAGCAACCTAAATGTTCATCAAATGGTGAATAGATAAACAAAACTTAGTATATCCATAAATGGACTATTACTTGGCCATTTCATTAATCCATACAATTGGATGTTACTCTGCACTTCATATGATTCAAAAATGATGCATGTGACAACGTGATGAACCTTGAAAACATTATGCTAAGTGAAAGATGCCAGACTCAAAAGGTCACATATCAAATGATTACTTTTACATACAAGCCCAGAATAGGCAAATCCGAAGAGAAGGTAGATTGGTGATTGTTAGAGGAGGGGTGGGATGAGGAATAACTGCTAAAGTATTCTGTTTTGTTTACAGATAGGGTCTCACTTTGTCACCAAGGATGGCGTGCAGTGGCATAATCTTGGCTCAGTGCAGCCTCAAATCCCTGGGCTCAAGTGATCCTCCCATCTCAGCCTCCCAAAGTGCTGGGATTACAGGCATGAGCCACCATGTCAGGCCCAGCGTTTCTGTTTGAGGTGATGAAAATGTTCTGGAATTAGATCACGGTGATCCTTGTACAACCTTATGAATATGCCAAAAACCACTGAATTGTATACTTTAAAAAAGTGAATTACATGGCATGTGAATTACATCCAATTTTTAAAAATCCTCACAGAGGGGAAAACAGGAAGGAGGACTACATTCTTCAAAAATGTCTGTCATTAAAGACAAAGGATATACACACGTACATAGACAAAGAGAGAGAACAAAAGATAAAGCAAATGGGGTAAAATGTTAACCTTAGGTGAATCCAGATAAAGAGTATGCAGGGGTTTTTTTTGTACTGTTTTGATTTTTGCAACTATTCTATAAACATATAATTATCTTCAAATAAAAGTTTGTTAAATGTTAAAAAGGTGGGAAAACCATGATAAAACCCAAATTTCCAAATGTTTACTGTAAATGTATTCTACTTCAATTACCTGCCAAATCCAACATGCCCATTCCCACCAAATTAGACCATATGGATAATTCTATAGGACCCTCCTAACTTATTCCTGGCTAACTTCTAATCCAATTTTGATAGGTAGGGAAAATTACAAATATATAAAAAGAGATGCTACAAACATTTCTCTTTTTTGGATATACTGGTGTTTTATAGATGTCATAAAATTAAAGAATTACTTTTAGAAAACCACCAATGACACAATCAACAGAGCAAATAGTCAATTAAAGGCCAACTATGAACTTCCACATTAATATTAAAATGTAAAATCATCTTCCTTCTAAATGAAACACATTTAAAAGATCCTGGTTAAAATAATATTTTGTATTAAAATCTGGGTATATCATAATGGGTATTAGGGTAGGATGAATAAAATCTAGTAATAATTCACAGGACCTGTGAATGCTACCTTATACGGCAAAAGGGGCTTTGTAGAAATGATTAAGTCAAGAATTTTGGGATGGGAATATTATCCTGGATTATTTGTGTGACCCCTAAATATAATTGCAGGTATAGGAGGGAGGCAGGAGCAGATGTGGCTGCAGAAGAGAAGAAAGCAATGTGACCACAGAAACAGAGATTGGAGTCATACAGCTACCAGCCGAGAACACCGGCAGGCAGCTGCCAGAAGATGGAAGAGGCAAGGAACAGATTCTCCCCAAGACCAGAAGGATCCAATCCTGATGACACCTTGATTTTATTCCTATATAACTCATTTTGAATTTATACTTAATTGTAATTGTTCTGGTTTCCAGAACTGTAAAAACAAAACAAACAAAAAAACCCAAAAAACATTTCTATTGTCTTAAGCCACAAGGTTTGTGCTAATTTGTTACAATGGCAATAGATAACTAATACATGCATATTTAAAACTTCTTGGAATTTTAAGCCTAATAAATGTCCATTATACATTAATACTGACTCTGTGATATAGGCAAACTACGGAAAAGTAAAGATTAACACAGCTAAAGTGGTTCAAATCGCTCTGATGCCTCCTAACTGGCAAACATAACTAGCATCTTTTGTGATCCAGTTTTCACATTTTATATTGTTGACGGCATTTCCCAACTGCTGTTATATCATTTCATTAATAGTGTTCATCATTCTCACCCCAAATTCTTCTGAAACATGTAGCTGTTATGATTGACAATTTTTATGTATTAGCTGTTTCTATGTAAACAACAAAGCAATGGGCACTGTAAGTTGTGATTTTTTTCTAAATGCCCCTTAATAATTGATCTAAATTTTCTGAGGGAACTGATACTCTAGAAATCACTCTAACCTAAGATGGTACTGTGCTAAAAATCCCTCAAGCATAGAGACATTCAAGATAAATTTAGATTCTACTCACACCACCACATTAAGGCAGAGATATTCTAGAATGGTCTGTAAATAACCAGGTGGCATCCTTGTTAGTCTCCATAGGAATGCAGTAACCTGAGGCTAATTGCTACTGCTCTTACAGCTTCAGCTAAGCCATCTGTTTAAAGTTAATCTTGAAAAATGAAAAATCAATCAACATTTTGCCTCTCAGATCTCGCCTACAAAGAGAATATCTAATAATTTTTTCAAATCAATAAATATCATGTACACACAAGAATTAGATAGCCATGCAGTTATAAATATGTGAAAAAGAATTTTTTAAATCTTCTTGGAACTTATGCAAACAGAAAGAAAGGAGCAACAATCATGTGAACATATATATATTCCAGTTACTGGCCCAATGTTGAATCTTGTTAATAGCTTTTAAAGATTACTGTATGTTTAAAGATTACTATACGAATGTATAAATGCCTTTATATTGTCCCTGCAAGCCACACAAAAGTATATCAGAATCCAGAGCTTAGATTACTCTCTGAACTTTCTATTTCCATTTGAAATAGATCTTTTCTAGCCATGTGTTGCCATTTTTATTTTTCTATAGTGGTACTAATTCCCAGATACTTTCTGCTAAGATATCCTTCCAATATTTCCCCAATACTATATCCTCATCAAAATGATTTTTTGTTACAATCTATTATGTTATTGGACAATTACTGTGCCAAAATCATTCTGAATAACTTCTAATCACGTTAATTGGAGTGCTTTCAAAAGGAATAAAGCATTTGGTGAAGTACTGTTTATTAAACATCTGTTTTGTATATGGCACTATAGGGTGCTACAAAGAAATAAAATAAGAACGCAGTTTTGTCCTTAAGAAGCTTATATCCTCATAAGAGAAGGTATAACATTTATAGAAAAAGCTATAATGACCAGCCACACATTAAACATGTCACAAGAGAAGTGTCAATTAAGTGTTATAGGAATTCAGAGGAGAAAAAAGATCACTTAAGACTAGGAAAATCTATAAATGTAGGCTTTAAAAATGAGAAGGATTTGGATTGGCCTTGATGGGAAGAAGAGGATGAACTGGGAGAGGGGAATGAGGAATGAATTGAGGGAGGGGAATAAGAAGGAAAAAAAAAACAGATGGTATATGAGATCAGTAAACAGCTGAGTTTGGCTGGAGTAAAAGGTATAGAACAGGAGAAGCAGGCAGAAGCTTAAGAAGGTAAGTTTCCAACTGACTCCGCGAGGCCTAAATACCAGGGTAAAAACTTTAACTTTGTCCATTAAGCAATAAAGAGTTACTCAGGATGACTACAAAAAATAAAGTCAATTGGAGTAAACAAAGCTTTAGGCTTGTTTGTTTCACTCTTTTTTGGAGGAGTGGAGAGGAAAAGGGGGAAAATTGCATATTTACTTCAGATAGCAGAAATCAGCAAATTTCAGCAGAAGCAAAAGAAAGGTAGCACACTTTAGCTGGGTGTGGTGGCTCACACCTGTAATCCCAGCAATTTGGGAGGCCGACACGGGTGGATCACTTGAGATCAGGAGTTCAAGACCAGCCTGGCCAAGATGGCAAAATCCCGTCTCTACTAAAATACAAAAATTAGCCAGGTGTGGTGGTAGGTGCCTGTAATCCCAGATACTTGGGAGGCTGAGGCAGAACTGCTTGAGCCTGGGAGGCGGAGGTTGCAGTGAGCCGAGATCACACCACTGCACTCCAGCCTGGGCGACAGTCGAGCAAGACTCTGTCTCCAAAAGAAAAAAAAGAAAAGTAGCACACATTGAATTCCATGGATGCAGAGAGCCTTAGTACATGTATGAAAGCTAACAGCACATGAGGGGGTATTCAGTCATTTCAGAATACTCAGAATTCTAAGTAGTTGAATAAGACTTTTTTCTTTTTTTGATACATACTTAAGGTGTACAACTTGGTGTTTTCATAGACATATTACAGTTACATGGTTAGATATATAGTTAAGTGGTTACTACAGTCCAGTGATTTAACATCCATCATCTCAGATATTTAACCTCTTTCCACTTTTTTGTGGTAATTACATCTAAAGTCTACTGTCTTGGCAAACTTCTAGTTATAACTATAGTCCTCATGTTGTACATTCATTGGATCTCTAGATTTTTTTCATCCTACATAACTGCAACTTTGTAGTCTTTGATCTACATCTCCCCATTTCCTGCCTCACCTCCACCCCTAACCCCCATCCCCCGTAACTACCATTCTACTCTTCGTTCCTATGTATCTGACATATTTTTAAAGATTCTCTATATAAAGTGAGATCATGCAGTATTTTTACTTCTGTGTCTGGCTTATTTCACTTGACATATAATGTCTTCCAGGTTCATTCATGTTGTTGCAAATGGCGGATTCTCCTTTTTTAAGACCGAACAATATTACATTGTATATATACTACAATTTTATTATTTACTCATCCATCAGGAACATTTAGGTTGTTTCCATATCTAGACAACCGTAAATAATGCTGCAATGGACATGGGAGTGCAAATATCTCTGTGAAGGGCTGATTTCATTTCCTTTGGATACATACCCAAAAGGGAGATTGCTGAGTCATGCAGTCATTCTATTTTTAATTTTTTGAGGAACCTCCATACTGTTTTCCATAAAACTGCACCAATTTACATTTCTACCAAGAGTGTACAAGGATTCCCCTTTCTCCACATCCTTGCCAACACTTGTTATCTTTCATCTTATTGGTAATAGCCATTATAACAGATGTGAAATGATATCTCATTTCAGTTTTGGTTTGCTTTTCTCTGATGATTAGTGACATTGAGTACCTTTTCATATACTTGTTCGTCATTTTTATGTGCTCTTGGGGGAAATGTCTACTCAGGTCCTTTGCCCAGTTTTAAATTGGGTTATGTGTTTTTTATTGAGTTATGTGAGCTCCTTATATATTTTGGATATTGACTCCTTATCAAACATATGGTTCACAAATATCTTCTCCCAATCCATAGGATGCCTTTTCCTTTTCACTTTGTGGATTGTTTCTTTTGCTGTGTAGAAACTTTTAAATTTGGCGTAGTCTCACTTATTTTTACTTTTGTTGCCTGAGTTTGTTTTTTTTTTTTTTTTTTGAGACAGAGTCTTGCTCAGTTGCCCAGGCTAGAGTGCAGTGGCGCAATCTTGGCTCACTGCAAGCTCTGCCTCCCGGGTTCACACCATTCTCCTGCCTCAGCCTCCCGAGTAGCTGGGACTACAGGCGCCTGCCACCCTGCCCGGGTAATTTTTTTGTATTTTTAGTAAAGATGGGTTTTCACCGTGTTAGCCAGGATGGTCTCCATCTCCTGACCTCGTGATCCACCCGCCTCGGCCTCCCAAAGTCCTGCGATTACAGGCGTGAGCCATCACGCCCAGCCAAATGCTGCCCGATTTTTTGATGTGATATCCAAAAAATCATTGCCAAAGTCAATGTCAAGGAGCTTTTCTCCTATGTTTTCTACTAGGAGTTACATGGCTTCAGGCGTTATGTTTAGGTCTTTAATCTATTTTTAGTTGTGTAAGATAACTATCTTTGTGTATGTGTAAGATAAAGGTCTAGTTTCATTCTTTTGCATGTGGATATCCATTCTCCCAACACCATTTATTGAAGAGACTATTCTTTCCCAATTGTGTCTTCTTGGTGCCCTTGTTAAAAATTATTTGACTGTATATACTTGGGTTTACTTCTGGGCTCTCTATCCTGTTCCACTGTCTGTTCCCATGCCAGTACTATACTGCTTTGATTACTATAGCTTTGTGACATAATTTGAAATCAGGAAGTGTGATGCCTCCAACTTTGTTTTTCCTAAAATTGCTTTGGCTATTCAGGGTCTTTTGTGGTTTCATATGAATTTTAGAATTCTTTTTTCTATTTCTGTGAAGAATGCCATTGAAATTTTGATAGGAATTGCACTGAACCTGTATATTGCTTTGGGTAGTATGGATGATACTAATTCTTCCAATCCATAAACATGGAATACCTTTCCATTTATTTGTGTCTTCTTCAATTTATTTCATTAATGTTTAATCATTTTTATTGTAGAGATATTTCACCTCCTTTGTTAAAGTTATTTCTAGATATTTTATTTAACACAGTGTGCTATATTACACTGATTGATCTGTGTATGTTAAACCATACTTGCATCCCTGGGATGAATCCCACTTGGTCATGATGTATAATATTCTTTATGTATTGTTGAATTCAGTTTGCTAGTATTTTATTGAAGATTTTTGCAGCTGTGTTCATCAGAAATATTAGCCTATAGTTTTCATTTATTTTGTTGTCGTTGTTGTTTAGGTCATTTTTGTCTTTGCTTTTGTTTTAGAGATGGGGTCTCACTATGTTGCCCAGGCAGGACTCCAACTCCCAGGCTCAAGTGATCCTCTCACCTCAGCCTCCAGAGTAGCTGGAACTACTGGTATGTGCCACCACACCTCACTAGTTTTGTTTTCTTGTGGTGTCTTTGTCTGGAAAATTGGTATCAGGTGATGGTGACCTTATAAAATGAGTCTGGGCTGGGTGCAGTGGCTCACACCTGTAATCCCAGTAACTCAGGAGGCTGAGGCAGAAGGACTGTTTGAGACTATGAGTTTGACACCAGACTAGACAACATAGTGAGACCCTGTCTCCAACAAAATATTTAAAAATTAGCCAGGCATGGTTATATGCACTTGTAGTTCCTGATACTTGGGAGGCTGAGGTGGGAGGACTGCTTGAGCCAAGGAGTTCAAGGCTGCAGTGAGCTATAATCATGCCACTGCACTCCAGCTTGGGTAACAGAGCAAGACCCCCATCTCTGAAAATAAAACTAAAAATAAAAATAAATGAGTTTGGAAGTATTTCCTCTAGTTCTATGTTTTTGGAAGATAAGGATTGGTACTATTTGAATGTTTGGTAGAATTCAGCCATGAAGCCATTTGGTTCTGGGCTTTTCTTTGTTGGGAGGATTTTAATTACTACTTTAATAACTATTTGTTATTGGTCTGTTCAGGCTTTCTATTTGTTCCTCATTCAATTCTGGCAGGTATATGTTTCTAAGAATTTATCCATTTCCTCTAGGTTATCTAATTTGTTGGCTTAAAATTGTTCAATCGTCTCTAGTGATCTTTTTTATTTCTGAGGTCTCCACTTTTATTTCTGATTTTTTAATTTCAGTCTTCTCTTTTTTTTTCTTAGTCTAGCTAAGGCTTTGTCACTCTTATATGTTAGAAGAGCCAACTAAGTTTTGTTAATGTATTTTTCTATTCTCTATTTGATTTATTTCTGCTCTGGTCTTTATTAACTCCTTCCTTCTGCTAACTTTGGGTTTACTTTATTCTTTTTTTCCTAGTTCCTTGAGGTGTAACATTAGCTTGTTTATTGGAGATCTTTCTTCTTTCTAAATGCAGGTGTTTATCGCTATAAACTTCCCTCTTAGAACTGCTTTTGCTGTGTCCCTTAGGTTTTGGTATGTTGTGTTTCCATTTTCATTTGTCTCAATATATTTTTTTAATTTCCTTTTGGATTTCTTCTTTGACCTCTTGGTTGTTCAGGAGCATGATGTTTAATTTCCACATGTTTTTGAATTTTCCAGTTTTTTTCCTATTATTGATTCCTAGTTTCATACCACTGTGATCATCAAAGATACTTGATATGATTTCAGTCTCTTAAATTTCAATCTTCTCAAAGTCTTCTTTGTTAAGACTTGTTTTGTGGCCTAATATATGATCTATCCTGGATAATGTTCCACGTGCACTTGAAAAGAATGTGTATTCCGCTGCTGTTGGATGGAATGTTTTGTACATATCTGCTAGATTCATTTGGTCTAAAGTGTAGTTCAAGTCCAATGCTTCCTAATTGATTTTCTGTCTGGATGATCTCTCCAGTGTTGAAAGTGGGGTACTGAAGTCCCCTACTACTATTGTCTTACTGTCTATTTCCCCCTTCATATCTGTTAACAATTGATCATATATATATTTAGGTGCTCTGATATTATGTGCATATATATTTACAATTGTTATATCTTCTTGATGAATTGAGACCATAAGACTTTTCTTAATGTCCAGTTCTTTGAGCACTATATAATACATGGCCTCTATAACTAAAGCCTACTGCTATCATAAAATCCTCTTTTTATCTCTAAAGACTGCTAAGTGTTTTCAAAATAGTTCAGGAAATAAACTTGAACTATAAGTTTATCAGGAAATAAACCTGAAGCTTCTCAGCAGGATGAATGGAGTCTTGGAATTTAAATGTGCCTGTTCCTAATCTTTGTATTCAGAATAAAAATATTAGGCATCCAACTGCTGATCTTAGGAGGCCCCCTAGTGCGCACAGAGCAGACACTTTAGCAATCTGAACACAGACACTTTAGAAATACCTTTAACAAATTAACTATGGGATTGATCTGTAACACAAAAAATATATTTTTAGGAGAATCAATGATACAGAAAAAATGTAAAAGACTATTTTAGTTAATTCATCTTGAATTACTTTGAGCCAACTTTCAGAAGACAAAGATTAGAAAATCCTAAGCAATATTTAATAATATTATTTTTCAAAATCATGATCTGTGATAGTAACATTCCATTTTACTTTTTTTATTTCTTGATCCAGTCAAATTATGTATGCATCACTATATAACATTCGAAATACCGAAAGCTTTAGATGGCAACACATTATGATTAAGTCTTTTATAAGGAGAGTTTATCCCTTGTATAATTTAAAAAAATAAAATTTCAGGTGGGGCGTGGTGGCTCACGCCTGTAATCCTAGCACTTTGGGAGGCCGAGGCAGGCAGATTCCCTGAGCTCAGGAGTTTGAGACCAGTCTGGGCAACACAGTGAAACCCCGTCTCTACTAAAAATACAAAAAATTAGCCGGGCATGGTAGCGTGTGCTTGTAGTAGCTGTAGTCCCAGCTACTCAGGAGGCTGAGGCACGACCATCACTTGAACCCCGGAGGCAGAGGTCTCAGTGAGCCAAGATCGTACCACTGCACTCCAGCCTGGATGACAGAGCAAGACTCTGTCTCAAAAAATTAATTAATTAATTAATTAATTAAATAAAATTGTAAAGGTCAGTGTGCATTATTTTCCTCAATAGTTGTTTATCTTCTGGAATCTCATAGTACTTAATTCTGTAACATTATAACAATTGCCATGTTTATCATGATAACATTCTTCAACGGCATTCTCTTTCTTACTTTCTTACCACTGTCTTTAACTGAGGAGATATCTGGTATTTGCAAGCAGCTGAAAAATGTGTTATAAATGACTTAATGGTAATTTAAATATCCAAATCTGCAAATAATATACCTGTATTTTATATATATATATATATATATATATATACATTTTTTAAGTTCTAGGGTACTTGTGCACAACGTGCAGGTTTGTTACATACGTATACATGTGCCATGTTGCTGTGCTGCACCCATTAACTCATCATTAACATTAGGTATTTCTCCCAATGCTATCCCTCCCCCGTCCCCCCACCCCACCACAGGCCCTGGTGTGTGATGTTCTCCACCCTGTCTCCAGGTATTCTCATTGTTCAACTCCCACCTATGAGTGAGAACATGCAGTGTTTGGTTTTCTGTCCATGCAACAGTTTGCTCAGAATGATGGTTTCCAGCTTCATCAATGTCCCTACAAAGGATGTGGGCTCATGCTTTTTTATGGCTGCATAGTATTCCATGGTGTATATGTGCCATATTTTCTTAATCCAGTCTATCATTGTTGGACATTTGGCTTGGTTCCAAGTCTTTGCTATTGTGAAAAGCGCTGCAATAAACATACGTGTGCATATGTCTTTATAGCAGCATGATTTATAATCCTTTGGGTATATACCCAGTAATGGGATCGCTGGGTCAAATGGTATTTCTAGTTCTAGATCCTTGAGGAATCGCCACACTGTCTTCCACAATGGTTGAACTAGTTTACACTCCCACCAACAGTGTAAAAGTGTTCCTATTTCTCCACATCCTCTCCAGCACCTGTTGTTTCCTGACTTTTTAATGACCGCCATTCTAACTGGTGTGAGATGGTATCTCATTGTGGTTTTGATTTGCATTTCTCTGATGGCCAGTGATGATGAGCATTTTTCATGTGTCTGTTGGCTGCATAAATGTTTTCTTTTGAAAAGTGTCTGTTCGTATCCTTCACCCACTTGTTGATGGGGTTGTTTGATTTTTTTCTTGTAAATTTAAGTTCTTTGTAGATTCTGGCTATTAGCCCTTTGTCAGATGGGTAGATTGCAAAAATTTTCTCCCATTCTATAGGTTACCTGATCACTCTGATGGTAGTTTCTTTTGCTGTGCAGAAGCTCTTTAGTTTAATTAGATCCCATTTGTCTATTTTGGCTTTTGTTGCCATTGCTTTTGGTGTTTTAGTCATGAAGTCCTTGCCCATGCCTATGTCCCGAATGGTATTGCCTAGGTTTTCTTCTAGGGTTTTTATGGTTTGAGTCTTTAATCCATCTTGAATTAATTTTTGTATAAGGTGTAAGGAAGGGATCCAGTTTCAGCTTTCTACATATGGCTAGCCAGTTTCCCCAGCATCATTTATTGAATAGGGAATCCTTCTCCCATTTCTTGTTTTTGTCAGGTTTGTCAAAGATCAGATGCTTGTAGATGTGTGGTATTATTTCCGAGGGCTCTATTCTGTTCCATTGGGTTATATCTCTGTTTTGGTACAAGTACTATGCTGTTTTGGTTACTTTAGCCTTGTAGTATAGTTTGAAGTCAGGCAGCATGACGCCTCCAGCTTTGTTCTTTTGGCTTAGGATTGTCTTGGCAATGTGGGCTCTTTTTCGGTTCCATATGAACTTTAAAGTAGTTTTTTCCAATTCTGTGAAGAAAGTCATTGGTAGCTTGATGGGAATGGCATCCCCATCAATTTTCATGATATTGATTCTTCCTATCCATGAGCATGGAATGTTCTTCCATTTCTTTGTGTCCTCTTTTATTTTGTTGAGCAGTGGTTTGTAGTTCTCCTTGAAGAGGTCCTTCACATTCCGTGTAAGTTGGATTCCTAGGTATTTTATTCTCTTTGAAGCAATTGAGATTGATTCCTAGGTATTTTATTCTCTTTGATGCAAAGAGATTGAATGGGAGTTCACTCATGATTTGGCTCTCTGTTTGTCTGTTATTGGTGTATAGGGATGCTTGTGATTTTTGCACATTGATTTTGTATCCTGAGACTTTGCTGAAGTTTCTTATCAGCTTAAGGAGATTTGGGGCAGATAAAATGGGGTCTTCTAAATGCGCAATCATGCCCTCTGCAAACAGGGACAATTTGACTTCCTCTCTTCCTATTGGAATACCCTTTATTTCTTTCTCCTGCCTGATTGCCCTGGCCAGAACTTCCAACACTATGTTGAATAGGAGTGGTGAGAGAGGGCATCCCTGTCTTGTCACACTTTTCAAAGGGAATGTTTCCAGTTTTTGCCCATTCAGTATGATATTGGCTGTGGGTTTGTCATAAATAGCTCTTACTATTTTGAGATATGTCCCATCAATACCTAGTTTATTGAGAGTTTTTAGCATGAAGGGCTGTTGAATTTTGTCAAAGGCCTTTTCTGCATCTATTGAGATAACCATGTGGTTTTTGCCATTGGTTCTGTTAATATGATGGATTAAGTTTATTGATTTGCATATGTTGAACCAGCCTTGCATCTCAGGGATGAAGCCAACTTGATTATGGTGGACACGCTTTTTGACGTGCTGCTGGATTCGTTTTGCCAGTATTTTATTGAGGATTTTTGTGTCAATGTTTATCAGGGATATTGGTCTAAAATTCTCTTTTTTTGTTGTGTCTCTGCCAGGCTTTGGTATGAGGATGATGCTGGCCTCATAAAATGAGTTAGGGAGGATTCTCTCTTTTCTATTGATTGGAATAGTTTCAGAAGGAATGATACCAGCTCCTCTCTGTACCTCTGGTAGAATTCAGCTGTGAATCCGTCTGGTCCTGGACTTTTTTTGGTTGGTAAGCTACTAATTATTCTCTCAATTTCAGAGCCTGTTATTGGTCTATTCAGGGATTCAACTTCTTCCTGGTTTAGTCTTGGGAGGGTGTATGTGTCCAGGAATTTATCCATTTCTTCTAGATTTTCTAGTTTATTTGCGTAGAGGTGTTTATAGTATTCTCTGATGGTAGTTTGTATTTCTGTGGGATTGGTGGTGATATCCCCTTTATAATTTTTTATTGCCTCTATTTGATTCTTCTCTCTTTTCTTCTTTATTAGTCTTGCTAGCGGTCTATCAATTTTGTTGATCTTTTCAAAAAACCAGCTCCTGGATTCATTGATTTTTTGAAGGGTTCTTTTGTGTCTCTATCTCCTTCAGTTCTGCTCTGATCTTAGTTATATCTTGCCTTCCGCTAGCTTTTGAATGTGTTTGCTCTTGCTTCTCTAGTTCTTTTAATTGTGATGTTAGGATGTCAATTTTAGATCTTTCCTGCTTTCTCCTGTGGGCATTTAGTACTATAAATTTCCCTCTACACATGGCTTTAAATGTGTCCCAGAGATTCTGGTATGTTATGTCTTTGGTCTCATTGGTTTCAAAGAACATCTTTATTTCTGCCCTCATTTCGTTATTTACCCAGTAGTCATTCAGGAGCAGGTTGTTCAGTTTCCATGTAGTTGTGCGGTTTTGAGTGAGTTTCTTAATCCTGAGTTCTAATGATTGCACTGTGGTCTGAGAGATAGTTTGTTATGATTTCTGTTCTTTCACATTTGCTGAGGAGTGCTTTACTTCCAACTATGTGGTCAATTTTGGAATAAGTGCAATGTGGTGCTGAGAAGAATGTATATTCTGTTGATTTGGGGTGGAGAGGTCTGTAGATGTCTATTAGGTCCACTTGGTGCAGAGCTGAGTTCAAGTCCTGGATATCCTTGTTAACTTTCTGTCTCGTTGATCTGTCTAATGTTGACAGTGGGGTGTTAAAATCTCCCACTATTATTGTGTGGGAGTCTAAGTCTCTTTGTAGGTCTCTCAGGACTTGCTTTATGAATCTGGGTGCTCCTGTATTGGGTGCATATATATTTAGGACTGTAAGCTCTTCTTGTTGAATTGATCCCTTTACCATTATGTAATGGCTTTCTTTGTCTCTTTTGATTTTTGTTGGTTTAAAGTCTGTTTTATCAGAGACTAGGATTGCAACCCCTGCTTTTTTTTTTGTTTTCCATTTGCTTGATAGATCTTCCTCCATCCCTTTATTTTGAGCCTATGCATGTCTCTGCACATAAGATGGGTCTCCTGAATACAGCACACTGATGGGTCTTGACTCTTTATCCAATTTGCCAGTCTGTGTCTTTTAATTGGGGCATTTAGTCCATTTACATTTAACATTAATATTGTTATGTGTGAATTTGATCCTGTCATCATGATGTTCGCTGGTTTTTTTTGCCCATTAATTGATGCAGTTTCTTCATAGCATCGATGGTATTTACAATTTGGCATGTTTTTGCAGTGGCTGGTACTGGTTTTTCCTTTCCATGTTTAGTGCTTCCTTCAGGAGCTCTTTTAGGGCAGGCCTGGTGGTGACAAAATCTCTCAGCATTTGCTTGTCTGTAAAGTATTTTATTTCTCCTTCACTTATGAAGCTTAGTTTGGCTGGATATGAAATTCTGGGTTGAAAATTCTTTTCTTTAAGAATGTTGAATATTGGCCCCCACTCTCTTCTGGCTTGTAGAGTTTCTGCTGAGAGATCCACTGTTAGTCTGATGGGCTTCCCTTTGTGGGTAACCCAACCTTTCTCTCTGGCTGCCTTTAACATTTTTTCCTTCATTTCAACCTTGGTGAATCTGACAATTATGTGTCTTGGGGTTGCTCTTCTCAAGGAGTATCTTTGTGACGTTCTCTGTATTTCCTGAATTTGAATGTTGGCCTGTCTTGCTAGGTTGGGGAAGTTCTCCTGGATAATATCCTGAAGAGTGTTTTCCAACTTGGTTCCATTCTCCTCATCACTTTCAGGTATACCAATCAAATGTAGATTTGGTCTTTTCACATAGTCCCATATTTCTTGGAGGCTTTGTTCATTTCTTTTTACTCTTTTTTCTCTAAACTTCTCTTCTTGCTTCATTTCATTCATTTGATCTTCAATCACTGATACCCTTTCTTCCACTTGATCAAATCGGCTACTGAAGCTTGTGCATGCATCATGTAGTTCTCATGCCATGGTTTTCGGCTCCATTGGGTCATTTAAGGTCTTCTCTACACTGTTTATTCTAGTTAGCCATTCATCTAGTCTTTTTTCAAGGTTTTTAGCTTCCTTGCAATGGGTTTGAACATCCTCCTGTACTTTGGAGAAGTCTGTTATTACCAATCTTCTGAAGCCTACTTTAGTCAACTCGTCAAAGTCATTCTCCATCCAGTTTTGTTCCATTGCTGAGGAGCTGTGAATCTTTGGAGGAGAAGAGGCGTTCGGTTTTTAGAATTTTCAGCTTTTCTGCTCTGGTTTCTCCCCATCTTTGTGGTTTTATCTACCTTTGGTCTTTGATGATGGTGACCTACAGATGGGGTTTTGATGTGGATGTCCTTTTTGTTGCTGTTGATGCTATTCATTTCTGTTTGTTAGTTTTCCTTCTAACAGTCAGGACCCTCAGCTGCAGGTCTGTTGGAGTTTGCTGGAGGTCCACTCCAGACCCTGTTTTCCTGGGTATCACCAGCGGAGGCTGCAGAGCAGCAAATATTGCACAACAGCAAATGTTGCTGCCTGATCCTTCCTCTGGAAGTTTCATCTCAGAGGGACACCCGGCTGTATGAGGTGTCAGTTGGCCCCTACTGGGAGATGTCTCCCAGTTAGGCTACTTGGGGGTCAGGGACCCACTTGAGGAGGCAGTCTGTCCGTTCTCAGATCTCAAACTCCGTGCTGGGAGAACCACTACTCTCTTCAAAGCTGTCAGACAGGGACGTTTAAGTCCGCAGAAGTTTCTGCTGCCTTTTATTCAGCTATGTCCTGCTTCCAGAGGTGGAGTCTACAGAGGCAGGCAGGCCTCATTGAGCTGTGGTGGGCTCCACCCAGTTTGAGCTTCCCAGCCGCTTTGTTTACCTAGTCAAGCCTCAGCAATGGCGGACGCCCCTCCCCCAGCCTCGCTGCCACCTCGCAGTTCCATCTCAGACTGCTGTGCTAGCAGTGAGCAAGGCTCCATGGGTGTGGGACCCACCAAGCCAAGTGTGGGATATAATCTCCTGGTGTGCTGTTTGCTAAGACTCTTGGAAAAGTGCAGTATTAGGGCAGGAGTGTCCCAATTTTCCAGGTACCATCTGTCACAGCTTCCCTTGGCTAGGAAAGGTAATTCCCTGACCCCTTGCGCTTCCCTGGTGAGGCAGTGCCCCACCCTGCTTCGGCTCACACACTGTGGGCTGCACCCACAGTCCAACTAGTCCCAATGAGACGAACCCAGTACCTCAGTTGGAAATGCAGAAATCACCCATCTTCTGCGTCGCTCACTGAGAGCTGTAGACTGGAGCTATTCATATTTGGCCATCTTGGAACTGTATACCTGTATTTTTTATGTATATAGGGTAACCTGTCCCAGAACCACTACCAGCCCTCCATCCCTACCCCCACCCTCTATGTTCCTGGGCAAACCCATAGAATTTCTGTCCTTTTAATGATATTGAGACATAACCCTTTATCCTCTTCTACCCCTCTTTTCTTCTCTCTTTCCTCCTCCTCCAATTGGGAGAGACTTATCTAATTAGTAATACTAGGGAAAGGGGCACTAACTCATGCCTAACTCATGCCGTTACTGGCTTTCTCTTTTGAGATACAGCCTATTAGTGACAGTCTCTCTTCACCAATACAGTTAACAGCTTATTCTATGGGGTCAGGACTACAAGTTATCCAACTGTCTGGCTGAGAGTGTGTGGGTGAGTTTAATAGAGTAGGACAAGAATATTAAGCCACATTTTCTAATGCTAGCCATAAGCTAATATTTTAATCCCTGACTTCAGCATCTATTTCTAAATTAAAGTATTATCAATTTATCATCCAAACAATACAAATTAGAGCAAATTTAAGATTATCCCTTTAATAACATAACCCACTTCCTGTGCTTTTTTTTTTGAGTGGGAGGGAAGGGAATTAAGTGTTGTCCTTAATATACTTAAACATGTATCATTCTTTGCAAATTGCACAACAACATAAAAAAGCCAAGACCTTTGGGAACAAGAGCTTACATTTAGGCCATTGATCATTTCTTGTCTTATACCTCACTTAAAGTGGATGCAACCTTATCTTCTAAATGAGAGAAATATTCCTTGAACATACACACCAAGTCTTATTAAATATTGTTTTTATGCCACTCACTAAATAACTTAAGGCAATTTTATATGCTAAGTGAAGCTTCCTTGATGTCTCCAAAAGTCACAGAAAATTATTGCCTTTGGTTGGTTAAAGCCCTTTCTTTATTTCAAGAACATATATCTGAGACCCTTACTTCTTAAAACGAAACATGCTTTAGATTTATTTTAAAGTACACCATAAATCTGTATAGAATCCATGAACATATGTGAGGATTTGTGAATAAATGTTTGCCTCTGGCTTGGCTTATATACTCATGTTTTTTTCTTGTATTACTGTAAGTTTCTGTTTTCCTTAATTTGGCATCTAAAAATAATAAAACCACAATGAACTTTTAGCATGTCATCAACACTCACAAATCATATGTATTTACCATTTCCAGAACACAAATTTGCATTAAAACAACTCATTAGATTCCATAAATACTCTATCACTATTTATCAGGAATTACATATATGGCTCCAACTTTATACAGCATTCAGTCTAATTTTTGTGGTGATTTTTTTTTCCCTTTTGTTAACTGCCATGAAGCTACTTATTGGTGTGGGTTTCTGATGGGGAAAAACATTCCATTGGTAAATTTTAAGTACCACTTATAAGCTTATATTCTGAGATGGTTCTATACAGAGAACACTGCAGGTTGACTCCTAGCTGCTGTACACTTACAGGAAAGGACAGAAATCACAAAATATGATAAGCCTGTGTTCAACTTTTTTACTAGTAGTTATATAAACTTGGGTAACATACATAACTTCTATGATCCTTGCTTTTCTCATCTAAAATTAGAGATGATAATCCTTATTTTACAGAGTTTTAAACTCTACGAGAAAAAAGAAAGTGGGAATCATAACACATAGTAGGTATAAAACAAATGATAGTTATCCTAATCAGTCTCAACAGCAGTTCTAATGCAAATGAAGGCTACCATGGATTCATGGCATTGCTGCAACAATATTTATTTAAAGAGACTTGAGACAACACACAATATTTAGTTTTAAATCAACTTACCAAGACAGGAGTATAAGCCCTGACTTATCCAAGCCAATATGGCAAGAGTTATAAGGTCGCCAAAACTAGCAGCAATGGGTGTAGCAACATTATCAGGATTTATACCAGTCTTCTTTGAACCAACGATAACCCCAACCATTATTATTCCTAGAAGAAAGAATGTTCATTACTTTTTAGGCTATGATTTAAAGAAAATCAATCCCCCAAATACCAAAATGTGTAGGATAGAAAAACAGCATATCAATTCCAGTTAGACTGCTTAGATAAGCTGACTAAAGCAAACAAAACATTTACTCTAACGCTTTGGCAAAATGCCTTTCAACAAACTCCAAGTGGGGATCATAGAAAATTTAAGAAGTTCAGCATTGTATTTAGAGGCCTGAAAGCTACTAAAATTATGGTAAAGCTAAAATTTCAGATTTAGTGACATGTATATCTTAGATATAATGTATTTGTGTGTATTGAATCCAAAGGTTTTAATTTTAACCCTCAAATAAAGTATGAAAACATCAAAAAAAAAGGTGAGTCATATGTATATGTACAACAACTGGGAAGAAGGCCAACAAAACCAGATTTGTTTACATATGGCAGCTAGAAATGCTTATTTCATTTTATTACTTAAAGACGTTGAAGTATTAAGCAGCAGGACATAATTAAATTTTAAAACACTGAAGGCCAGAATACAAGAAACAGTCTTTGTAAAAGATATTCTTTAAACCTGAAGTTTCTGTCTATAAACCTACGAGAGAATAGAAGATGAAAATTTAACTGTGTACTTGTACTTTTACATCCTAATTTTCTTAAATTATACAAATGGGATAAAACTATTAACATTTATATCCACTCTAAATTGTGTAGATTTTGTCACACCAAGATACTCATTAAGAGGATGTAGTAAAGAGAAAACTTTAAATGTGCTAACCACAAATCAATATGAAAGCCTAAATATGGCTATGGAGAAAAACAGTAACAGAATCTCACAGCACTTTTAGAGTTAAAATGACTCTAAATGTTTTTGTTCCAGCATACTCACTTTATAGATAATAAAACTGAGGTCCTGTAGAGTAGGGCTTAAATTCTTGCCTAAAGTCACATAGCTTGTGACTCTAGCCCAGTGTTTTTTACTCTACCTATTAAAGCCAAAATTTTAATAAGCAGAATTTTTGTCTTGCATCAAACAGTGCCTTATATTTTAGTATTCTGGAGGCTTTTTAAATTACTAGACTTACCTTTCCCATAATATCATTGAAAAAGAAAAAAAGCTATAGCAGAAAACTTTTTAAAAAAAATACATTATGCAATAATCAGGCAAGATGTAATCGCTTAGAATCTTTTTCCAAAATCAGCACATTTGAAGATGTATATGGGAAGTTCTCCTACACATAGTACCATCTATATCTTTTCAACTGAAAACAAATATTTTGTATGTATCATAGTCCAGTGGAAAGAGCTAAGAGTTAGGAAACGTGTTTTAGTTCTGATTCAGCTGGTAACAAGTTGATGAGATTGGACAAGTCACCTTACCTAAGTTTTCTCACCTACAAATATGGCTAAGAGTTTCTACTTTACATATACTAAAGTGCTTATAAAGGTCAAGTTATCATAAAATTAGAACACACATTATTCAAAGTCAGAAGCTTTAAACAAATACTTTTTAAAATTCTGAATTTTGGATAGTTTTGAAAAGCTTTCAAATACTTGTTAGACTGAAAAATTTTAAATGACACTTTCTAAATGAAATAAAATCAGAAAGAAAAAAGAAGCAAATGAGCCTAAAAAAATAGCATGCTGATGGCATAATTATTTTTGTACCAACAATTTAATTTTCCAATAGCTTAACTTCACTCTGCTTTGGTCAATGTTAACTCCATTCAACTATAGTAATTCTTTATGAAGACAAGAAACTACCCCGATACAATTAAACTACTAAAACAAAATGCTTGAAAATATTTTGGAAATCGAGTTATAATTTTAATAAGATTCCCTAAATTCCCAGAACCTAGCCAAAAAAGTTAGCTGCATTGTATGATCACCTAACATGACAATAATCCACTTTAAACTTTGCTGGTGATATAAGGGCAAGAAAATGGCAATTATAAAATAAAAAGAACAAAGTCTTTATGATTGTGATTCCACAATAAGCTAATTCTCTAGTGTAAAGTTCATACGAATAAATATAAAGAAAAATAACCCAAATAAAAGTTCTAAAGTAGTTAATTTTTAAAACCTTCTGGCTCTTTAAATTCTATAGCCAACAATATGCTATCTTAAGTATAAGGTTATATTTGTATTGCCACAGAAACAGGGAAGAAATTTTTCTTGAAATCTGAAACAAAAAAATTTCAACAGAGGATGACTTTTGAAACCCAGAATTCCTGGAACACTTGTTACTCAAGTGACAAGCTAGTAAATCCCCTGCATGATGTCCAGAAAGGAGTTTCCCAATTTATTTAACTTACAGAAACAAATGAATGTCTAGGCGATTTTCCTGATCTTTTTGAGGAACTATAACGGAGTATCCAAGGCCAGGAGACAACCTCAGAAAAGCCTGTTCTACACTAAGTTTTATAAATAATGAAATGTAAATATATCTGGAATAACTAAGGCATTTTTTAAGTTTGTAGATATGTTTTTTCTGTTGTTTTCATAACAGGTATCATTTAAATAAAAATAGTCATCTTAAGAAATAAACCATTTAAATGTAAAAGGCTATAGAGTAGACATTTATAAATTCACTTACCCTGCAGAAGAGATGCAATGAAGGCAGTTGCCACACTGCTAGAGCACAGAAGTATGGAATGATCAAGGTAATATTTTCCTTCTGGAATCCAGCCCAATATAATTGCTGCCACAGCTGCTAGAAAACCCACTACTGTTGCCTGAACCTAAAATTTTTTTCATAAATCCAACTGAATTATTCACTTTAAAAACACATTTAAACATTTTGATTATGTAAATATTACTACAAAAAGTCAAAAAAAGTATTGCATGTAATAATTGAGCTACATTACCTTTTAGAGTAGTTACTATATTTTGGTTTTAATATTCCCTAAGATGGTGGGTTCTCAAACTGCTCTGATGATCTGGTGACAAGTATGGAACGGAGTCCAGGAATCTGTTTTTAACAAGCACCCCAAGTGATGCTGATGGTATAACTAATAGATCACCTAAGAAAATGCCACCTTCAGACTGAGAAGTACCCAATCCACACATCTGAAGTCTGACTCTAGAGGTAGTGCTGGCAAGAGATTGGATTTTATAATAGAAAGATAGGAGTTTGACTCCTGGTTCTAGCACTTAATCTTGTAGCAAATTATTTAAACTCATTCATTCAAGGAGTATTTATTTAGATTCTACTATGTATAATGTGCTATGTTTTGTGTTGGGCTACAGCAGTGGTCAACGTAGATTATTCCCTGCCCTCACAGAGCTCTTGGTCAGTGGGAGAGACAAACATTTGAAAATAACCTCACAAATAAGCACAATTGTGATTAGTGCTATGAAAATTTCAGTTCCTAATCAGTAAGACCACAATAACCTCAAACTTTGTGATTTAAATTAATTATATAAATATATAAACTGCTTTCCACAGTGCTGACACAAAGCAAGAATAAAAAAAACCTGCCACTAAGAAATAACACTCACCGCTAACTCAGCCTCAGATTAATAGGATGTCAGAACTAAAAGAAACCCTACAAGAATCATCTATTGCACTCACTCTTAGCTGAGTTTGTGTCATGGACTCCTTTGACAATCTGGTAAAAACTCTATAGAATAGAGTTCTCTTTCTCTAGGCAAACACAGAGGCACTCAATATTTTGAGTAGAATTTCTTGATGTTCATGGACTCTCTGAAGCCAATCCACGTGCTGGAATCGAGGGCTCCAAGTAAAAAATTCCTGAAGTAGTCATATAGTAAATCAACAGAAGAGCCAGGACTAAAGAGACCATATATCCTGGACTCCAGCCCCATGATCTTGTATTAATATTACAGCTTCTGTGGATGTCATCCACAGATACAGAGCTGAGATTCAAACCAATAAGCACCATGATGAGTGTAGCAGTTAAAATATTTCAGGATTTTCATTCTGGTTAGTAAATGATGTAATTACACTTTAAAGCAGTAAAATTAATTTATAATATAAATTCTAGCACTATGATTCCAAGTCCTGTCTGGCTTGACATTGGAACACAGAGCTAGAGAACCTACTGCAGACATCATGGTGTGTATATATGTATATATAAATCTGTCAATTTCTGAGAAAATAAAAGCACACAGCTGAGATGAGGAAGTCCTATTCTGGAAATATGCAAAATAATGACTAACTGAAAAATGACTAATTGTACCCAAGAGAAAGCAAAGTCTGGGTTTAAGTAGTAGATGTGAAGGTTAACAGGGGCCATAGGCCTGAAGAGATGTTTGGTACAGGACACGTCCCTCCTGGTGAGGCAACAGTTCCTCATGTGGGACTGGAGACTTTGCTTTATCTGACTACTTATGTATGTATTTGGTCCAGAAGACCATTCTGTACAATCGTGAAGAAATCTGTGACAGGCGATCTGCCTGGGGCTCCATTTAACAGTGAGAAGAGCACAACCCTGAGCAAGTGGGAGTGTGGGCCTCGTCTGTGCTTTCTACCCTTCTCTCTTTCTACCCTCCATGGCCAGTCTCCAGGCAGAGGAGGCTTGTGCCAGCCCATCCTACTCCCCTCCCACACTCATCATCTACTCTTTCACAAGTGTTAGCAGAAGAAGCCTCAGGAAGAAAAAACCCTCTCCCCCAACCATTACCCCCACCGCTCCATCTTCTTTTCTTCTCACTTTTGTCTACTTGTGACTGGGCTTCAACCAATTGCTGCCTCACTGGCTGGTACCAGGTGTGTCCTGAGGGGCCTGGTTGGGGTTCCCTGTTCTTCACACTTTCTTGGTGGAGTAAGGCACATAAAGACACAGGCTTTGGGCTATGGCAACTAGAATCAGTGAATCCCTAGCCATGTCTGACTCCTATCTTGACTGACAGTTGCAGGGAGAGAGGATGATAAAGGAAAAGTGAAGACAAAGAATGGGAGGAAAAATGAAAAGCTGAGATGGAAATTATTAGGATAATTTGACAAATAATTTATACTACAACTCATATTACTTTGTAAGAGTTCAGGGTATTTAAAAATAAATGGAATATATTTTCAAATTTTATATATTATTTATATTATTTTTATATATTATTTATATATATATTTAACAACTCTACTGGTTGTTAAATGTTTTGATTATTACCCCTGCATAGATTTCTACAATTTCAAGCTGAAAAAGATCTTAGACATCTCTAATACAATAATGATATTTAAAAGAGGAAAGAGACTTTCACCACTGTTTTTTTAACATACTACTAGAAGTCCTAGCTAAAGCAATCAGATAAGAGAAAGAAATGAAGGGCATCTAAATTGGAAAGAAAGAAGTCAAATTATCCTTATTTGCAGATGACATAATCTTATATTTGGAAAAACCTAAAGACTCCACCAAAAAACTATCAGAACTGATAAATTCAGTAAAATTGTAGGATACAAAATCAACACACAAGAAGCAGTAGCATTTCTATATGCCAACAGTGAATAATCTGAAAAAGAAATCAAGAAAGTAATCCCATTTACAATAGCTACAAGTAAAATAAGATAGACCTAGAAATAACCAAAGACATGAAAGATCTCTATAATAAAAACTATAAAACAGGCCGGGAGCAGTGGCTCACACCTGTAATCCCAGTACTTCGGGAGGCTGAGGCAGGTGGATCACCTGAGGTCAGGAGCTTGAGACCAGCCTGGCTAACATGGTGAAACCCCATCTCTACTAAAAATGCAAAAATTAGCTGGGCATGGTGGCACACCCCAGTAATCCCAGCTGAGGTGGGAGAATTGCTTGAACTCAGGAGGCGGAGGCTGTAGTGAGCCGAGATCACGCCATTGCACTCTAGCCTGGTAGCCTGGGCAACAGAACAAGACCTCATCTCAAAAAAAAAATAAAATAAAATAAAATAAAATAAAATAAAATATTGATGCAAGAAATTGAAGAGGACACCAAAAAGTGTAAAGATATTCTATGTTCATGGATTAGAATAATCAATATTGTTAAAATGTCCATATAACCCAAAGCAATCTACAGATTCAATGTAATCCCTATCAAAATGCCAATGACATTCTTCACAGAAATAGAAAAAAAAAATCTTAACATTTATGTGGGATCACAAAAAGACTCAGAATAGTCAAAACTATCCTAAGCAAAAAGAACAAAACTGGAGGAATCACATTACCTGACTTCAAATTATGCTACAGAGCTATAGTAACCAAAAGACAGTACTGGCATAAAAACAGACACAAACCAATGGAAGAGAATAGAGAAACCAGAAACAAATCCATATATCTACAGTGAACTCATTTTTGCCAAAAGTGCCAAGAATATACACTGAGGAAAAGACAGTCTTTTTAACAAGTGGTGCTAAGAAAATTGGACATCTACATGCAGAAGAAATGAGACCCCTATCTCTCACCATCTACAAAAATCAAATCAAAATGGATTAAAGACTTGAATCTAAGACCTCAAACTATAAAACTACTACACAAAAACATTAGGGGCACTCTCCAGGACATTGGTATGGGCAAAAATTTATTGAGTAATATCCCACAAGCACAGGCAACCAAAACAAAAATGAACAAATGGGATAATATCAAGTTTAAAACTTTCTGCACAGCAAAGGAAACAATCAACAAAGTAAAGAGACAACCCACAGAATGGGAGAAAATATTTGCAAACTACCCATCTGGCAAAGGATTCATAACCAGAATATATAAGGAGCTTAAACAAATCTATAGGAAAAAAAATCCAATAATCTGATTTTAAAACAGGCAAAAGATCTGAATAGGCATTTCTCAAAAGAAGACATACAAATGGTAGTCAGTCATATGAAAAGGTGCTCAACATCACTGATCATCAGAGAAATGCAAATCAAAACTACAATGAGATATCATCTCACCCCAGTTAAAATGGCTTTTATCCAAAGGACAGGCAATAACAAATGCTGGTGAGGATGTGGAGAAAAGGGAACCCTCGTACACTGTTGGTGGGAATGTAAATTAGTACAAGCACTATGGGGAACAGTTCGGAAGTTCCTCAAAAAACTAAAAATACAGCTACCATATGATCCAAAAATCCTACTGCTGAGTATATAATCCCAAATAAAGGAAATCAGTATGTTGAAGAGATATCTGCACTTCTATGTTTGTTGCAGCACTATTCACAATGGCCAAGATTTGGAAGCAAACTAAGTGACCATCAACAGATGAATGGATAAAGAAAATGTGGTACTTATACAAAATGGAGCACTATTCAGCCATAAAAAAGAATGATATCTGTCATTTGTAACAACATAGATGGAACTGGAGGTCATTATGCTAACTGAAATAAGCTGAGCAGAAAAACAAACATTGGATGTTCTCACTTATTTATGGGATGTAAAAATCAAAACAATTGAACTCATGGAGACAGAAAGTAGAAGGATGGTTGCTAGAGGCTGGGAAGGGTAGTAGGAGGGTATGGGGGAGGTAGGGATGGTTAATGAGTACAAAAAAATAGAATGAATGAGACCTAGTATTTGATAGCATAACAGGGTGACTTCAGTCAATAATGTAATTGTACATTAAAAAATAACTACAAGAGTATAATTGGATTGTTGTAACACAGAGGATAAATGCTGGGGGGATGGATATACCATTTTAGATGATGTGATTGTTATGCACTGCAGCCTGTATCAAAACATCTCATGAATATATACACCTACTACGTATCCACAAAAATTAAAAATTGAAAGAAAAGACCAGCCTGGACTACATGGCGAAACCCCGTCTCTACAAAAAGTACAAAAATTAACCAGGCGTGGTGGCGCGTACCTGTAGTCCCAGCTACTCGGGCACTCAGGTGGGAGAATCACTTGAGCCCAGGAGGTCAAGGCTGCAGTGAGCCATGACTGCACTACTGCACTCCACCCTGGGCAACAGAGCAAGACCCTGCCTCAAAAAAAAAAAATAAATAAAGGAAAAATGTATTTCAAAGAAAAAAATAAATAAAAGAGAAAAGTGAAGCCCAGAAAAGTTAAATAGATTAACAAAGGTTATAAACTGTTTAATGTTACAGCTGAGGTCAGATCTCAGATTTTCTCATTTCTACATCTGTGATCTTACAAGCACTTGTACACGTATTCAAAAAATGTGCTTTATTTCTTTGTCCTTGAATTACATTACATGAAATTCTGTTCCTGCAACCAGGTTCTCAACATTATGTCCTAGGTGAACTAATACCAAAATTAGTGTGCATTCCCTAAGCTCACACTAGCTAGAGAATTACTAGGGGTAGTCGCAGTCTTCAGTCTTAGGGGTAGGAGAGGGTGAAGGCAGAAGAAAAAGAGAAACTCATCTAAGATTAGAAAAAGCTGTAGATTATACACGATCTACAGTTCACAATTCAGTGTACGTGTAATTGGTAAACTACTGTATTGTTTATATTAATACTAGTAACTAACAAATTAAGGAAAACAAACAAATATCTGATCATAATATATAGAAAAGAGCTCAGTTTATCTTTAAATATCAAAGTAAAAAATAGCACTTAATGAAGTGCTAAATATTTACTAAACAGATATATTAATGCAAATTCTGGCTCTATCACACACTTATGATAGAAAATATTTTGTATATTTTTCCACATTTTGTATATATTTTTCATATTTGTAAAAACTAGTTTCTAAACAACGAATAGTTTCAGAGCTCATAGGTATCCATTTATTCCATCACTTTTTCAAGGTACTAAATTATTGTTTTGGTGTTTCTGAAAACAATTAAAGGGTAGACTCATAGTACTAAAATTTACACCAATCTTATAGATTACAGTCAAAATTTGTACACCCAAGATCTGTAAACAAATATGTGTACCACTTACCTGCTTTAAAGCCAAGTTGCCAATTATTAGGTTCCACTTTTCAATGGGTGAATCCATCTTCCCAATATTTACCTGTTAAAGTGGATATTTTCATGTATCACTGAAGAAAATCTACATGTTCTCTGCTGTGTTCAAACAGCACATGAAATCTTAAAGCCCAAAATAATTCTTCAGTAAATCCAATGAGCTCACATTGTACTTTGAAAATAATTCTGAATTCACTACCAGTCTTTCAGCTAACGCTAGGCTTGACTAACATGTTTAGAGAAAAAAAATTTTTTTTACTTACCTGTCTTACAAGAACTAGTGGACCCATTAGTATTACCCACTTACTCACTGATGTTATCTTACAACTAGCATCATCAGATATTATCTTAGCATGCCAAATTTTGTGTATTGAGGTCCAAGGTAAATAATTACATAACTTTGATCCACTAGCAGTTAATTCCACATTATAAAACTAATGTAACTTAAAGAATTATTGACCCAAAAACAAGATATAATCATTCACATGTATACAATTTATATTTGAGTCACGACTAAAACTGTTAGCAATAAAATTCATTGTTTACAAATTAATTTTGATCATGTACCGCAACTATTAAATTTTACACATCTTTCTGCTAAATGGAAGAACACTCTCCAAAATAATATTATCACCCACATACTCAATTGTTCTGTGAGCTAATTCATATTTCTCAACCACTTAGAATTCAAAAAGTGTATTTCCAAATCTGCCAAGTTTTTCTAAAGTAGTTGTTTGGAAAGCAACGAACAATCATTTAGTAAAAATACTGAGTTGCATTTCAATTACTCATCATCTGCTTTGCTATGAAAGACTTTCTTTCAAATGATCTATAGATAAGTTGATAAAGAGGAAGGTAAGTAAGGGTTGTTATTCATGGGTAGTTTTAACCAGGTACAGTCTAGAATTTAGGTCACTGGCTTTAGACAAGCAGGTTAAGTGCTATATAAACATTTCCTCTATCAATCTGGAAAACAGATTCTATTCTGTAATCTCACTGTGGACTTTAGTCTCAAAGCATCCAGCAAATGCAAATATTGAGATTTCTCAGTATTTCAGAATAATTATTAATGCAGTCTTTATTTACATATTTCTTTACTAAGCCTGGGAATCTAAATCATTGGTGAAATTCATGTTTGTAGTTCTAACAACCTGGGGCTTTGCTCAAGTGAGTAATAAGGTACAAGCAATGTTTACAGAGTGAACCTACCTCAGGTTTAGAGTTCAAGAAATAGGAATGAGTGAAATTAGTGTTATTTTTTAATAACTCTTAGAAAGATGTCTATATCTGTAGGAAGCAATCTAAAATGATTCAATGAAAAAGTATAAGACATCAAGACTCCAGGGTTGCTTAATAACAAATGGAAACATACATACATTCGGGTCTAGGAAAAGATCAAGAAAGGTAGGAGTTAAAGAATGAGTGAGTGCTATGAATTGGATTTGCAACTGTGCCACGTTAATTTGGCACTATCACCACCAGTCCCTTCTAAGGCTTGGAGCTACATTCCCCAAAATCCCCTCCCCTATAGCTTCAGGTGACAGTCTACCAGTGAGAAGAACTTGCATAAGATTTGGAAGTCACCAGTGAAGCAAAGACTATTATTTTTGGAAGGTGATCAGACACGCAGGTGTCCAGACTTCCTCGCTGTAATGCATGCATGGCTTTCTTTCCTGCTCCAGGGCTTCAGGTGGCTTCACTGAGTTTCCTACCACAGATCGTCATTTCTCCAACTTCTCCTACAGTCATGTAACCCCAAACTTCTCTATTAAATTCCCTATTGATTCAATACATACCATGGCTCTGTTTTCCTGACCAAACCCAGAGTGACACTTTTCTTTTTTCTTTTTTTTTTTTTTTTTTTGAGACAGAGTCTTACTCCGTCACCCAGGCTGGAGTACAGTGGCATGATCTTGGCTCACTGCAACCTCCACCTCCCAGGTTCAAGCAATTCTCCTGCCTCAGCCTCCCAAGTAGCTGTGATTACAGGTGCCCACCACCATGCCCAGCTAATCTGTGTATTTTAGTAGAAACAGGGTTTCCCCATGTTGGCCAGGCTGGTCTTGAACTCCTGGCCCCAAGTGATTTGCCTGTCTTGGCCTCCCAAAGTGCTGGGATTATAGGAGTGAGCCACCACACCCAGTGTCACTTTTCAATTAATCAGTTTCTTTTTTTTTTCATGATCTCTAGGGTGGTACTAATCAATTAATTTGTTTTATAAATGATGAAGATCACTTTCTCTGAGACCCTTTCTAATCTAGAAGTCTCTGAATCTTTACTCTTCTTAGTCTAAGATAAAACAATAAATAACAAATTAAAACAATGTATGACATAAAATAAAAAATAAAATGTAGACTATATTTATAAACAATAACTTTTTTTATAAAGCAAAGATTTTCAGGAGTAAGAATTTTTTTAAAAAGTAAAGAGAAATGTTGCCCCAAATTTACCTTGTTAGGGAAAATATGTATAGTATAGGCTTGCATTGGCATGTGGATAGAGGTATGGCAGGACACAGAAAATTGATTTTGTTGCCTCCATCTTGTAAAAACTACATCAACAGTTGTGCTGACCCATCCTACTGTCCAGTGGTTTAGGGTTAATATGAGCCATCTAAGTTTTTTCTAAAGTGGAGAGGGAGAAGTATGAGTGTTCTGTGTAAAGGCCTTTGCTAGACCTACTTTTATTAGATTAGCTGACCTGATGGTGCCCAGCTAGACAAACCAAGAGCTTAGAAGGTGATAAAATATAATAGGGCATGATCTAGTAAAGACTTCTGTGTAACCCAGTTTTATTTAAATTATGTATATCTTAAAGTATTAGAAAAATAGGCCATTATTTTTGCAGAGACATCAACTAATTTTTTAGGAAAGAGTAGAGCTGAGGTGGCCAGAGCCTGAAGATGTGTTATGTTTGGCCAACACAGTGGTTTTAAAATTTTTGAATCTGAATGCCTTTAGGTGGAATCTGCCATCTCTAGTTTTTATAATCCCAAAAGCCTTCTTCTGCATAAACAGACGTTACTTATCTGACACTGAGACATATTAGTTATAAGCAAGACTTAGGATTTATTGGAGCTAAATATAAAAGTGGTCTTGGATGACCTTGAAATTATAGATTTATAAATATAGCCACTACAATTAATACTAGAAAAAAATATGTTTAATGAATAAATACTTGAAACAAAGGTACTGAAAGTCTCCATTCATGCATTATTTTAAAAAACATGTATTAACTATATGTGCAAAAAAAAAAAAAACTATATGTACATTTTTTTAAAAACCAGAAAGTTACCATTGTTACTTCCAAGTGTTAGGTGTATGGATAATTTTTAATTTTTACTTTGTCCTTTAGTGATTTTTTCAAATTTTTACCACTGAACATGTAGTGCCAGTATAATCATTTTATCTAAAAACAGATATTTGCAAAAGAAATATCTAATAAAGGGCTGCTATCCAAAATACTCAAAGAACTCTTAAAACTCAACAATAACAAACAATCCAACTTAAAAAGTGGGTCAAAGACGTTAACAGACACCTCACCAAAGAAGACATACAAATGGCAAATAAGCATTTGAAAAGATGCTCCACATCATATATCAGAGAAATGCAAATTAAGACAAGATAGCACTACACACCTATTAAAATAGCCAAAAGCCAGAACACTGACAATACCAAATGCTGGTAACAATGTAGAGCAACAGGAACTCTCATTCATTGCTGGTGTAAAGGCCTTTGCTAGGCCTACTGTTACTAGATTAGTTGACCTGATGGTGGGAATGCAAAATGGTACTCTTCACTCGAGAACTTCCATTTAATTCTTTTTTTTTATAGTTACTAGTTCTCTTTTAAGGCTCCCTATCTGATCACTCATTAAAACATATTTGTCTTTATTTGAACATGTTTTCCTTTAGTTCTTTGAACATATTCATACTAGTGGCTTTAAAGACTTTATTCAATCTAATATCTGGGCCCAATTAGAATCATTTTTTATTAACTGAATATTAATCATACATTTCTTGAATATCAATCACACTTTTCAGTTTCTTTCCACATCTAGTGATTTTGGGTTAAAAACCAGACAGTGTAGATAACATGTTGTAGTGACTCTGGATACTGTTATGCTCTTGTGATGATAACTGAGCTTTCATTCTAATAGGCAGTTAACTTGACTAGACTCAAACTAGGCTTTTGTCTCTCCCATAGAGTGAAGCACCTCATCTCTCTGCTTGGTTCTTGCAGCTACCAACAAATGCCTTTTAGTATAGCCCTTTGAAGGTCTCTTCTGTACCTGTGCAGTTTAAACAAACTACACAACCAAAGATTTGAGCACAATTTATGCTCAGATTTCAGGGCTCACTCTCTGTGCAATTCTCTTGCGTATGAGATTTCTTTATAAGTTTCCATATGCTCTATCAGCTCCCAACTCTGTCATCTGATAATCCAAGCCACTAAAACTTCAACTTTCTGCCACTATAGCTATGCATAGGTCACAGAAGACACTCAGTCAACAAACACAGAAATCTTAACCAGTGTATTTGCTTTTCAAGTGTAGGCCCCTCTCACATTTCTGCCTACTTTTTTGTTGTTTTTGTTGTTGTTGTTGTGGCTGTTGTTGTTGTTACCAGACTCATTTAGGTTATTCCTATGTAAATGCACTTTAGTACTTGGTCACAGATTTCACCAGATCTTATACTTAGATTTTGGATCTCCCCTTTTCTGTACTTCTAGAATCTCCTCCCTTAATTCTCAGCCACTCTGCCAGCTCTGAACTCTGCTTTGAGCTAATAAGACTATCAGTTTTCTGCCATATGAGATCCAGGGATAGGGGAATTCCCTCAGGCGAAAACATCACAAACTTTGCAATTCTTACTCATTGTAGTATGGTCTTTTAAAGGTAAACCCTACTTTCTACCTGCTTCTGATCACTTTTCATTGCCTTCAAATAGTTTTCCAGATTTTATAATTGTTAATCTCTGGAGGCTTCATCCAACCATTTCATTCTGCCATTAATTAGAATTAGAAACACTGTTACATATTTTCATGTGCTTGAAATATTTTATAACAAAACATTGTACACAAAACACACACACAAATAGCTGTCTGAATGTACAGAGATGATATATATGTTTGTTTTCTTGATTATGATGGTAGTTTTTACAGGTATATATTATATATCTAAACTCAGCAAATTGTAGACTTTGAAGTTGCAGTTTATCGTATGTCAGTAAAGCTGCAGAAATGGGGAGGAAAACCTAATTGATTAAAAACCTAGTTGACTATAACAGTTTTCGATTATACATAAGTAGTTCTACTCCACAAAGCTATGGCTAGGGACTGATGTTTATAACTTAAGAAAGACACTTTAAAGTGAGGAACTAACAGGAATATGCAGTTCCATTTGTATCTAGCAATCAGGTGTATAACAAGAACATGGAGAATTATGCCAAATTTAGGAAATAATACTGAGATTGTAATTATATCTAAATTGTGCCATAGTTATTAATATAATTATCTAGGTTTTAATTTGACTTTATTTTAGAACTTTTAGAATCTGAATTGGAAATCTAACTTAAAGTTACTAGGGAAAGACATTTTGCCAACTTCTTCATATCCCTCCACTGAAATGTAAGCTCAGCAAAGGCAGAAACATTTTCTGTTTTGTTCGTTACTGATCTCCTGGCACACACAGCAGTGCTTGGCATAGAGTAAGGGCTCAAAAATATTTTTGCAATTAATGAATGAGAAAGGTAGAGTGTTGCTAAATAATTCAGATAGTCAATTAAGTGTTCTCTGAGAAGAGGTTTGAGGCAATAGAAATCAGTTTTGCCTACAGTAGAAAAGGACTAATCAAATCATGCTAGGTGATTTGCTCCTGGGAAATAGTTTTACAAACTTTTTTTTTTTCAAATACTGTTTTTAGGGCAGTGAACATAATTTTTGACTCCTTTATACCTAACATTAAAAAGCAGAAAATTTTAGACCTCAAACAATAGAAAAACTCAACAATTTATAGAATCACTGTACTTGATTCATTTTCCAATTATACACTACTATTACATACCTATAATATCTACTATAATTTCATATATACTATTGAAAAGATTAAAATCCAGGAAAAAAATTATTCAAGTTAATCATCATAACTTTAGAAACAAGTTTTGACTCAAGTAAGATGGCAAGATAAAGTTGATTTGGATACATCATTTTTTAATTCCCTTGTAAAAATAGGAAACCTATTTTTATTTATTTATTTATTTATTTAAAGACAGGGTCAGTCTCACTCTGTTGCCCAGGCTGGAGTGCAGTGGCCCCATCTCAGTTCACTGCAACCACCTCCTCCCAGGCTCAAGCAATCCTCCTGCCTCAGCCTCCCAAGTAGCTAAGACCGCAGGTATGTGCCACCAAGCCCAGCTAATTTTTTTATTTTTTGTAGGGATGAGATTTCACCACATTCCCCAGTCTGGAAACCTATTTTATTGAAATATCTTTTTATCTGTGAACGTTTGGTCTTTAGGTTTATAGAATAACAAGCTTTAAAAACAAATGACCTTCCACAGATTGAATGAGTAGACTGTATCTTATGATATCTTATGTTTTAAGTTCTTTATCTTTATACTTATCAAAGGTCTTCCTTATAATCTTATACGCTCATTTATCCTGATTCTCCCTCAGATAATCATAAAAATGAGAAAGGACCCTTGAGTGGAGCAAAAAGATTAAAGTAACCATTGATTGGCCTTCTATAGCTATAATTATTTTTCTCCTAATTTTACAAGTGAAAACAAATACTACATAAAAAATGTAAAATGTTTAAAAGCATTATTGTTTTTGCACATAAATGAAAAAAAAACAGCTTTCAAATAGTGACTGCTTTAAGTTAAAAAGAGACCATACTAATTCACCCTTCTCCCTGGAACCATTGAGTACAGTTAGAAATCTGCTTCAGTAGTCCCAATTACAAACAACAGGCAAATAAATCAAGGTGGTGACAGGTGGGGCATAAGGAAAAAGAAAGAGGAATTTCATAGGCAGAACTGATAGACTGGACAGTAACTGGATAGAGAGTGAAGAGGGACAAGGTGATTGGTAATGTTAATAAACTGATAGGAAATACAGAAAAAAGAGTATAGCTGGAAATAAGAGAAACTAATGAGTTTAGTTTAGAATGTATTGAGTGGTATCCAAAAGGCAACTGAAAATTCAGCTCTCAAAGTCAGGAAAGAGTCTGGAGGTACAGATCTGAGAACAGCAATGTGCAAGCAGTGCTGGACTACACGAAATTACTGAGGAAGAACATGTTGAACAAGGTACTAAAATTTCAAGAAAACCTCAAATTTAGAGGATGAGCAAAGAAAAACAAAAGACATAGACTAACAAGCAGCGGTGAAAGACGTGGGAGAATGAGAAGACAGTGGGGTCTCAAAGCCAAGGGCTATAAAGTTTTCAACTAGAAAATAATCAGTGAAGAGTCCAGAGAAGATGAGGCTTTCAGATTTTGCCATCAAGAAGTCATTAACTTAGAGTTTCTTAACAGCCCGTAGAGTATCAGAACTGAAATAAACCCAAAACTTCTCTAGCATTCTGTAAGAACTATAGTTTTCTACCCAGCAAACTTGAGATCTAGTTCTCTAAGCAATAAAAATGCCGTAAACTAGAAGAATATACCATGTTATCATAACTTGGCACTACAAGTTGCTACTTTCCCATCTACTAATTTGCTTGCTTTTACTCCTCTCAGATCCAGAAAGAATTTTTAGTGATGGCTCCTAGTGTTTAATTTCAGTTAATCCATCAATCAATTCTGTTGATTCTCTCTGAAAATTAATTCTGGACTCCAACCACCTCTCACTGCATTCCCTGTTACCATCTTGAATATTATCTCTAAGCTATTATTGCAACAGACTCCCTGCTTCAATCCTTAGCCCCCTATACCCATATCTCAATGCAGTAGTCAAAATAATCTGTTAAAAAATATCTATCAGATCACATTAACTCCTCTGTTTAAAACCTTCCATTGGTTTCTTATCTCACAAACTAGGCAAATCCGTACATAATCTGGCCTCTGGCTCATCCCCTAAAATTGTCCCCCCTCACTCACTCGGTCCCAGCCCTATTGGCCTCCATGCTCTTTATCTAACACAGTGGTTTTCAAACTTCAATGTGTATCAGAATCATCTGGAGAGTGTGTTAAAATTTAGATTGCTGAGCCACACCACTGGAGTTTCTAATTTAGTAGTTTTGGAGTGGGGCTGAGAATTTGTATTTCTAACAAGTTGCTGATGCTGCTGATCAGAAGAGCACACTTTGAGAACTACTGATCTAACATACCAACAACAGTCCTGCCTCTGGCCCTTTGCATTGCCTAGGGCATTCCTATCACAAATGGCCTCAACACTTCTTATTTACGTTTTCTTATTTCCTTATAATGTTTTCTTATTTCCTTGACTGAACTATCTTCTTATCAGTAGCACAGCTCTCAACCAATGGAAGCTGGCAGCTCTACCCCTACCTCTCTAAAGAAATACTAAGTTAGATCACCCTGCAGCAGAGTAGAGACCACAGATGGCAAGCTTCTCCCCTGTGCTGGGCTTGTAATCAGCTCCTGAGACTCCTTCTCTTAAATATGGACACATACATATAACCAGACATTTGAGAAAAATACCTAGTGTAAAATATAGACACCACAACAAATTAACGAAGGTTAAAAAAAGATTAAATTCACCTTCATTCAGGTTTAACGGTAGTATGTGATCAAATTAAACAGCAAATATCATTTGCAGCATTTTGTTTTTTAACCAGATTCCCTACAGCATGGCCTATTTCAAAACAGACTGGTGTTTTAAATCTATTATTATTCTGGATAATGCTCAAGAACAATACTTTTGAAATATTTTCTTTGAGATAAGCTAGCCAAAACTTCACTTTTCCTGCCAAAGTTATCAAGTTGCTTAAATTCTTGTATGCTTAACTATGTTTATCAGAGCAAAGTTCAATTTCCAACAAATGAAACTAAAGGCACCTTTTAACTCCCATTCAAATAACTTTCTTCTTCAAATGTTGCCACTTTTGTTTCTCAAGGCCTCTTCATTCTCTTCTCCCGCCAAAAAGCCTCTCGGATTGAGTTCTATCTACCTAGGTAATTCACCAGTTCTTATAACATAATACAAGTAGGAAAAGATGAAACACATGCATATAATTTCACTAATTCTCAAAATCTCAGTAAGACTGTGTCTGGAATTGGTGGGTTCTTGGTCTCACTGACTTCAAGAATGAAGCCGCGGACCCTCGCAGTGAGTGTTACAGCTCTTAAAGTGGCGCGTCTGGAGTCTGTCCCTTCTGATGTTCAGATGTGTTCGGAGTTTCTTCCTTCTGGTGGGTTCGTGGTCTCGCTGGCTCAGGAGTGAAGCTGCAGACCTTCGCGATGAGTGTTAACAGCTCTTAAGGCATCGCGTCTGGAGTTGTTCGTTCCTCCTGGTGGGCTCGTGGTCTCGCTGGGCTCAGGAGTGAAGCTGCAGATCTTCGCGGTGAGTGTTACAGCTCATAAAAGCAGCGTGGACCCAAAGAGTGAGCAGTAGCAAGATTTATTGCAAAGAACAAAAGACCAAAGCTTCCACACTGTGGAAGGGGACCCAAGCGGGTTACCAATGCTGGCTCGGGTAGCCTGCTTTTATTCTCTTATCTGGCCCCACCCACAACCTGCTGATTGGTAGAGCCGAGTGGCCTGTTTTGTCAGGGCACTGATTGGTGCGTTTACAATCCCTGAGCTAGATACAAAGGTTCTCCACGTCCCCATCAGATTAGTTAGATACAGAGTTTCCACACACAGGTTCTCCAAGGCCCCACCAGAGCAGCTAGATACAGAGTGTCGATTGGTGCACTCACAAACCTTGAGCTAAACACAGGGTGCTGATTGGTGTGTTTACAAACCTTGAGCTAGATACAGAATGCCAATTGGTGTATTTACAATCCTTGAGCTAGACATAAAGGTTCTCCACGTCCTCACCAGAGCAGCTAGATACGGAGTGTCGATTGGTGCACTCCCAAACCTTGAGCTAAACACAGGGTGCTGATTGGTGTATTTACAATCCCTGAGCTAGATATAAAGACTCTCCACGTCCCCACCAGACTCAGGAGCCCAGCTGGCTTCACCTAGTGGATCCCGCACCGGGGCTGCAGGTGGAGCTGCCTGCCAGTCCTGCACCCTGTGCTCGCATTCCTCAGCCCTTGGATGGTCGATGGGACTGGGCGCCGTGGAGCAGGGGGTGGCGCTCATCGGGGAGGCTCGGGCCGCACAGGAGCCCATGGAGTGGGTGGGAGGCTCAGGCATGGCAGGCTGCAGGTCCTGAGCCCTGCCCCGTGGGAAGGCAGCTAAGGCCCGGCGAGAAATCGAGCGCAGCGCCGGTGGGCCAGCATTGCTGGGGGACTCAGTACACCCTCCGCAGCCACTGGCCCGGGTGCTAAGTCCCCCATTGCCCGGGGACAGCAGGGCTGGCTGGCTGCTCCGAGTGCGGGGCCCACCAAGCCCACGCCCACCCGGAACTCCAGCTGGCCCGCAAGCGCCGCACACAGCCCCGGTTCCCGCTCGTGCCTCTCCCTCCACATCTCCCTGCAAGCTGAGGGAGTGGGCTCCGGCCTTGGCCAGCCCAGAAAGGGGCTCCCACAGTGCAGTGGGGGGACTGAAGGGCTCCTCTAATGCCACCAAAGTGGGAGCCCAGGCAGGGGAGGTGCCGAGAGCAAGCGAGGGCTCTGAGGACTGCCAGCACGCTGTCACCTCTCAAGACTACATAAAAGTTTTTTTGTTTTTTCTTCTTAAAGATAAAAGCTAGAGATATACTTGACACACATTGCAGCTGTATGCCAAATGGTCAAGTGTTGAAATCAACATTCAGCTGACACCAAATGTCACCATTATATAAGGAAATACTGGGATACAGGAACCAATATAAATCTTAGACTATATGCTCCAGATACCTGAGACCAAGGTATCTCAAGTTAGTGTTCCTGAAGGCAGACCATGCCACCATTAGGTGCCAATGAACCCCAGGAACGCCAAGGGGTGGGTGTTTGTTGGAGGTGTAGATGGAGCTTGGACATGGGGCCTGGTGTATGTGTGAGGTCTTTCAAAATGCAGTACCTATTACCAAAGGTGGGAAGGGAATTGGGGCAGGCCTCAGACCAGGGGGTGGCTCAGTGGCTCTCTCTACAACACCATGTTCCAAAACAGAACCCAAGAAGTCCAAAAATTCTAAATCTGATCTTGGACTTCCAGGTATTCCTAAGGATATATTTGTCAAGGTACACAGAAAGAGAAAATATTTAAGTGTGTAAGTTTGTTGTATAATTTTAAACTATGTAGACATATGTTATATAGGTCTCCATTTGTATTGCTACCCCAAGCCTAGCTGTTAAATGCTTAAAAAGCATTTAAAATGCTTTTAACGACGAACGCATTTAACATGCTTAAAAAGCATGTTAAAAGCCCAGCTGTCTAGAATGCTTATAAATATTTGACATTGTTACATTTATTAAATACAATAGTAACCTGGATTGATTTTTCCTCAGATTCCGATATGGCTGACTCACCTTTACTACTCAGGTTCCAGCTTACATATACCTCCTCAGAGAAGTCTTTCCTGACCACGTTGTGTAAAATAGCCCTCAGGAATCATCCATCATCACATTATCCTGTTTGATTTTCTTTACTTCCCTTACCGATATCCAAATTTATGCAAATTCCATCACAGCAGAGACCTTGCCTGCCTTGTTATTCATGTATAGACTAATGGATTCTTATTTTTTTCCATGGGTTATATATAATCTGTAACTGTCATTATCTATTGTATGGCTCCAATTTTCCAAGATCTGGCCAGTATGTCACTCGTTATCCTTTTGTCATGTCCCCATCTTTTTTTTTTTTTTTTCATTTTTAGCACTTCTTTACTTTCTGGCACCACAAGATATTCGAGATTCATTGTATACTTTTCTGCTTCAGCCCAAGGAGCTCCTATTATTTTTTCAGTCCTTTTAATGTTCAATAATTACAATGGCTACATACTATAGACTAAAGTGAATTTACTAAAGTAATTCTACTCCATGAGTTTGGCTCTACCTAAGTGGCTGACTGATACCCCCAAACATCATCTATAGTTTACCAACTAACTACATGGAAAAGCATTATATCTGTAAATAATAATGTTTGAAATAACATTTAAATATTTTAAATATTAAGTACCAAAAGTATTGGTGCTAAGACCAAGACCTTAGCAGATCATTCTTACAAAGTACATGGGGAAGCTATTAGGTTTTTGTTACTGCTGTTATTTATTGGTTTTATAAATTCTGACAGAGTTACCCTGTGCAGGTAAAAGGAACATTCTGGAATGTGACTTATTCCACTATATGTAGAGCTGTGTGCCCTCAGGAAAGTTACTCAACTGCTCTAAGCCTCAATTCCTACTCTGCAAAGCAGGATAATAGTGCTTATTCCATAGGGTTGGTATAAGATATCACTGGAAAGCAGTTAGCAAAGGACCTGGCATATAATAAGAGCTCACTAATACCAGATATTTCATTATTGTCCTCTGCAGATATAGCTATATGACCTTTTATATACTATATAAGGAAGGAACTTACAAAGCTCTGTAGGGTACATGAGCCATTTTCCCTTAATTAAGCAAACCAGGCCAGGCACAGTGGCTCACGCCTGTAATCCCAGCACTTTGGGTGGCAGAGGCAGGCGGATCACCTGAGGTCAGGAGTTCGAGACCAGCCTGGCCAACATGGTGAAACCCCGTCTCTACTAAAACTACAAAAATTAACTGGGCATGGTGGTGCATGACTGTAATCCCAGCTACTTGGGAGGCTGAGGCAGGAGAATTGCTTGAACCCAGGAGGCAGAGGCTGCAGTGAGCTGAGATCACGCCACTGTACTCCAGTCTGGGCAACAACAAGATTCCGTCTCAAAAAAAATAAAAAATTAAGCAAACTAGTAATGTTAATAAAACATTATTTTATGCATTTTCTTTCCAAGCATCTGCTTTACTCAAGAAACTTTAGGAAACTGGCAGTTGCCTGGGTGGAAAAGGGGGAGAGGAGAAGTGGGACAGAGGGTGGAGAGTCCTCCCATCAACAGCACAGTTGTTCAGTTCCCATTTCTTGATTACCTTTAGATACATAAATTTTTTCCTAATTGATACATGGATCAACTCTATCTTGCTTTATCTTCTTTAAAGGAAAAAAACTTTATATACTAAAGGAATTTCAGTTAGTAATATCATCTGGTGACTTAGTTAAGTTTTGGCTAGCATTTCACAGGCAGATAGCTCATTGAAGTGAACCTCACTAGCTACGTGGTTTTAACCATAACTTGGTTCCACAATGGCAAACCCCAAAATCATATTATAATAAGATAACAATGTCCTTTTGAGCTTCTGAAAATAACTCAGAACTCTGCTACTGGCAGTATTTTTTAAAATGTTTATGCTTTTCGAATGACAATTTTGCAATATGTAGCTAAAGACTTAAAAGTACAGATTTCTTTTTTCTGAATAGTAATTACAATCCTAGAACAGGCCCTAAAAAAATAAGAATGGAAAAATGTATGTACAAGAATATTCATCACAACATTGTTCATAATAGAAGAATGTTAGAAGGAGTTTAAACATCCAATAATAGATGATGAAGTAAACTGTAGTAGAGCTATACAACAGAAAAGTACATATTCAATAACGACACAGATCTACATTTACTGATATGGAAAGATGATCATGATGTATTTTTAAATGGAGATCACAGATTATAAATGAGAATATATAGAATTCTAGTTCTTTTTTAGAATACACAGTATGCATTTACATTATGATATACCTAACTATATATAAGCATAGATATGCAGGTATAGAAGGATCTGTACCAAAATATTAGTAGAGGTTATATCTAAGTGGATAATTAGGGGTAGCTTTAGATTTTCTTTTTTATATTGTTCCCTTTTCTGTAGTTTTTATAATAAGAATGTATTACTTCTACAATTACAGAAAGTTTAAATACCAATCAACCAACCATCGAACCACAAAGAATCTCAATATCTGATTTACCCCATGCCTTAAGCATTGATGATAAATGCCAGAATGTCCTGGCATCAAAGGAGGCAAGTAACTACTTCCTGGGATAAAAGAGGGCCTATAATTATCAGATGAGACAATATTTCAGAATATGATATCAGGCATAACTACTTAGCACAGCCCTGAAGTGCAGAAGCATATCAGAGAAAGAAATATTTTCCTGATACAAGTTCCCCTTAACAGAGAGAAACAGGATAGGTAATACACATAATTTGAGGTAGGAAAAAACTTACTGCAGTGGATAATCTGGATGCCAATGTCATTTCCAAGTTCCCTTTGAGACCAAGAAGTGCAGGGACTAAAATGAAAACTTCTGTAACTTTTCTGAACACCTCCCAGTGCTGTAAGAAAAAAAATAAAATAAAATTTTCTGGCACTCTTTAAAAAATACTTTAGAACAAAGACATTTCTAAAAATCTCAGCCTTTTTCCCAACTTGGCATCTACATTTTGAATAACCACACAGTTCATGTAATCAGCGAGCACTTAGCTTAACTCCATTCTCCTGAGCTCTGAAGCTCTGAGTCACTTTAAAAGATGCTGTTAGAGTTGGGGGTCAGCTGATATGTTGCTACAACCCATTCTACATCTACTTGTTACACAACCCTTATATTCCTAAAGGTTTTACTTTATCCCTTTATGATGACAATCGTTAGACTGGCTAGTGGTTAAGAGCACAGATTCTGGAATCAGACAATTGATTTGAATCTTGCTTCCAATACTAATTAAAACAAACCCACTGGAAAATTAGTGCTATTACTACCTAATTTCACAAATGAAGGAATAAAGACTCAGAGAGATTAAATTATTTCCCCAAGATCAAAAGATGGGACCTAGAGTTGACCCCAGGAGTTCTAAGTAATCCCATGTTTTAATCCCCATTTTAAGGTGTGAGGCAGAGAGGTTCATAAAAACAGCACTAAACTGGAAATAAGGTTTGTGCTTCTAGCCATGGATCTGTCATAACTTGGCTTCATGATCCTGGATGAGTCATGTATCTTTCTGATCTCAATTTCTTCATCCATTAAATGAAAATAATATCCACCCTATCTAGTCTTTGGAGAAATACCATGTATAAATGAAAAATAAACTTCTAATGTCCCCAACCAATGGAATAGACCCCCTTCTCAGCCAAGGGCATTCCAAAGTAAACCTAAAATCTAGCTTAGGCCATAATGGGAAGGGGGCGGGTCAGACATGCCTCATTATACCCTCTTCCCTTTAAAATTCAGGCATAACTGACCAACATTAACATTAAAACAGAGATCTTAAGACTGACAAAATAGACTCTTTGTAGCAATGAGATACCAAATTCCAAACAGTCTTTAGTATAGCATCACATGACAGCAGACCCTGAATGAAACTGAAGTATTTTACCCCAAAATATATTTCTTTGACATATTTTTAATGGCCCTGCAAAGCTGTCTCTTGTGGAGAAAATCTACATTCTGTAGCAAAACTTTTTCCCTTTCCAGGTCTTTTCCTGATCCAGGAGAGATTAACTAAGAGTCTGGCAACTTTTTAAGTCTGATAAGAAACATTTACCATCTATTCTCTCTGAAGCCTGCTACCTGGAGGCTTCATCTGCATAGTAAGAACCTTGGTCTCCACACCCCTTATCTTAACCCACATATTCCTTTCTATTGATTCCAGGTCTTCAAATAATTTAATTCTTTAAACCAATTGCCAATCAGAAAATCTTTGAATCCACCTATGACTTGGAAGCCCCCACTTTTAAGTTGTCCCACATTTCTGAACCAAACCAATGTATAACTTACATGTATTGATCGATGTCTGCCTGTAACTTCTGTCCCCCAAAAAATGTACAAAATCAAGCTATAACCCAACCATATTGGGCACATGTTCTCCATACCTCCTGAGGCTGTATCACAGGTCATGATCCGTAACTTTGGCAAAATAAACTTCTAAATTGAGGCCTGTCTTGGATGATTTTGGTTTACACATGATAATGAAAATAACAGATATTAAAATAACAGATATTAAAGATATATATAAAGATATTAAAGATACAAATATCTTAATAACACAAAGTGACATTTTACAAGTGCTATTAAGAGGTGATTATCCCAGTAAGATATTTTATGAGCTAGGCATATTAACTTTATATCAAAAAGTATCAAAAATATACATGTCATGAATACCAAGACAGATGAGAAAAGTAAAACTTATATCTATCAGATAAATGAAGGAAAATTTTGATTTGTTCCCAAACTTTCCCTAGGCTGTTCCAAACAGATGTAGAACTGGGGGGCCTAAAGAGACCTCAGAAAATATTTATCAGATCAGTCTTCTGTAAAATCCTGGTTCAAAGAGTTCACAAGGGAAATCCCTCTAATTGGGTTCAAGCCAATTAAGGATGGGCCTAAGAAAGCACTGGGTGGGGGGGGTTCAATGGCACCCCAGATTATTAGTCTTAAAAACTAACCAGCAAACGATTTTGTCCATGTTTTATGATGGGCTAACAATTCTGATGTGCTAATGAAATATGTATCTTTCAAAGACATTGGTAGCAATGATGATAATGATGAATAACAGATAATAATAATAACAAATATTAATAATATCTAACATTCACTGATCGTTATGTTCCAGGCACTGTTCTTTAGACTCACTCACTTAATCTTCACAACAAACCTAAGAGATAGGTATGATTTTTATCAGATCCCGGATATACTTCAGAATACCTTTTACCTAGGTCATCATTTTATGACACTTGCTGTGATACTGCGAAGCATATATTTGGTCTTCAACCCTGTTTCCTGGCATACATCTAAAATCGTTAGAATTTAGTGATACACAAAGTGATGTCTTTGTGTATGCTGATTGATGACAGCTGGCAGCCCCAGGTAGCTTCAGGATAGGGGCTGGTCACCAGAAAGACCAAGGCATTATTAGAGGACTGGGACTTTCAAACCACCCCCACCCACACAAACACCTTTGGGGAGGATGGAGGGACTGAAGGTTAAGTTGATCACCGATGACCAGGGGTTTAATAATCATGCCTACATAATGAAGCTTCATAAAAGTCCAAAAGGACTTGGTTTGGAGAGTTTCCACACAGCTGAACATTTGGAAGTTCCTGGATGAGGGAGCACACAGGGAGGGCATGAAAGCTCCGTGTCTCTGCCCCCATACCTCGCCCTACATATTTCTTCATCTGTATTCTTTGTAATAACCTTAATGAGAAACAGGTAGAGTTAAGTGTTTGCCTGAGTTCTGTGAGCAGCTTCAGCAGACCAATCAAGCCCGAAGAGGAGATCACCGGAACCCCAGCTTAAAGCCAGTTGGTCAGAAATTCTGGAGGCCAGGACTTGCATCTGGTATCTCAAGCGGAGGACAGTCTTTTGGACTGAGCCCTCAACCTGTGGGATCTGATGCTACCTCTGGATAATGTCAGAATTGAATTGGAGAACACTAATTCTGCATCAGCCAGTGTCTGCTGCAGAACTGACTGCTTGCTTGGTGTGTAGGGTAAAACCCCCACACATTTGGTCACAGAAGTCTTCTGTGTTGGTTGTTGCAACATGAAAGCATCACATGCCATCATGCTTTAGACCTGTTGGAATGCACGCCTATAGGTTACTCCCTTTGGTTATTCTTTCCACATTCAACTCAAATGAAATACTTATGGGAGAATTACTATGAAATACTTAACACCTCAGCATTGGTGTGACAACAATAAGAGCTATGAATTATTGATCTCCTATCTTGTGCCAAAAAATTCTACATTATTTTTTCCATACTAGTGAGAAATAAAAATCCAAATGCCCCAAAACCAACTGAAAGAACACTCTTACGGCCAAGAGGACAGCGTGACCTTGAAAACTGAGTTCTCGGCCAGGACAGCATGGGAGATCAACCACACCCCATTATACCCCTTTACCCTTGTTAACTGCCATTAGGCTTTCTTCCCTAAGGGCTACACAGAAATCAACCTTTTCAAAAGACTCCACTGCTGATCTTGACTGCTCCCACCCTCTTTTGTAGTTTCAGCAAAACAACTGACCAGGATTCCTTCCTGGTAAGAGACCAGTGATCACAGAGTGGTTCTGGCCAGTCTACATGGGACTCATGAAGGGGTATGAAGTTCCACTGCACATGCACGTTTCTCTTTTCACAAATACTCATGACTCCTCTTATAGCATATTAAATACGTACATTTGGCCACCCCACCCAGCATAAATTCCTATTTCCTTTTTCCCCTCCTTTGAAGTGTCTGTTTCTGGCTTCTGGCTAGAGGCGATGCTTCCCAGACTGTCAGAATGGCCACCTTGCAGGCTGCAACCCTGTATGAAATATAAAGCTCTCCTTTCCAAATTTATGTACCTCATCATTCAAAAGTTAACACCAGGTTGGGCAGCGGCTCACGCCTGTAATCCCAGCACTCTGGAAGGCCGAGGCAGATGGATCACTTGAGGTCAGGAGCTCGAGACCAGCCTGGCCAATATGGTGAAACCCCATCTCTGCAAAAATTAGCTGGCATAGTGGCAAGTGCCTGTAATCCCAGCTCCTTAGGAGGCCGAGGCAGGAGAATCGCCTGAACCCAGGAGGCAGAAGTTGCAGTGAGCTGAGACGGCGCCATTGCATTCCAGCCTGGGTGACAGGGCGAGACTCTATCTCAAAAAAAAGAAAAAAAAAAGTTAACACAACCTGATGTGCTTGCAGAAGTTCCCAAACTTTCTCAGTTCACGGCACGCTTAGTATCTGAGAAATATTTTCATAGCATCCTTAGGACAAAAAGAATACCTAACAATCCTATGTATTAAGTAGTTAGGTCCGAACAACCTAGTAAGTATTTATTTCCTAACACTTTAGTAACCATTTGAAGAACTTATACAGGTAAATTGAAAGAAAAAATAGTATTTAATGTCATTTTTTACAACCATAATTATTTACTAATGGGGTATAAGTACCTGTTTGGCACTGCATAACTTCTCAAATGTTGGAATTGGAAACTATCACCTTCATTTCCTGTTTTATATTGATTTTTGTGTGACTCTTGCTTTTTATCACAGCACTACTGAAAACCCAGTTCTGCAAAAGACATACCATCCAAAGAAATGGAGTGTGATCTAATGTTGAAATGTTAAGCCACCTTGAGCTAGTAGTCTACAGTGCATCCAGGAGACATCATTGTGTTTCCCTCAAAAACTTAAAATATCCCACAGTAACCCTGGAGTGTCTTGACACACAACTGGGAACTATGAGAAGAGTATGAAGTAGTATGCACAGGGGTCAACAGCAAGGGCTCTAGAGTCAGATCACCTTCACTGAAATTCTGACTCTACTACTTACTGTGTGATTTGGGCAAAATTATGCTTTACTTTCTGCATCTAAAATATGGACATACTTGTACCACCTCAGAAGATTCTGCTCAGGACTGTGCCTGCACATAGTAATTAACTGAGTGTTTATTAGCTGTAAGACCAGGATGCATTATCAGTTAATTTTCCTGTCAAGAGGACATAATGCAGAAAATGTCCAGAGAGGGAATGCTGAAGCAGCTAGTGCCAAAAATAATGTTCACTTACTTACAAATTTTACCATGATCCAGTATGTGCTCTGGAGCTATGAACCTGCCGTAAAGTATGACTTCTTGTCATACCTAACTTTGCACATGCATCACTGCAGAAACTGAGGTATACATCTACAAGTCAAACATAATGTCAGATTACTTACATAAATAATAGACTCAAAACCTAAAAATCTGTTTAAATCCACAAGAATAAACAAAAATGAAAATTCAAAATAATAAGTTGAAGAACACATCTATAGACTCCTAACTTTAAAATGACAGAGAACATTTTTTAATTGGTAAAAGAAGGTTATGCAGTTAAAAAAACACATACTCCAAATCCTTATATATGGAAAAAATTTTTATTGTCATTTAAACTTAGTTTGAAAATAAACCTTGGGCAGTATGGCCATTTTCACGATATTGATTCTTCCTACCCATGAGCATGGAATGTTCTTCCATTTGTTTGTATCCTCTTTTTATTTCATTGAGCAGTGGTGTGTAGTTCTCCTTGAAGAGGTCCTTCACATCCCTTATAAGTTAGATTCCTAGGTATTTTATTCTCTTTGAAGCAATTGTGAATGGGAGTTCACTCATGATTTGGCTCTCTGTTTGTCTGTTATTGGTGTATAAGAATGCTTGTGATTTTTGTACATTGATTTTGTATCCTGAGACTTTGCTGAAGTTGCTTATCAGCTTAAGGAGATTTTGGGCTGATATAATGGGGTTTTCTAGATATACAATCATGTCATCTGCAAACAGGGACAATTTGACTTCCTCTTTTCCTAATTGAATACCCTGTATTTCCTTCTCCTGCCTGATTGCCCTGGCCAGAACTTCCAACACTATGTTGAATAGGAGTGGTGAGAGAGGGCATCCCTGTCTTGTGACACTTTTCAAAGGGAATGCTTCCAGTTTTTGCCCATTCAGTATGATATTGGCTGTGGGTTTGTCATAGATAGCTCTTATTATTTTGAGATATGTCCCATCAATACCTAACTTATTGAGAGTTTTTAGCATAAGGGGTTGTTGAATTTTGTCAAAGGCCTTTTCTGCATCTATTGAGATAATCATGTGGTTTTTGTCTTTGGTTCTGTTTATATGCTGGATTACATTTATTGATTTGCGTATATTGAATCAGCCTTGCATCCCAGGGATGAAGCCCACTTGATCATGGTGGATAAGCTTTTTGATGTGCTGCTGGATTCGGTTTGCCAGTATTTTATTGAGGATTTTTGCATCAATGTTCATCAAAGATATTGATCTAAAATTCTCTTTTTTGGTTGTGTCTCTGCCCGGCTTTGGTATCAGGATGATGCTGGCCTCAGAAAATGAGTTAGGGAGGATTCCCTCTTTTTCTATTGATTGGAATAGTTTCAGAAGGAATGGTACCAGCTCCTCCTTGTACCTCTGTTAGAATTCGGCTGTGAATCCATTTTAGCCAAGGTAATTTATAGATTCAATGCCATCCCCATCAAGCTACCAATGACTTTCTTCACAGAATTGGAAAAAACTACTTTAAAGTTCATATGGAACCAAAAAAGAGCCCGCATCGCCAAGTCAATCCTAAGCCAAAAGAACAAAGTTGGAGGCATCACGCTACCTGACTTCAAACTATACTACAAGGCTACAGTAACCAAAACAGCATGGTACTGGTACCAAAACAGAGATATAGATCAATGGAACAGAACAGAGCCCTCAGAAATAACGCCACATATCTACAACTATCTGATCTTTGACAAACCTGACAAAAACAAGCAATGGGGAAAGAATTTCCTATTTAATAAATGGTGCTGGGAAAACTGGCTAGCCATATGTAGAAAGCTAAAACTGGATCCCTTCCTTACACCTTATACAAAAATTAATTCAAGATGGATTAAAGACTTAAATGTTAGACCTAAAACCATAAAAACCCTAGAAGAAAACCTAGGCATTACCATTCAGGACATAGGCGTGGGCAAGGACTTCATGTCTAAAACACCAAAAGCAATGGCAACAAAAGCCAAAATTGACAAATGGGATCTAATTAAACTAAAGAGCTTCTGCACAGCAAAAGAAACTACCATCAGAGTGAACAGGCAACCTACAAAATGGGAGAAAATTTTCACAACCTACTCATCTGACAAAGGGCTAATATCCAGAATCTACAATGAACTCAAACAAATTTACAAGAAAAAAACAAACAACCCCATCAACAAGTGGGCGAAGGACATGAACAGACACTTCTCAAAAGAAGACATTTATGCAGCCAAAAAACACGTGAAAAAATGCTCACCATCACTGGCCATCAGAGAAATGCAAATCAAAACCACAATGAGATACCATCTCACACCAGTTAGAATGGCAATCATTAAAAAGTCAGGAAACAACAGGTCCTGGAGAGGATGTGGAGAAATAGGAACACTTTTACACTGTTGGTGGGACTGTAAACTAGTTCAACCATTGTGGAAGACAGTGTGGCGATTCCTCGGGGATCTAGAACTAGAAATACCATTTGACCCAGCCATCCCATTACTGGGTATATACCCAAAGGACTATAAATCATGCTGCTATAAAGACACATGCACATGTATGTTTATTGCGGCACTATTCACAATAGCAAAGACTTGGAACCAACCCAAATATCCAACAATGATAGACTGGATTAAGAAAATGTGGCACATATACACCATGGAATACTATGCAGCCATAAAAAATGATGAGTTCATGTCCTTTGTAGGGACATGGATGAAACTGGAAATCATTCTTAGTAAATATCACAAGGACAAAAAACCAAACACCGCATGTTCTCACTCATAGGTGGGAATTGAACAATGAGAACACATGGACACAGGAAGGGGAACATCACAATCTGGGGAATGTTGTGGGGTGGGGGGAGGGGGGACGGGGTAGCATTAGGAGATATACCTAATGCTAAATGATGAGTTAATGGGTGCAGCACACCAGCATGGCACATGTATACATATGTAACTAACCTGCACATTGTGTACATGTACCCTAAAACTTAAAGTATAATAATAAAATAAAATAAATATATATATAAAATATATATATATAAAAAGAAAATAAACCTATTCACTTTTAAACATATGACAAAATGACCAACTTCAATCATAATTATAGAAATACAAATGAAAAGGTGAAAAGTTTTCACTGATGAGATTGGTAAAGATCAAAAAGTTGGAAAATACACTTTTGCTAAGAGTATAAGGACATAGGCACTCTTTTGCACTGCTTGTGAAAACGTAAATGTTTAACTTCTTTGGTGGAATCTGGTAATACCTATCAAATGTAAAATGACCAAAATTTTGACTCAGAATTCTACTTCTAGGAATCTGACCTATAAACAAACTTGCATATGAGTTCAAAAACACACCCATATAATGACTCTTCTTCATCATTGTTCATAACAGCCAAAGATTTGAGGCAATTAAAATCCCCTTCATAAGGTAACTCGGCAGATTAATTATGATACATCCTTGTATTAGTGCATTATCTGTCTGAGAAGAATTTGGTAAATCTGTGTGTACCTACAGTGAAAGAGCTCTAAGACAAATTAAGAAGATCAAAGTGAAGAGCAACATTATAGAGTGTTACTTAGTTTTTGTTTTTTAGAAAATATATATATTAATGCAAATACATTCATTTCATGTCTGTTGAAGGAGATACATGAAAAAAAAAAAAAAAAAAACTAAAAACAGTCATTTCTAAGGAAGGGCCCGGGCTAAGGGTGCATACAGCAGAGGACAGACTTTTTTCTCCATCACTTACTCTTTCATACTGCTTAAATATGCTTAACCAGGTACACATATTACTTTTTTTAAATTAAACTTTTTATTTTGAAGTAATTGTAGATTCACATGCAGTTATAAAAAACTAATACAGAGAGATCCCATGTAACCCTTACCCCATTTTTCCCCAGTGGTATCTTGCAAAAACTACAGTACAATATCACAACCAAGATATTGGCATTGATACAGTCAAGATATAGAACATTTCCATCACCACAAGGAGCTCTCCTAATTCTCTTTTAGAGCCATTTCTCTCCACTACTAATACCTCCTTAACCACTGGCAACCACTAATCTGTTCTCCACTTCTATAATTTTATCAATCAGAGAATTTTGTATGAATGAAGTAATACAATCTATAATATTTTAAGATTAGCTTTTCACTCAGCATAATTCTCTGGAGATTCATCTAGGTTGTTGCATGTGTCAATAGTTTATTTCTTTTTGTTGCTGGGTAGTAGTATTCCATCATATGAATTTACCAAAGTTTAACTCAACTGTTGAAGGACACTTCGGTTGTATCCAGTTCTTAGCCACCATGGATAATGCTACCATAACCATTCTTGTAGAGGATTTGTATGAACATAAGTCTGCATTCTCTGGGGATAAATGCCCAGGAATGCAGTTGCTATGTCACATGGTAGTTAATATTTAGGGTTTGTTTTTTTACAGAACTGCAAAAGTGTTTCCACAGCAGCTGTACCATTTTATATTCCCAACAGCAATGCATGATATCCTTTCTCTACATGCTAACTCCATCCAGTGTTGTCACTATGTTTTATTTTAGCCATTCTGATAGGTGTGTAGTGATAGTTCATTGTGGTTTTCATTTGCATTTCTCTAATGGCTAATGATGTTGAACTTCTTTTCATGTGTTTATCTGCCATCTGTATATGTTCTTCAGTGAACTGCTCTGGGTCTTCTGCCAATTTTCTAATTTTTTTTTAACTGTTGAGATTTAAGAGTTCTTACATATACTAATCCTTTGTCAGATAGGTGGTTTGAAAATATTTTTTCCCACTCTGTAGCTTGTCTTTTCATCCTTTTAGCATTGTTCAGAGTAAACTGTTTCTTTTATGAAATCCAATTTATTAATTTTTCTTTTTATGGATCATGTTTTTGGTGTCAAGTGTAAGAACTCTGCTTAGTCTGAAATCCTGAGATTTTCTCCTGTTTTTTCCCTAAAGGTTTTATCATTTACATTTCATATTTAAGTGTGTGGTCCATATTGAGTTAATTTTTCTATAAAGCACGAGACTCAGGTCAAATTTATTTGTTTGCCTATGGATGTTGAATTGCTCCAGCACCATTTGCTGAAAAGGCTATTTTTGCCTCCACTGAATTGCTTTGGCACCTCTGTCAAAAATTAGTTGGATGTATTTGTGTGGGTCTCTCTCTCTAGGTTGTCCATTCTGTGGCATTGATCTCTGTGTCTATCCATCCTCTAATATCATGCAGTCTGGATTATTAAACCATATAATAATTCTTGAAATTTTTCCTGTCTCAAAATTGTTACAGCTATCCTATTTTCTTTCCGTTTGGATATGAATTTTAGAATAATCTTATTTATATCTACAAAAAGTCTTGCTGGAATTTAAAAGGGAATTCTGTTAAACATTCAAGATGACAAGGAAAAGTAATGCAGAAATTTATCAGAGAAATTTAACAAAGAGATTGAAATAATAAAAATAAAAGAAAACAAATCGTAAAACTGAGAAATACATTTGCTGAACTGATAAATTCATTGAAAGCTCTCAACAGAATGGATCAAGCAGAAGAAAGAGTCGGTGAGCTATTTGAAAATACACAGAGAAGAAAAAAAGAAAAAGAAAAACAGCCTGCACAACAAAGCAAGACCCTGTCTCGACAAAATTTTTTTTAAATTAGCTGGATATGGGCTGGGCGTGGTGGCTCACACCTGTAATCCCAGCACTTTGGGAGGCCGAGGCAGGCGGATCACAAGGTCAGGAGATCGAGACCATCCTGGCTAACACAGTGAAACCCCATCTCTACTAAAAATACAAAAAATTAGCTAGGTGTGGTGGCGGGCACTTGTAGTCCCAGCTACTAGGGAGGCTGAGGTAGGAGAATGGCATGAACCTGGGAAGCAGAGCTTGCAGTGAGCTGAGATCATGCCACTGCACTCCAGCCTGGGTGACAGAGCAAGACTCTGTCTCAAAAAATAAAATAAAATAAAATAATAATAATAATAAAAAATTAGCTGGGTATGGTGTCACATGCCTGTGGTCCCAACTACTTAGGAACTGAGGTGGGAGGATCACTTGAGCCCAGGAATTTGAAGCTGGGCTCCAGTCTGGGAGAAAGAAACCCTGTCTCTTAAAAAAACAAGAAGGAAAAAAAGGATCAAAGATTGTCTACAAGCTATAAAAAACTACCTTGAAAGACGAAATCTAATAATTATTCATATTCAAGAGGGAGTTGAGCAAGAGCAAGGGATAGAAAGCTTATTCAAAGAAATAAAAACTGAAAACTTTCCAAAACTTGAGAAAGCTATAAATATCCAGATACAATAAGGTCAGAGAACACCAGATCTGACCCAAATAAGACTACCCCAAGGCATATAATAATAAAATCTCAAAAGTCAAAGAGAGAGAATCCTAAAAGCAGCAAGAGAAAAAGAAGAAATAACATGTGAAGGAGCTCCAGGTCATCTGGCAACAGACTTTTCAGCAGAAACCATACAGGCCAGAAGAGGGTGAAATAACATTTTCAAAATGCTGAAAGAAATTTGAAAAGAAAAAAAAAAAAGCTACCATCCAAGAATACTATAACCAGCAAAGCTATCCCAGACAAACAAAAGCTGGGAGAATTCAGCACCTCTAGTTTTGTCTTATAAGAAATACTAAAGGGAGTTCTTTGACCTGAAAGAAAAACACACTAATGTGCAAAAAGAAAACAGTTGAAGATAAAAAATCCACTGGTAAAACTAAGTGCACAGCAAAACCAAGAATACTCTAATACTGTAATTAGGGTGTGCAATCCGCTCATAACTCTAGTATGAAGCCTAAAACACAAATCTATCAAAAACAATAATAGCTACAGCAACCCATTAAGAGATAGGCAATATAAAAATGTGAAAATTGGAATAACCAAAGGTCAAAAATGGAGGGGGTGGAGTTAAAGTGTAGAGTTTCTTAGTTTTTTCTTTGTTTCTATTATTTTCTTTGTGATCTAAGATAAGTTGTCATCTCTTTAAAATAACATTATAAGATTTTTTTTTAAGCCTTATGGTAACCACAGTGTAAAAATCTATAACTTATTCACTAAAAATAAAAAGCAGCAAATTGAAACATGCAACTAGAGAAAAATCACAAACGAATCACAGAGGAAGACAGTAAGAAAGGAAGAGTTACAAAACAGGCAGAAAATAAGCAACAAAATGTCAATTGTAAGTCCTTACTTATCAATAATAATACTGAATGTAAATTACTCAATTCTCCAATGAAAAGGCATAGAGTGGCTACATGGGTAAAGAAACAAGACCCAGGTTTCTGCCTACAAGAAACCCACTTCATCTATAAAGACACACCTAGACTGGAGGTGAAGCAGTAGAAAAATATATTCCATGCAACTAGAAACCAAGAAAAGAGCAAAGAATAGCTATATTTATGCTAGATAGAATAGACTACAAATCAAAGACAGTAAAAGAGAAAAAGAGACCACTATATAATGATAAAGGGGTCAATTCAGCAAGAAGACATAACAATTGTATATATATATATATATCCACCCAACACCAGAGCTTCTAAGTATATAAAGCAAACATTTATAAATCTAAAGAGAGAGAGATAGACTACAATACAGTAATAGTAGGGGACTTCAACACTCCACTCTCAATAATGAACAGATCAGTCAGACAGAAAATCAACAAAGAAACACTGGAGTTAAACCACACATTAGACCAAACAGACCTAACTGATAATTAGAGAACATTTCACCCAACTGCTACAGAAGATACATTCTTTTCATCAGCACGCAGAACATTCTACCAGAATAGATTATATCTTAAGCCACAAAATATTCTCCACAAATTCAAAAAAGTAGATATCAGATCAAGTCTCTCTGCAGAGCACAATGGAATAAGACTAGAATCAATAAGAAGATGAACCTCAGAAACTACACAAACACATAGAAATTAAACCACATGCTCCTGAGTGACCAATGAAATGAAGAAATTAAGAAGGAAATTTAAAATTTAAAATTTTCTTGCAACAAATGAAAATGAAAATACAACATGTCAAAATCTATGGAATACAGCAATAGCAGTATTAAGAGGAAAGTTTATAACAATAAATACTATGTCAAAAAATAGAGGCCGGGCGCGGTGGCTCATGCCTGTAATCCCAGCACTTTGGGAGGCCGAGGCGTGTGGGTCACGAGGTCAGGAGGTCGAGACCATCCTGGCTAACACGGTGAAACTCCGTCTCTACTAAAAGCACAAAAAATTAGCCAGGCGGGGTGGCGGGCGCCTGTAGTCCCAGCTACTCAGGAGGCTGAGGCAGGAGAATGGTGTGAATCCAGGAGGCGGAGCTTGAAGTGAGCCGTGATCGTGCCACTGCACTCCAGCCTGGGCAACAGAGTGAGACTCCATCTCAAAAAAAAAAAAAAAAATAGAAAGACTTCAAATAAACAACTTAACTATGCACCCCAAGGAACTAGAAAAGCAAGAACAATTCAAACCCCAAATTAGTAGAAGAAAAGAAATTAAATAAAGATCAGAGCAGAAATAATGAAATTCAGACTAAAAAAATACAGATCAATGAAACAAAAAGTTATTTTTTGAAAAGATAAAATCAACAAACTTTTAGCTAGACTATGAAAAAAAGAGAGAAGTCCCAAATAAGTAAAATTAGAAATGAAAAAGGATTCATAACAACTGAGACCACAAAAATACAAAGAATCATCAAAGACTATTATGAACAACTATACACGAACAAATTGGAAAACATGCAACAAGGATAAATTCTGGACACATACAACTATTGAACCATGAAGAAATAGAAAACCTCAAGAAACCAGTAACCAAACATAAGCCCCATTTCATACTCTACACAAAAATCCATTCCAGGGAGGGAATGATCTAAATGTAAGAGCAAAACAGCAAAGCTTCAACAAAGTAATGTAATAGAATATCTTAATTACCACAGGGTATGGAAAGATTTCTTAGACGAGAGACATAAAACACAAACTATGAAAAAGCAGGAGGAAAAGAACTATTTCAAAATTAAGAACTTCTGCCACAGAGGAGAGAAAAGATGTTTTAAATATATAGCACTAAATGGCTCATATCCAAAATGTAACTCCTATAAATCTATAAGAAAAACAAATAACAGCTCCCATAAATCTATAAGAAAAACAAATAGAAAGATGGACAAAGAAAGCTTTACCAGTAATATCCAAATATACATCATTAGTTATCACAGAAATCTCTATTAAAACGACAATGAGGTACCACTCCACATGTGCCAGAATTTCTAAAAATAAAAAGACTACTGATTCCAAGTAGAAATAAGAATATAGAGTATTGAGATCTCTTGTACTCTGCTAATTAGACTGTAAATTGGTGCAACCAATGTGGAAAATCATATGACATCTACTAAATTTGAGTATCTCCATATCCTAAGACCTGGAAATTCCATCTCTACATATATACCCAAAAGAAATTCATGCATATGTGCATCAAAAGTCTGGAAGCAGCCTGGTGTGGTGGCTCACGCCTGTAATCCCAGCACTTTGGGAGGCTGAGGCAGGCGGATCACCTGAGGTCGGGAGTTCAAGACCAGCCTGACCCACATGGAGAAACCCCATCTCTATTAAAAATACAAAATTAGCCAGGTGTGGTGGCACATGCCTGTAATCCCAGCTACTCGGGAGGCTGAGGCAGGAGAATCGCTTGAACCTGGGAGTTGGAGGTTGCAGTGAGGTGAGACTGCACCATTGCACTCCAGCCAGGGCAACAAGAGTGAAACTCTGTCTCAAAAAAAAAAAAGAGTCTGGAAGCACCATTCCTCCCAATGTCCATTCATAGCAGAATAGATAAATTGTGGTACAGTATATTCATATAATGGATTACTATCCAGCAATGGAAATAAACTACAGTTTCATGAAATTTATATAATGTTGAGGGAAAAAAAGCCACACACACACAAAAAACCATGTTCTATACTTCCATTATATAGTTTAAAAAGAGTCAAGTAAAACCAAACTATGTTGTTTAGGGATACACACTTATAAAGACAAGCAAAGAGGTGCTTACCAGAAAATCAGATTAGTGATTACCTTTGGTGATGGGGACAAAAAGGGCAGCAATTGGAAGAAGGCACAAGGAGGACTAAAGAAGCAGTACTGGCAAAATTATATTTCTTGAGCTGGTTGATAGTTACATGGTTGTTTATATTACGAAAATCCAGAGTCTCTATTTTTTATTTTATATACTCTAGATGTATTACATTTCAATTAAAAAGTTTAAAAGAGCACATTCAAATAAAGTCTTTAAAAATATTTATATCGGCCAGGCGCGGTGGCTCACGCCTATAATCCCAGCACTTTGGGAGGCCGAGACAGGCGGATCACGAGGTCAGGAAATTGAGACCATCCTGGCTAACATGGTGAAACCCCATCTCTACTAAAAATACAAAAAATTAGCCGGGCGCGGTGGCGGGCGCCTGTAGTCCCAGCTACTTGGGAGGCTGAGGCAGGAGAACGGTATGAACCCGGGAGGCGGAGTTTGCAGTGAGCCGAGATAGCGCCACTGCAGTCCGGCCTGGGTGAAAGAGCGAGGCTCCATCTCAAAAAAAGAAAAAAAAAAATTTATATTACGTTTCTACAATGTTTAACACTAAAGTTTAACATTATAAAGTCCTTAGGGCTAGCACTGTAAAAGTTCATAAAATCATAAAAGGAACTTTTTCCAATTATATGCGTGCTGTTCTCTCAGTATCAGGAAGTAAGTCAACATTACTCCAGATACATAATGAGCTATATAAACATTCTGCTAAGCTGTACTCTAACACCTTAGTCCTATAGATGTTACCATTCTATAGTTAAATACTGAGTGTTTCTTCAGAATAATTGGTATCTCAAGAAAAAATCCAAACCAAAACCAGCCTATTTATTGTCGCAGCTGTGATACTACTATAAGAACCTAAAACAATTATATTTCAAGTGGATGTAGGTTTGCTCTCTCTTTGGTATTATTATCTATTTAAAACTTTAATGTACTGCAATATAGTTCCTCTCATATCCTTTCTCCAACTGATGGTGGAAAAATGTTTCTATTTATGTATATTTTCCATTTAGATAAAAATGTTACCTCTTGAATAGCATCTTAGAGTCACAAATAACCTGAGGTTCCTTTAGGGAACAAACAATGAAAGATAAGAGCACATTATAAGATAATATATCTAATAGTTTCCCAGAGGCAACCTTTCTATGACTGATAAACAAAAACTGACAGAACAAAATGTCACATTTTGGCAACTTATTACTTTAGAAAGATAATTATATAATAGGTATTTGGTAACCACAAGGCATTAAGAACACCTACAAATCGGCTAGACATGGTGGGTCATGCCTGTAATCCCAGCACTTTGGGAGGCAGAGGCAGGCGGATCACTTGAGGTCAGGAGATTGAGACCAGCCTAACCAACATCTCTACTAAAAATACAAAAATTAGCCAGGCATGGTAGCGTGAGCCTGTGGTCCCAGCTACTCAGGAGGCTGAGGCAGGAGAATCACTTGAACTTGGGAGGTGGAGATTGCAGTGAGCCAAGATCACGCCACTGCACTCCAGCCTGGGTGACAAAGCTAGACTGCGCCTTAAAAAAAATAAAAAAAAAAAGAGAATACCTACAAATCAATAAGTAGCACATAAATTTTAAAAATAAATAAAAGATACAAAAAATAATTCACAGAAAAAGAATGGCCAATAAACACATGACAATATGCTAAACATTAATAATAATGTTAATTAAAACATGATAACATTTTCCTGCCATTTGGCAAATATGAAAAAGATCAAGAAGACCCAGTGTTGGCTGGGCACAGTGGTACACACCTGCAATCCCTAGCACTTTGGAAAGGCCAAGGTGGGAGGATTGCTTGAGCCCAGGAGTTTGAGACCCGCCTGGGCAACACAGCAAGACCTTGTCTCTAAAAAAAAATTTTTTTTAATTAGTGAGGTGTAGTGCGCCTGTAGTACCAGCCACTCAAGAGGCTGAGGTGGGAGGGTTACTTGAGCCCAGGAGGTTGAGGGTGTAGTGACCTAGGCCACAGAGCGAGACCCTGTCTCAAAATAAAATAAAATAAAATAAATACCCAATGTTGATAGGGACATGAAAAAATAAAAGTACTTCTATTTTGACAGTAGGAGTATAAATTGATACAAATTTTTTGGAATGCGACTTGACAGTATCTACAAAATTTTAAACATAGATATTAATTCATACCCTAATATCCAACAATGCTGTTTTTAAATCTATCCTATGAAAACATTACTATATGAATATATATTCTTATAAGGATAGTTATTACAGCACCAATAAGGAAGAATGAGTAAGTAAATTTTGGTATATACATACAATGGAATATCATGCACTCAGTTTAAAATGCAGAAAATCTTTGTATACCAATTTGGAGAGATGTATTATTAAGCAATGAAAATAAGTTGCAGAAAAATATATGCAACATTTTATTTTTATTTTTGGAAAAACTCTCATATGTATATATGTAAGCATAGAAAAGAGGCTGCAAGTGTATACAACGAACACTTCACAATGATAATCTCTGGAGAGGAGGAGAGTTTTGATTCGGAGATAAGGAATAGGAGAAACTTCATGTTTTATTTAATACCCTCTAATGTTTGAAGTCATTTTAATGAGTATATATTAATTTTTATTTTAAAAGTAAGAAAGTATTTAAATATAACATTTTGGGAAGATTTTCTTTTAACCAAGCTCTTCCAAGGTCTGTAGAGAAGAGTTACTTTACAGTCAGAATAACTATTCTTTCAGAATTTCTAAAGGGGAAAAAAGAAAAACTCCCACCTAGAAATAGATTCTCTCCCAGAGTCAGCATCTGTTCATTTTACCAAGGGATAAATTAAATCTAAAGTGAATGTTTGAGAGTAGTAACCTACATAAAGCATTTTAAACAGAAATGGAATAACAAAAAAAGACAGTAAAGTTAAATAAAGATGAAAACCCACCTGTACTATATCCAGTACCATGCCAGCTGAAACTGTTCCAAAACCAGCTAGCAAAAAGGGCACAAGTATTTGCAATGCCATGATGCCACTGGATTCCTTTGGTAATTTTGGGGTCACTTCTACAATAGCATCTTCATCACCATCACTAGATATATCTTCATCTTGTAACATGGCAGTGGTTTCTGAAGTCTCCCTTCCATCACAGTAATTATAATTGGCATAGTCATCATACTTTTGGCTGCAGCTTGATGATGCGTGCCCATTATTGGCATGAAAAGACTGCTCTGAGAAACTGTGATACTCCATGTGTTGCTCAGATCTATTACTAAAAGTCTGTACTGCAGTTGATAATCCATCTTGCCAAATGCCGTTTGCTTTTTTGTGCCTGTCTTCTTGGTTTTTCTGGTAAATCACTGGAACCATACTCAAGAGTAAATTTAAAAACTTGTCGGATTGAATTGTGTTTAAACGTAAAGTCCAATCTACAAAACCTCCTCCACTACTTGGACCACCACTTGTTTTATCGGTAATAGATCTTCCTTTACTATTAGTCATATTGTCATCACAAAAGACCCTGTACTCCTTAGATCTCAAGCTTCGGGAACCACAGCAGATGAATCAGAACCGCACAAACACTGGTTTAAATTAAGTTGTTGACTTCATTGTGTAGAAAATATTTCCACTAATAAAAGATGTTCAGAAGTTCCACAGAAGGACTGGATCTGGAAAAATAAAATAATTTTTAAAAATCAGAGAAACAAGATAGTTTCAGTATCAAGATAGATACTTCAATTCTTATAAAGGTATTAAAAACACATGTTCTTAAACCAACCCTACGGTACTGATACTATACTTTGTGGGCTTAAAACATAACTGTTTTGTGCCACACAACTGCTTTGTGTACAGAAATATAATACAGAGCTATTTTTGTGCTCAATCTTGGTTAAAAGTATTTCTTATCTTTGCATACTTTATGTGATCAATATCCACGTAAGGTCTTCAACTGCCTCTTGAAATCCCACAGTGGACAAATGTTTTAAATAAAGTAATGGCTTTTATTACTATTGCAAGGACTCAGAATCAAATTGCTATACCCTTTGCATCTGTCAGTACACAACAAAAGATATATGGCATTATACTTTAAACATTAAATAATAAACCATATTACTTTATTTACAACTTAATATAATATACATTTTATTATTAAGATATGAAGAGACAAGGATGATGTTTACTATAAAAACACTTGGTAGGTATCCTGAATACTATATAGGGCATTTATTTCACAAATAAAATGAGGCTGGAGTCATATTTGTAGTTCTGAGATATAAAAGCTCATTATAATTGATTTAGGAATATAAACCTTCTTTCATTTAGGAATAACAAAACTAAAAAGAAATTACAAATATTCACTTAAACCTCCATTTGCAAACCAGCCAGAAGAAAGCTTGTAACGCACTTATTTATGCCCTGCCCTGTCCATTCATAGTTCTCAGTCTGCTCTGGCCCATAATCCCAGGGTAGAACCCTGACTGGCTGGCCACTCAGTGACTAGAGTCTCTTTGAAGACTTTGAACTAAGAGACACAAACACATAACTGTGGCACATCAAAGAGTGATGGGCACTGAAGCTGCAAGGTCACCCACGACCTGACCAGGAAGAAAACCTGACAATTGCTGCCATAGCTGGCAAGGCTTTCCAAGCTATCAGGTGTTTCTCAGAAACACCTAGGCCTGTCTTATACTTCCAAGAGCATCTAAGACCAAAAAAATGGCACTGATTTGATAAGGGATGGGTGGCCCCAAAACCTAACTGGACTGCGTTCCTGCCAAGCTAGACTGAGAATTGTTGCTGCTACTATTGCTGCTTTTAATGAAAACTACTATATTCCTCAGTATTTGTTTCCAATGTCTTAGAATATCCATCTCCTCTCTGGATAGGAAGATCAATAGCAAGGAATGGCAAAGGGAGAAAGAGAAGGGGCTATGTAGGACGTAAGTGGGTGTTAGGGCCTGGTTCATCAATTCCATCACTCACTCACTTTCCTTTCCTCTCTCTTGTGATTACAGAGGGGTCTGGGATCTGGGAATTCCTTCTGAGGAACATTTTTAAAATACAGATTCCAGGACACCAGACCTACTGACTCAGAATGTGTGTGTTTGAGGCCCATAAATCTTTTTTATTTTTAACTTTTCCATGTGATGATTATGGTGCAGACTTCCTGTGGACTTGCAATGAGTAGATTAAGCACTAGTTCCCATTTTTGCCACTTATAGGCTGGCCAGTATAGACAGAAAGTTGGTGTTTAAAGAAAATCAGATTAATGAAACCAATGGCCAGAGTGAAGCAGAGATAAAACGATGTAGTCCCCGAAAGAGAGAAAAGGGCAGAGAGCCTTCCAGGTAATGAAAGGCTGAGCTATACATCTGGAACTTAGGAGATTCCCTTCAGCTTCACATGAGTTAGATTGAGTGGGTGTCTGTTCCTTCAACTCATCTACCTTTTTAAAAAGTAGTGAGTATTTCACTGCCCCAATAGATCTTTAATCAAATAAAATGCAAAACAAACCCCAAAGAGATTGAGCTATAAGACAGGTCTATTCCATAGGAGGACCAGTGATAGGAAACTTCCCTCCTGATGCAGAATTACCAGGATGATCAAAATGGAAATGCAGAGAAATGTAGGTAAACAAGAAAGAGAGATGACAGTGTCACCATTCAGCCATTCTAAAGTTCAGAAAGCTCAAAATCTGTGCTTTGAAAACCTGACCAAATAGCAAAACTAGGTAGAAAAATAGAGAGGAGAGAAAGAAAACAAGGGGGAATTTCCCAAGACCAGTCATCTCAGAATTTCCCAAGATCAGTCATCTCGCAGAATATGTGCAGAACGTGGCTAAGCACATAGTCAACACTGAACTGGCCAGGGGGATCCAGATGCACAGACACATCCAGGTCATACTTTTGCTCCTAGTATTCTTACTTCGGTATAAGCTATCCAGAAGTTTAGATGCAGAGATGGATACTCAACCAGGTATACCATACACAGAGACCATCCAAATGTGTACAAAATTAAAAACAGAGTGCCTCCTGGAAAAAGGAAGCCCTGTAAATGGAGCTCTGGGCTGGATTTTAGCCCACGCTCTGTCCCCTCAGCAAGTACCTTCATGCAGTGCAGAATCTGCATAACCTTACACATCAGACTAGGCAGTTGGGTAAAATATGAAACTGTGCTTAAAAGACAAAAAACATATATGCTAGACAGATATTTTTTGTTGTTGTTTGCTCAGCATCTTTTCCCAATTCCTTTAGCTAATGGTATCTCCATTACCTATGGTAAATCCATTTCCCTATTCCATGAGATTCTAGTAGGTATATCAATCACAGTACCCTACCCTGCAGACCACAATAATGACAAATGGCTCAAGGAGGATCTGAGTCCCTTCCTGGAATTTTATATATTTGCTGCTTACTATTTCCTGAGTGCCTACAAGATGCTGGGGCTACAGTAATGAAACAAATAGGCACAGTTACTGCTCTGATGGATTTTACCTTGTAATTGGAAGGAAAAACAATAATCAGGTAAGCACATAAATAAAAGAGATAATTTGTGATAAAGGCTATGGAGGAAACAGTTGATTAAACAAAGAATAAATGACTTACAGGGCTATTTCAGAGGGGAAGGCCTTTGGGGGAAGACTTTCCTTTGGAATGACTTAATTCTGAAACTTTCTGTCACTGTGTCTTCCTCCTCACAAAGCTCCTTCTACCACCACCATCATCACCACCACTTGGAAGAAAGCCGTCTACATGAGAAGAGGATCTACAGAAAGAGGGAATCAGAGCTAGGCGGTAAGAGAGTCCTGACAACATAATTAGAATCTCTATACCATTTAGTTAAAACCCACTCCATTCCTGTTCTTCCCAACTATAGGCCAATAAATCTTCTTCATTGCTTAAGCTACTCTGAGTGGTGTTTCTGTCCTAACAGCTGTTTTTGTTTTTGTGTGTGTGTGTTTTTAAATAATATAGTTTGAAAGTGCCAGGAATGACCTTGATACAAGTATATGCCACAGACCACATATCACCATCATGCATTGAGGAAAATGTGGGCCTTTTAAAATTTTATCCTTCTTTTTATCTGGTTAATGAATACTTATCAGTTATTTCAATGCTTGCTTATTGACAAGGTCTATTATCTCCTTAATGATTCCTTAAACTTTCTTCCTTTAACTAAATAAATCACCTATTATAAACTCTTCTCGCTGAATAATGAATTACAATCAAAATAGCTTTGTGAGCAGTCCTAAGCAAAAAGAACAAATCTGGAGGCATCACATTACCTATCTTCAAACTATACTATAAGGATATAGTAGGCAGGGTGCAGTGGCTCATGCCTGCAATCACAGCATTTTGGGAGGCCGAGTCAGGAGAACTACTTGAGCCCAGGAGTTGGAACCAGCTTGGGCAACATGGCGAAACCTTGTCTCTACAAAAAATGCAAAAATTAGCTGGGCATGATGGCGTGCACCTGTAGTCCCAGCTACTCGGGAGGCTGAGGTGGGAGAAGCACTGGAGCCTGGGAGGTCAAGGCTGCAGTGATTTGTGTTTGCCTCACTGCAGTCCAGCCTGGGTGACGCAGTGAGACTTTGTCTCAAAAAAAAAAAAAAAAAAAAAAGATATAGTAACCAAAACAGCATGATACTGGTATAAAAGTAGATATATAGACCAAAGGAAGAGAATAAAGAACCCAAAAATAAAGCCAAATACAACCAACTGATATTCAAGAAGCACATAAAAACATAAATTGGGAAAAGGACATTCTATTCAATAAACAGCGCTGAGAAAATTAGACAGCCACATGTAGAAGAATGAAACTGGATCCCTATCTCTCACCCTATACAAAAATTAACTCCAAATGGATTAAAGACTTAAATCTAATACCTAAAGCCATAAAAATTCTAGAAGAAAACCTAGGAAAAAAACTCTTCTGGACATTGGTGTAGGCAAAGAATTTATGGCCAAGACCCCTAAAAGCAAATGCAATAAAAATAAATAAATAAATGAGACATAATTGAATGAAAAAGCTTCTGCAGAGCCAAAAAAACAATCATCAGAGTAAACATAACCTACAGAATGGGAGAAAACATTTGCAAATTATGCAGCCCACAAAGGACTAATATCCAGGTTCTACAAGGAAGTCAAATCAGCAAGAAAAAAACAAATGATCCCATCAGAAAGTAGGCAAATGACATGAATAGACACTTCTCAAAAGAAGACATACAAATGGCCAGCAAACATATTAAAAAGTGCTCAAAATCACTAATCATCAGGGAAATGCAAATTAAAACCACAATGAAATACCACCTAACCCCAGCCAAAACTCCCATTATTAAAATGTCAATAAACAATAGATGTTATCATGGATGTGGTGAAAAGAGAATGTTTATATACTGCTGGTGGGAATGTAAATTTGTACAGCCTCTATGGAAAATAGTATGGAGATTTCTTAAAGAACTAAAAGTGGATCTACCATTCGATTCAGCAATCCCACTACTGAGTATCTACCCAAAGGAAAAGAAGTAATCACATCAAAAAGACACTTGCACGCGTATGTTTATCTGTTTATTACAGCACAACTCACAATTGCAAAGATATGGAACAAACCTAAGTGCCCATCAATGAATTAGAGGATAAAGAAAATAAATACACACACACACATACACACACACACACCCATATATATACACCATGAAATACTGCTCAGCCATAAAAAAGAAAAAATAATGTCTTTTGCAGCAACTTGGATGGAGAGCTAGAGGCCATTATTCTAAGTGACGTAACTCAGGAATGGAAAACCAACTACTGCATGTTCTTAGTTTTAAGTGGGAGCTAAGTTATGGGTATGCAAAGGCATACAGAGTGGTATAATGGACACTGGAGACTCAGAAAGGGGGAGGGTGGGAGGAGGGTAAAGGACAAAAACCACCTATTAGGTACAATGCACACTACTTGGGTGATGGGTGCGCTATCCCAGACTTCACCACTATACAATTCATCCATGTAGCCCAAAACTACTTGTACTCATAAAGCTACTAAAAAAAAAAAATTGTTTAAGTTTTATGGTCGATTTAAAATGGGCATTGTGCATATATACCACAAAATTTAAATCATTTGTTCTATATTTGTTATCCATCAATCCATCAATGAATGGAAAAAAAAGTAAATTAAAAAAATAAGAAATAAAATTGGGCAGTTTCCACTGGCTTTACTGTGCTTAAAGAGTGCCATTGGGATATTTATCTCTAGCTACTTTAATAAGTTATGCTAATCTAATAGTAGCACAGCTGGGAAGAACCAGTGTCTTTAAAACTCCTAGGATTCTTACTTCAGTATAAGCTATTCAGAAGCTTAGATGGCTTAGGTTTAAATTCTGGACTCTCTTTGTAAACTATAAAGCAACAAAATGCTTAGATGAAAAGATCCACTACTTAATTCCTTAATGGCCAATATTTGTACAAGACAGACGTTTAGAGAAAAAAAAAAGAGCATCTACAACAGGTACAGAAAGTAGAGTGGTTAAAATCATGGCTTGGGATTCTATCTGCACTCCCATGTTCATTTCAGTATTGTTCACAATATCCAAGATATGGAAGTAATCTAGGTGTTCATCAACAGATGAATCGATAAATACAATGTGGTTTATAAACTACAATGGAATACTATTCAGCTTTAAAAAGTAAGAAAATTCTGTAATTCTTGACAACATGGACGGAACCGGAGGACATTACGCTAATTGAAATAAGCTAGGCACAGAAAGAAAAATATTGTACTTATGTGGAATCTGAAAAAGTTGATCTCTTAGAAACAGAGAGTAGACAGGTGGTTACAATGGGCGGTGGGGAGGAAGAGGAATGGGGAAAGGAAAGTTGTTGCTCAAAAGGTATAAAGTTTCAGTTAGACTGGGAAAGAAAGTTTTTGTTTTTTTTGTTTGTTTGTTTGTTTTGAGATAGAGTTTCGTTCTTGTTGCCCAAGCTGCAGTGCAATGGTACGATCTTGGCCCACTGCAACCTCCGCCTCCCAGGTTCAAGCAATTCTCCTGCCTCAGCTTCCCAAGTAGCTGGGATTAGAGGGGCATGCCACCACGCCCGGCTAATTTTTTGTATTTTTAGTAGAAATGGGGTTTCACCATGTTAGCCAGGCTGGTCTCAAACTCCTGACCTCAGGTGATCTGCCCTCCTCAGCCTCCCAAAGTGCTGGGATCATAGGCATGAGCCACCACGCCCGGCCTGGAAGAGTAAGTTTTGGTGATCTATTGCACTGTATGTTGACCACAGTTAATAATGTATTCTATGTTTCAAAATGCCAAAAAAAAATAGATTTTCAATATTCTCACCACAAAAAAAAGTCAGTGAGGTGATGTATATGTTAGTTATCTTGATTGAATATTTTCTATAACGTATACGTAGATCAAAATATCACATTACATATCATAAATATATAGCTATTATTTATTAAAAATAAATAAAATTTAAGAATTATTGAAATTGTTCATGTACTGTCAATAAAAATATCAAGCATGACTCAAAAATCCTGGATTAAATTGGATGTAACAAATGTTGTTATTTACTGGTTTTGTTCCAAAGACTCTTTAGGTGCTACAGGCAAACAACACAAAGGCCACTCTGACTACAGTCACGTACTGCCTAACAACATTGTGGTCAAGGATGGACCACATATATGATGGTGGTCCCATAAGATTACAATGGAGCTCAAAAATTCCTATTGCCAGCCCAGGTGCAGAGAGCTCACGCCTGTAATTCCAGCACTTTAGGAGGCCATGCTAGGTGGATCACTTGAGGCCAGGAGTTTGAGACCAGCCTGGCCAACACGGCGAAACCCTGTCTCTAGTAAAAATACAAAAATTAGCTGGGCATGAAGGCACACACCTGTAATCTCAGCTACTCGGGAGGCTGAACCATGAGAATTGGTTGAACCCAGGAGGCAGAGGTTGCAGTGAGCCAAGGTTACACCACTGCACTCCAGCCTGGGCAACAGAGCGAGACTGTCTTAAAAAAAAAAAAAAATTCCTGTTGCCTAGTGACATCATAGCTGTAAAAATGTCATAGCATGAGGCATTAGCCACATGTTTGTGGTGATGCTGGTATAAATACACCTACTGTGCTGCCAGTCATATAAAAGTATAACACATACAGTTACATATATGTAGTACATAATATTTGCCAATGATAATAAATAATGATTTTGTTACTGGTTTATGAATTTACTATACTATACTTTTTATATTATTTTAGCATGTATACCTGCTCCTTTGTGTGCTACTGGCCCAGGAAACCTTGCAGTGGGGCAAGATGTGAAGGTGGAAGACAGTGATAGTGATGATCTTGACCCTATGGAGGCCTATGCTAATGTGTGTGTGTATTAGTCCATTTTCATGTTACTGATAAAGACATACCCAAGACTGGGCAATCTACAAAAGAAAGAGGTTTAGTTGGACTCATGTGGCTGGGGAGGCCTCACAATCACGGCAGAAGGCAAGGAGGAGGAAGTCACATCTTACGTAGATGGTGGCAAGCAAAGAGAGAGCTTGTGCAGGGCAACTCCCATTTTTTAAAACCATCAGATCTCATGAGACCCATTCACTATCATGAGAACAGCACAAGAAACACCTGCCCCCGTAATTCAGTCACCTCCCACTGGGTTCCTCCCACAACATGTGGGAATTACAGGAGCGACAAGATGAGATTTGGGTAGGGACACAGAGCCAAACTATATCAGTGTGTGTCTTAGATTTTAATAAAAAGGTTTTTAAAAGTAAAAGAAAAAAACAAAAATTGAAAAAAGTATATAGAATAAGGAAACAAAGAAGGAAAATATTTTGTGCAGCTGTACAATGTGTGTGTGTTTTAAGCTAAGTATTATTACAAAAGTCAATATTTTTAATATTTAAAGTTTATAAAGTAAAAATGTTACAGGCTGGGTGCAATGGCTTATGCCTGTAATCCCAACACTTTGGGAGGCCAAGGCAGGAGTTTTCCTTGAGTCCAGGAGCTCAAGATTACAGTAAGCTATGATTGTGCACTGCACCCCAGTGGATGACAGAGCAAGACCCTGCCTCTAAACAATTTTTTAAATTAAAATTGAAACAATGAAAAATTAAAAGTTGCAGTAAGCTATAGTTTAACAAAGAAAAATATTTTTGTACATTTTGTGTAGCCTAAGTGTGTTTATAAAGTCTGCAGTAGTGCACAGTAATGTCCTAGCCCTTAACATTCACTCACCATTCACTTACTGACTTACCCAGAGCAACTTCCAGTACTGAAAACTCCATTCATGGTAAATGCCCTATACAGGTGTATCATTTTTTATTTTTTATACTGTGTTTTTACTATACGTTTTCTATTTTTAGATACACAAATACTTACCATTGTGTAACAACTGCCTATAATATTCAGTAGAGTAATGTGCTATACAAACCTGTATAACACGTTACTGTACTGTAGCCTAGGAGCGATAGGCCATACCACACAGCCTTGGCGTGTGGTAGGCTCTACCATCTAGGTTTGTGTTAGCATACTCTATGATACGCAATGATGAAATGCATCTAACAACACATTTCTCAGAATTTATCCCCATCATTAAGCCCTTCATTAAGTGATGCATGACTGTATTTAGTGCCTTAGATTCTTGTTATCAAAGTGTGGTCTTGGGTCCAGTGGCATGGCATCAACTGGGAGACTAAGAAATGCAGGACCTCAGTCAGCTCCCATCCCAACTCAACCTCCTGAATCAAAGTCTGTACTTTAAATGGTATCCCAAAGGATTTGTGTTACTTTGAGAAGCACCTCCCAATACATTCAAAAAGGAATCATTTGATATTACCAGGCTTTCAAGTGTGAACAAGGATGTAAGCAGTGGTAATGCATACAGCCCTACTTGTGCAAGTATAAACTGCCAAAAGCACTTTGGAAAACAATTTGGCATTATCTACCAAAACTGAGAGGCATGTGCCCCACAGTCCAGCATTTCCATCCTTAAATCCCTGCCCTAAAGAAATTCACACTGTACACCGGAAGACACATGAAAGAATGTTCTTGGTAGCATTATCCATACTAGCAAAAAAAAAAATGGAATTAATCCATGAGAAAGGATAAATTGTGGCATATCTATACAATGGAATATAAGAATAAGGATATGACAAACACACATTTCAAGAGTGCTTACATTTGGTGAAGTGATACAAAAGCACCCAGGAGGTTCCAAAGGTATTGGTTATATTTTTTAAGCTTGGTGGTGGATACCTAGTGTTTATTATTGTTCTTCAAATTGTGCATATACAAGACTGCTTCGATGTGATTAATACTGTGATGGATGTTATTATTACTCCCCGTTATTGGTCCCCTCCTACAGGAGGATTCTCGTCTCTACCTGTTGCCATGTTATTTGCAAGGACTGTAGGAGAATTCTACTTCCTCATCTCCATTAGCATCAGGTTTGGCCATGGGACTCTCTTTGGCCATCAGAATAAGAGCAGCAGCAACACTTACAAACAGAAACAATTCAGCTATGTCTCTTTGCTCCCTCTGTCATGAGAATGGCATGTCCTAGGCAGTTGCTGCTTCTTCAGACTGGGTCCCAAGACAACGACAGATGGAGAGATACAGCAACCACAGCCACCCCACAGCAATCAACAGGGTACACATAACAGGAGAAAGAAATAAAGCTTTGTCCCAGAAAGCCACTGAGAGTTTGGAATTGTTTATTATCACAGCATGACCTAACAAAAGCTAACTTAAAAAGTATATGTTTTAAAAAGTAATCTGACCCACAAATTCCTATCCATTTTAGTTTAGGAGAGTCTCTCTGATATACTGAGCACTTAAAGATTGCAGTCTATGGACAAGGAGTTTTAAAACACTGGCTTCCAAACATTTGAATCTCAAAAACCAAAATTTCCTCCCAAAATTTTACAAAGTTAAAAACAATCTTTTCCTAAAAAATAAGTATACATTTTAACACCAAAAATGTAGAAAGGACAAAATCTCAGACTAAAGGGCAGTCCTTTTCACTGAACACATTTAGATTTATGGAAAAGTTCATTTCATGTTTCCTGTGAGACCTTTGTCATAGTTTACCACTGGTTTATAGAGTCATGTCAGGGAATCATTGACTTAAAGGAAAATAAGACCAGACACTCCTTATGAATTCAACTTTACTTACAAAAATAAAAAAGGGTCTTGTTCTGTCACTCAGGCTAGAGTGCAGTGTTGCAATCATAGCTCACCAAAGCCTCAAACTCCTGGACTCAAGTGATCCTTGCACCTTAGCCTCCCGAGTAGCTAGGACTATAGGTGCAGGACACCACACCCAGCTAATTTTTAAATAGTTTGTACAGACAGGGTCTTGCTATGTTCCCCAGGCTGGTCTCAAACTCCTGGCCTCAAGTGATCACTTCCTCCTGCCTATGCCTCCCAAAGTGCTGGTATTACAGGCACGAGCCACCATGCCCAGCCATAAAATTGCTTATTTTTAAAAATAAAGAAAACAAAGTATATTGTATGTATGTGGATTTACCAAACCAGAATATTGGAGAAACTCTGCCTATCGTACTGAAAGAGGCATTCTGTTCCATTGCAAAAGTTAAATAACAATGCTTAGGAAATCCAGTAGAGCTGAAAGTCAGGAGACACAGGTCATTCCTAATTACTAAGGATGGTATTAAATCAGAGTTTAACATTTTGTTTTCTTCCCACAACAATAAAAGAAAAAGTTTTAATGCAATCTATTACCAGTAATTATTTCATTTAGTTGAATATCCCAGAACTTGTTGAGCAGATATGTATATTTATATAAACATACTAAGATCCACAGTACTATCAGACACACATACACACATACAGACACACCTAGAAATAGACTTATTTTATGGTTATTATATATTCTTACTTTTGCCACTCTGCAAGGGTACCTTGTTCTTTTAATTTTTTCTTAAAGTATACCTCCTCTACGTTTCTGTTTCCTATTATTATTATTTTTTTTTTGAGACGGAGTTTCACTCTTTTTGCCCAGGCTGGAGTGCAACGGCGTGATCTCGGCTCACCGCAACCTCTGCCTCCCAGGTTCAAGCGATTCTCCTGCCTCAGCCTCCCGAGTAGCTGGGATTACAAGCATGCACCACCACCCCGGCTAATTTTGTATTTTTAGTAGAGATGGGGTTTCTCCATGTGGGTCAGGCTGGTCTTGAACTCCCGACCCCAGGTGATCCACCTGCCTCAGCTTCCCAAAGTGCTAGGATTACAGAAGTGAGCCACCGAGCCCAGCCTTATTATTTTTATTTTTATTTTTTTTAAAAAGGCTCACCTGGGGGGGAGGGGGGAGGGATAGCATTAGGAGATATACCTACTGTTAAATGACGAGTTAATGGGTGCAGCACACCAACATGGCACATGTATACATATGGAACTAACCTGCACGTTGTGCACATGTACCCTAAAATTTAAAGTATAATAAAAAACAAAAAAATAAAAAAATAAAATATAAGCTAAAAAAAAAAAAGGCTCACCTCTAAAATGGAATGAAAGTATCTGAAAGTATCTCCCTTTTATCTCCTTTTTTTTTTTGGCTAAAATACATAAAGTTAGCTCCTGGCCGGGCATGGTAGTTCACACCTATAATCCCAGCACTTTGGAGGGCCAAGGCAGGTGGATCACCTGAGGTCAGGAGTTTGAGACCAGCCTGGCCAATAGGGTGAAACCCCATCTCTACTAAAAATACAAAAAATTAGCTGGGTGTGGTGGCAGACGCCTGTAGTCCCACCTACTCAGGAGGCTGAGGCAGGAGAATTACTTGAAAACGGGAGGCAGAGGTTGCAGTGAGCCGAGATCATGGTGATCCCGACCTCAGGTGATCCGCCTGCCTCCGAGTGACAGAGCAAGACTCTGCCTCAAAAAAAAAAAAAAAAAAAAAGTTAGCTCCGAAGAAAAATCTTGACTTTTTGGCTTAACCTAGAAACTTTCCACTGAAACTGAATTCAAGAACTCACATAGGTTTCATTTAGGGAACAGAGAGTGAAATCAAACTTTCTTAACAAGTTGGGGAACATGGAAGAGAGGTGAAAGGACAATCAACTGTCATGTCGGTAACACCAAATTGCTATAAAATGGGTATTCCTGAATTATCTGCACAAACACAAAAGCTTGAGAGCTTGAGACATCACAGACACAATTTTGCTACTGATACCCCAGAGCTAGCTGATTCCATAAAACAATTGCTCATTTCTAGGGTTGCCCACTGACAGAAAAGAATAATGTCATAACATTTATCAATCCTAAAGTTTCTACATGACTAAACATTTGTAAAGCATTTGTTTAAGCCTACAGAATAATGGATCCATTGAATAAATCCTCTATATAATAAATCCTCAATACATCGCAAATAATTTTTCAAATAAAACCAGACCCAGAGCCACGGATTTTGTTCTCAGAATCACAACCCTCAACTCTCGCCTCCCAAAAAAAGTTAATATAAATTTTTTAAAGGAATTTTTATTTGGAAGAAGGATATATCAAAAGCAAGCCAATGAATCAACTCAAACACAATCCAGTTAAACCAACTCTTAACTGAGAAAATGTTGACAGAATAAATATGCTATGTGTCCAAAGAACTAAGTGGATTGCATAAACAGAGTACAGTTCATTCTATCAGTTAGATTATATCTAGCTCCTATCAAACCAGGCAACTGAAAAGTGAAAAATATCAAATAGCTAATGCATGTGGGGCTTAAAACCTAGATGATGGGTTGATGGGTGCAGCAAATCACAATGGCACACGTATACCTATGTAACAAACTTGCACATTCTGCACATGTCTCCCAGAACTTAAAGTAAAATTAAATTTTAAAAAGTGAAAAATAATTCAGTCATTTAATTTGGAATTATGATTAAACTGACAGCAATGAATAAACAGTTTTTATTCATTCAAACAATTACCAAAAGTATTAGTGTTGCTGTTTGAGACAAGTCAACCAGTAGATGGATGGCAAACAAGGTGAATTAGAGAACTCTATTTTGAAGTTGAGAAAGTGCTTTTAAACAACAAAAAAAAGAGGTATATTTATTCCCCCTACTCTGTCTTAAACATTTCTTACATGTATCTTATTTTTAAAAAACCACCAAACACTTAATGACTCTCTCTTACAATTGACATGTGGCTGGGCACAGTGACTCACACCTGTAATCCTAGAACTTTGGGAGGCCGAGGCAGGTGGATCGCTTGAGCCAGGGAGTTTGAGACCAGCCTGAGCAACATGGCAGAAACCCGACTCTACAAAAATACAAAAATTAGCCAGGCATGGTATCTCATGCCTGTATTCTCAGCTACTCTGGAGACTGAGGTGGGAGGATCACCTGAGCCTGAGAAGTCGAAGCTGTAGTAAGCCATGATCATATCACTGCACTCCAGCCTGGGCCATAGAGTGAGATCTTGTCCAAAAAAAAAAAAAAACCATGTTAAATTCATTAATTTCCTGCAAATGATTTCAGAGAACTTTACCTCCTCATCACTCAGCACCTCCTCCCCTATACAGTCACAGGAACGTTTATTTAGAAATTACAGCTATAGAAGGTCTTGCTACTTAAAAATAGTATTTTTGCTTTTCTTCAATAAAAATTGAGCCAGCTTTTTTTACTTTAGCAGTGAGGAAACTTACAGCTACGTCTGAAACTCAAATTTTATAATTGATTTACTCATCTAATGTTATACTCCTAGTTTTATTTTCTCTGGTACTCTGTAAGTTGTATTATTTATGTTTTATTCTTACGTACTCTATCTTGTTACACAGAGTCAGCTTATAAAAAATACCTACACGAAATAATGAGTTCCCTGGCACTTATAAATCTGAAATAGCTAAATTTAGAAACTAAGTAACTGCAGTTCATTAGCATTTCAAATGAGTAGAAATTGTTATTCAGGATTCATACAAAAGTATACTTCCATACTTTATCCTTAACACATTTTTATACTCTCACAGTTCAATTTTTAAAATGCAAAACCCACTCAAGGACCAAATTAAAATACACACTTGACTTTGTATAATTAAACTGAAAGTTAAAAGCTTCCAGAATTTTAAGGTGCAGAAAAGATGCCAATGGGTTAAAGTTTAAAAGGAAAAAAAGCAAAAACCTTCTTTTTAAGAGAAGAGAAAGGAAGAAAGGGAGCCAATGTATCAATGCTTAGAAGAAAAACAAAATTATCTTTTTAAGAAAACTAAACAATCTGGAATCATCACCGAGAAAGTTAAAGAAATTCGAGATCAAATACAACGTAGAGCAGAGGAGCTTCAAAACACCAGACCCTGGGGCCTCCTCAGCCAATGGATGCCCTGGAGTCTCCCCTTCTTAGGACCTCTAGCAGCTATAATATTGCTCCTCCTCTTTCGACCCTGTATCTTTAACCTCCTTGTTAAGTTTGTTTCTTCCAGAATCGAAGCTGTAAAGCTACAAATGGTTCTTCAAATGGAGCTCCAGATGCAGTCCATGACTAAGATCTACCACGGACCCCTGGACCAGCCTGCTAGCCCATACTCCGATGTTAATGACATCGAAGGCACCTCTCCTGAGGAAATCTCAACTGCACAACCCCTATTATGCCCCAATTCAGCAGGAAGCAGTTAGAGCGGTCATCGGCCAACCTCTCCAACAGTACTTGGGTTTTCCTGCTGAGAGGGGGGACTGAGAGACAGGACTAGCTGGATTTCCTAGGCCAACTAAGAATCCCTAAGCCTAGCTGGGAAGGTGACCGCATCCACCTTTAAACACGGGGCTTGCAACTTAGCTCGCACCCAAACAATCAGGTAGTAAAGAGAGCTCACTAAAATGCTAATTAGGCAAAAATAGTAGGCAAAGAAATAGCCAATCATCTATCGCCTGAGAGCACAGCAGGAGGGACAATGATCGGGATATAAACCCAGGCATTCGAGGCAGCAACGGCTACCCTTTTTGGGTCCCCTCCCTTTGTATGGGAGCTCTGTTTTCGCTCTATTAAATCTTGCAACTACAAAAAAAAGGGAAAAAAGGAAAAGGAAAAAAATTACTTGCCATCTGTAAGGTTATCATTTTTATTCTACAATTTTAGACCACGAATATCTCATAATTTTCATGGCTATCACATCTTAAATACTTATTTGGAGGACTCATCCACAAGGCCTTCTCTTTCCCCTATCCCCAGAGAGAAGTAGCATTCTGCCATGAACTGGTGGCACTGAAGCACATTACCTCCCATTAGATTATGAAATGGGCAGTGCAGGACAGCCTCCACACCAAGGTCTTCCTCAGGTGGTGGCCTAACATCACCTTCCCTTACTGGGACACCTTCGTAATGGCACCACCCAAGGGATGAGGCCAAGCTTCTACCTTCTCCAAACTGCACTTTCCGTAAATCAGTTCAAGTGCACCAACTAATCACAAGAAACTAAATTGAGATTACGTAAATCACAGGTACACAGTATCATGTTACTCAATTATCTTGGCATCAAGTTGAAACAATGACCTAACTCTGAGTTCTTTACTCCTGCAATCAAGTTTCTCTTCTACCCTTTGGTCAGGGCTGAGCACTATTTTATTCAAATACCAGTTTGTGAGTTTGTCTGTTTTCAAAAGAACTTTCTTCTGGAGGGTTCTAAGCCCAGCTTGAAATTTAGGCTAAAACTATTCTCAAAACCACCCCAAAAGCCAATTTAGCTGTCATATAGTGATCTTTGCTCATAAAAATTCCCAACTACCCTTCTTTCCCAGATTAGTTAAAAGTGTGTTTCTAATATCCACTGGCATAGAGTTCTCTTCTATTGTTTTAATTTTTTTCATAAGAGTAATATGTATTCAATGTAAAAAAAAAAAAAAAGGTCAGGCATCACAGTGGCTGATGCCTATTATCCTAGCACTTTGGGAGGCCAAAGTGGGCATATCACGTGAGGTCAGGAGTTCGAGACCAGCCTGGCCAACATGGTGAAACCCTGTCTCTAATAAAAATACAAAAATTAGGCAGGCGTGGTGGTGCACACCTGTAATCCCAGCTACTCGGGAGGCTGAGGCAGGAGAATCGTTTGAACCCAGGAGGCAAGGTTGCAGTGAGCCGAGATCACACCACTGCACTCCAGCCTGGGCAACAGAGCAAGACTCCATCACACACACAAAAAATAATAAAAATAAAAAGTAAGAAAAGAAAAGAAAAGAAGGCTGGGCACGGTAGTTCACACCTGTAATCCCAGCACTTTGGGAGGCCAATGGGGTCAGATCACAAGGTCAGGAGATTGAGACCATCCTGGCTAATGCGGTGAAACCCCATCTCTACTAAAAATACAAAAAATTAGCCGGGCGTGGTGGCGGGCGCCTGTAGTCCCAGCTACTCAGGAGGCTGAGTCAGGAGAATGGCATGAACACAGGAGGTGGAGCTTGCAGTGAGCCGAGATCGCACCACTGCACTCTAGCATGGGTGACAGAGCGAGACTCCGCCTCAAAAAAAAAGAAAAAAAGAAAAGAAAAAGAAACCACAAAAGATACACAAAAACTGTTTATCCTGAAAATCCACCATCCAGAGATATTGGTATATATAAATTTACTATATTTTTTCCAAATATATGTTTAAGACAAAAATAGGCTCATATTGGACATACTGCTTTGCATCCTGCTTTTTTCCATTTCATAACATATCCAAAAAATTGTCTCAATCAATATTCTACAGTTATCTTTAAGTAAAAGGCAACAGCCTTCATTCTATTAATACATCCTAAATACTTTCAGACAATTCAGAATTCTGCTGTACTCCATTTTTTCATAGCCATAATTCACTTATATCTTATATGGGTTACACACTTGTGAATAAATAACTACAAATGAACCATCAACCTCCAAGGTGAAGCAAGGTGATACACCAAGTCCATGGTGTATCTCCCCTTCAATCCATCACATATAATTCAAAATGAAAATAACGCCAAACAAAACAAGTATAAGAGTCAAAAAAGGTATGATTTTCCCCCATGAATTCTACTTCATTGTTTTTAAAAAATGATAAAACATTAAAATTTTTTTATCTTTTTTGGCGACCCTTTCTAGTGCTCAAACATGCTTCGACTGCATATTAAGCATTATTCCCAGGGATTGAGAAAGGAATAGATTTTTTATTCTAAGAAGTAGCATAGGAGTTTTAAATTCAAGTTATAAAATCCATACACAATCAAAATCCCATAACTGGGTTTACAAATTTCAATCAGGCACTTTCTTTTTCTTTCTTTTTTTGTAGAGACATTGTCTCACTCTATTGCCCAGGAGGAACAGGATGGAGTGCAGGGTGTGATCCTGGCTCACTTTTTCCTTGAACTCCTGGGCTCAAGCAATCTTCCCACCTCAGCCTCCCTAGTAGCTGGAACTACAGGTGCATGCCACCATACCAAACTAATTTTTAAAAATTTTTTTGTGGAGACAGTCTCACTACATTGCTCAGACTGGTCTTGAACTCCTGGCCACAATCTATCTTCCCACCTTGGGCTCCCAAAGTGTTGAGTTTACAGGTATGGGCCACCACATCTGGCCCAGGCACATTTTAAAAGGAGAATACTAACTGCTTATTTAAAGTTGTATTATTCACATGGAATCTTTACGGCAAGTACTTTATGCTATGTTTGAAACTGTACAAATTTTACTGAGATGTTTGCAATGCTTTCATTCAATGAAAGATGACTTGTATTGAGTGATTTTTACGGGGGAATTTCAAGTGACTTATTTGTCAAATCTTCACACTTCAATTAAGAGAGATAATCTGCTTCCAAAAATTAACTGTCAAGAAGTGTCGACACACTAATGATAATGAGAGCAGTTAAGAGCTAGGGCTTCAGAGTCAAACTGGCTTACATCCTGACTTTCACTAACTGTGGGACCTATGCCTCTATACCTCAGTTTTCTCATGTAAATACATCTCCTTCACTGGTTTATGGTGAGGATTAAATGACTTAATACATATAAAGTGCTTAGAACAAACTTCAATAAATGTTAGCTAATATTATCATTATTCATCACTATTATTACACATTTTTTAAAAAGGCTCAAAACCTAACTTCCCACCTCTTTCTCCTCTTACCAATGAAATATACTATGTCATACAATCACAAAAATGTTGTACGCTGCTGTACTGAATTTCTGGCTTTTATTTTTGTCCTTTTTTTTTTTTTTTTTTTTTTTTTTGAGACAGAGTTTCATTCTGTCACCGAGGCTGGAGTGCGGTGGTGCTATCTCGGTTCACTGCAACCTCCACCTCCTGGGTTCAAGCAATTCTTCTGCCTCAGCCTCCTGAGTAGCTGGGACTACAGGTGCGCACCACCATGCTCGGCTAATTTTTGTATTTTTAGTAGAGACAAAGTTCACCATGTTGGCCAGGCTGGTCTGGATCTCCTGACCTCAGGTCCACCCACCTCAGCCTCCCAAAGTGCTGGGATTCCAGGCGTGAGCCACCATGCCTGGCCATTGGCTTTTAATTTTAAGATGAACTATTTTGTTCTAATTTTCTATTTAAAAAATCAACTGGATTTTAATATTCATATTTTATATAACTTATCCTATTTTTCATTAAATTAAATTGCCAGTATATTTTTTAAATTACATACATATTTTACATATATATATGTATGCACTGACCAGTATAAATACATACTAAACGGTACATATATATACCAAAAAGTACAAGTCTTCAGGGAACCACAATGTTTTAAAAGGAAAAAAAGACAATGAAAGTTGGATAAGGAACTAGCCCTAATACTGTTTTTTAATTTAAATATCATATCTCATATATATTTTAATTTACAAAGGACATCTAAATAACATTTTTATAATTTACAAATAAACCAGATTATCTTAAATCATACAATAAGGGTTATCCTGGGCTAATGAACTAAGTCTACTCAACCAGAACTCATGAAAGCATTAGAATCCACCATGAGTTTGCCTGGGGTCATTTTGAAATTCCACTAATCTAGAAATGTGACAAAAGAGTTTGCTGACTTTTCTCGGAAATAATTAAAATTGTTATTATGGAAATTCTTTATTGTTTCTTATCTAAAAGACAGGCTAATGTAGTAGATATAATGTAGCAGCTGAGCTTTTGGGAGCTAGGGATCCCTAAAAATTTTGCTTTCTTTGTCATATTTATAACAGTAGCCTTTCACTAAGTCCCAGTAGAATACACTGGATAATGACGAAAAAAATGTTTATTTCCCCAGGAAGTTGTCCTTTGGCCTAATTTGCTTCCTACATCATTTATACTTACCAGGAATATGAATAGCTTATAAAAATGCCACTCTCAGACTTAAAAAGCACTGCTCCAAAGAACTAAACTCTAATCAGTAAGTCCTAAAAAATATATAAAAACTTAAACCTAAAGGAAAGGAGATCACCCATTCTATCTACATCAATACTATTTAAAGCAAAAAGAATTGCTTTCTCTTATATATACTGACCTCATTTTATCTTTTGTAAAAAAAACCTTGAAGATAAGTATGTTCATCCTTTACAGTTTAGAAAACTGCATCTCAGAGAGGTTAAATAATATGCCCAAAGTTACAACGTTAGTAAGATAAAGACACAGGACTTGAGTTCATGACTTTCTGACTAACCAGTTAATGATAAGGAAGCCCCTGTAGACATTTCTCTGTGTTATAATCCTCTGGCGCCAGTGTACACAGCCATGGGCACAAGGATGATAGAACCAAGGTGTATCATCAGTGTTCCCTCTCAGCTCCTTTCATGCCAAACACTAGAACCCAGTAAACTGGATTCAAGTTATTTTTGAACACAGTTTATTGCTCAAGAATGGAAACAGCTCCTTCACAGGTTTCACCTCTGATCCATAGGTGAACTATCTCTGCACTATCTTCTGTTACTCAATCAATAAATGAACAAATACGGCTGGGCGTGGTGGCTCATGCCTGTAATCAGCACTTTGGGAGGCCGAGGTAGGTGGATCACCTGAGGTCAGGAGTTCGAGACCAGCCTGATCAACATGGAAAAACCCCATCTCTACTAAAAATACAAAATTAGTGGGGCATGGTGGTGGTGCATGCCTGTAATCCCAGCTACTTGGGAGGCTGAGGCAGGAGAATCACTTGAACCCAGGAGGCAGAGGTTGCGGTGAGCCAAGATCACACCATTGCACTCCAGCCTGGGTAACAAAAGCGAAACTCCGTCTCAAATAAATAAATAAATAAGTAAAATAAATGAACAAATATTTTCTGAAGATCCAGAAAAGTAATCATATCATAAATTGCCTTGTTTATAAGTACCAATATAAAAAACAGTGTGGAAGAAATAAGGGAACACTTATAACTTTAGTACCTGCTCCCAGAATGCTCTTACTTTATAACACATTATTTCACTTATTTACATTAAGATCATCCTTTACACAAAGATTTACATACAGATTTACATAAAGATCATCCTTTAATTTTGTAGCTTTTGCTACCAAATTCTGCAAATTATCCACACAGTATTAGACAAAATGTAAGTGTTCACCAACTACAAGTTGAAAGGAGGAATGAACAAAATGATGGTGAGCTAAACTTTTTCTTTTTTTAGACGGAGTTTCGCTCTTGTTGCCCAGGCTGGAGTGCAATGGCACGATCTCAGCTCACCACAACCTCTGCCTCCTGGGTTCAAGCAATTCTCCTGCCTCAGCCTCCTGAGTAGCTGGGATTACAGGCATGTGCCACCACGCCCGGCTAATATTGTATTTTTAGTAAGGACGAGGTTTCTCCACGTTGGTCAGGCTGGCCTCGAACTCCCGACCTCAGGTGATCCGCCTGCCTCAGCCTCCCAAAGTACTGGGATTACAGGTGTGAGCCACTGTGCCTGGCTGGTGCACTGAACCTTTAAGAACAGGTAAGATTTAGAGAAATTGAGGGGAGGTGGGGAGGGGAGAGAAGGAAAAGTGCCTTTCAACAAGGTGAATGGTAATCAGGCAGAAAACTGATGGGAAAATGGGAAGGTATGAGTAGACTATTCAATATGACCAAGCAGCAAAATGAGAAACTTGGGGAAGACATGGAATGCCTGACTATGGGGCTTAGGACTTTGTTTTCTAAATGAGGACAGTTCTAAATGAGGAAGAATAAATAACTTCCATTTATTCATTTATTTTAATTTTGAGACAGGGTCTCTGATATGCTCTGGTTGTGTCCCCACCCAAATCTGATCTTGAATTGTAATCCCCATAATCTCCACGTGTCTAGGAAGAGACCTGGTAGGAGGTGGTTGGATCATGGGGTTGGATTCCCCCACGCTGTTCTCATGATTTTGAGTGAATTCTCATGAGATCTGATGGTTTTATAAGGGACTGTTCTGCCTTCACTCCTCACACTTCTCTCTCTCCTGTTGCCATGTGAAGAAGGTCTTTGCTTCCCCTTCGCCTTCCGCCATGACTGTAAGTTTCCTGAGGCCTCCCCATGTGGAACTGTGAGTCAATTAAACCTCTTTCCTTTATAAATCAGCCAGTCTTGGGTATTTCTTTATAGCACTGTGAGAACGGACTAACACAGTCTCACTACTTTTCCCAGGCTGGTCACGAACTCCTGAACTGAAGCCACCCTACCACCTCAGTCTCCTGAGATAGCTGGGACTACAGGAACTGTGGCTGGCTAAGCCTTTATTTTTAATGCAGAGGAACCCTTTATTTAAATTAAACCCTATGTGAAATCCCAATATATAAAACAGTTTTGTAAAAGCAAAGCAGTACCCATTGAAGCACCCTGGTTTCCACCCACTGGGTCCCCATATTACCCAACTTGAGAAGACCCTGAAACTCCTTCTCGGTTTAAAAACCACTGGATTAGAAAAAGATCTGCAAGGCTAATAACAAAGTGCTCAAAGCATTTACCTCTAAGGAACTGGGTATGCCTAGATTGAGGTGGCTGGGGGAGGGGTAAGCAGTAATAGAAAGCAAGATTGAAATATCATTTTCACTTTTTTTGATTCTACATATTTTTATATTATTTGAACTTTTGTTTGAGTACTTTTTACTTTTTAATTTAAAAAGTAATTAACAGGAAGAAACTATTGCTCTAAAAAAGTATTTTTAATGGTTAAACTTTTTCAAATGGATTCCCATATTTTAGTAAATAATTTCCCTATAGCAGGACATTATTTGGCTAAATTACATTGCAATGAAAATGAATATCTCTGTGCCTAATACTTTCCCATATTTAGAGTTATTTCCTTAGGATAAACTTATACAAGTTAACAGTTTCCATTTAGTTCTACAATGTACTACTTAAATTAAGACTCTGTGGAATATAAAAAGATAAAATTCTCTGAGTGCTTTTTAAAAGCCATCTCATATTAGCAAAATTTGATTTTGGCATTCCAGTTTAAGATACATAAACCCTAACTTAAAAACTAACGAGCAAAATTTTTCACAAATCAAAAATTTAGTAAGATAAATTTGAATCAGAACTGAAATCTCCTTACCTTTTATGAACTGTTCGTAACTTCTTTTACCACTGATCGGAACCAAACACTGAAAGAATTTTTCCTTTATGGTTGGGTTTCACAATTTAATTCTGTGAAGTCATAATACTGTGACAGTAGAATCATGCTCTGGCAACAAACTGACATCATTAAATTCTTATTTGTAAATTCTTTAGGGTATATGGATGTTCTATTTTCATTTGTAAGAACAAAATCTATTTTCTGTTGATTCTTCATTAAGCTCATATGATTGATATATTTTCATCCATTTAGGTTGGTGCAAAAGTAATTGCAGTTTTTGTCATTACTTTTAATTGCAAAAACTGCACTTACTTTTGCACCAACCTAATAATTTATTCCTTTTGTCCTTAGCCATTTTTCTAACACTGCCTTTGGGTGAGTGCTCAGAGAATGCCTCTAAGTTCAAACAAAACAGAAATGATTTCTGGATTGGCTGCTCCTGTGAGCAATCTGTGTCACTGTACTCCCTGGGAAAACATCAAAACCACAATGTTTATTGTTCTTTTTATTATCTCTACTACTGTTTCAATGTAAGAATGCCCTCTGTTAAATTATCTTTTTAATAAATGTATGCAGTTCTATCATTAACATGATTTCAACTGAGAAAAAAAATTTGAATGAAAACTTTTTCTTTGTCCCAAAGCAGACATTACCAGAAACAGCAACGTCATGTCTACTACTGCATAATGTTCCTAATATTAAAGGTATTTAGACTCTATCAACGAAGATTTGCTTAGTCTCTATTGTGAGCCAGGCACTATACTAGTTGCCAGAGACTCAATGTTAAAGGACAGAAGTGAAATCTGTTCTCACAGACCTTTTGGTCTTGGTGCAAAGGTACTTAGGCGAACGAATCTTTATGAACTGGGAAATTCCAATAACAAAAATAGTGGGAAGATTTTTTACAAGAAATAGATTGGAACCAGGTTTTGGAATACCTGTAATGCTGGGCCAATGAATTTGAAGTTTACATCCGAGTTAAGAAAGACCAGGTACCCAAAGAGACCTTTTTCTAAAGATCTCTAATCAGGCCCCGATTAGAACTTTTCAATGATTTGTCATTTCCTCTAAGATAAATCCAACTTCTTTAATAAGGTTAACTAAATCCTGCATAAACACCCCTACTTACCCCTACAATCCAGTAAGTATCTATGAGTGGCACACCCTCATTTTCTATTGTATTCCTTTTAAAAAACATGTGGATTACAACTCACTAATTTGCTTTCACAATCTACTAGTAGGTGCCTGCAGTTAAAGAAAAAAAATGTCACTTTAGTGTACCACATTCTCACACCTCTTGGCCTTTCCACATGTTCTTTTTGCTCAAAACACTTCTGCTCAACCTCACTCTTCCCTTTTACCTAGCTACTTCCTATTCAGCTTAAGATCTCAGCTCTTTAACATCCATGTCCCTGGCCCTCATAGATAAGTTCTCCTTCTTCTGTGGTTCCAAAGCACTCTACACTTAACCAATGCTTATTACGCTTTATCGTAATGGTACTTGTACTAACTGTTTTTCTAGGTTGTAACTCTTAGAGCAAGGACCCATTCTTGTTCACCACTGAATCCCAAAGCCTAGCCCAGTGCCTGTCACGTATTAGACATTCCATAAATATTTAACCAGTACTGGTAAAACAAGGAAATAGACTTGAATAATCTATATATTTAACTACACAATAAAATAATCACTCAAAAGTGTCTAAGAGATTTAGTTATTTCCAAGGAAAATATACAGTCAGTTCATTTTTATAAATGGTGAATTAGTTCCTAGGCTAGCCTACAAAACACTATTTATTTCCCATAACATACTTAACTATGAGAGGATGGCTGTTTACTTCTCTCTGCAATGACAACAGAACTTTCACTCCTCTAAGTAGGAGAAAACAAGATTAAAGGAACACTTTTCTTTCTCTCCACCCCCATCACTAATTCCTCCCACAGGAAAGTGACTTATCTAATTGCTAGGATAGGTATAAAGGTCAACTGTTCAGACAGGCTCCACCCGTGAGCTCTCACTGGCTTTCTTGGACTTGCTGTGCCCTCAAGGAGAGAAAGTTTTCCTTTCCATTCTAACTGCTATAAGATAAGCTCCTTAGGACAGGACTTTCCCTTCCATTTCCTGGTGCAACAGTTTCATCTGGGTAGGTAAATTAAGAAAGAACAGTAAGCATGGGTCTAAGCTCAGTTCTCCAATCCAGCTTTACCGGAAATGAAAATTACACTATTATTTTAATAGTATTTAAATTCTTATCTGGCTTGAGTCTGATCTCAATTTGACTAGAATATGGAGAGAGAAGGGGTGTAACTAGCACACTTGAAAGCTTCAACATGAACAACAGTAATCCCAGTCTGATTTCTGGGTCCTAGGAGAACAGTTAGCATGGAGCAGCAAGGTGGGGCAAAAGGAAAGAGGGATCAAATGAAGGAAAAGGTTTCCACTTTTCCTATTTAGACATTTTTCTTGGGCAAAAATGTCTAAATAAGTCGAATCTGTCTTTATATCCTACAATCTTTCCTTCCAAATTGTTTCATTCTTGCTTTTCTTTTCTCATCTTTCAGATCCCTCATGCTATCTAAAGCTTTCCATTTTTTAACATCCTCACTTTTAGAAGTAGGGCAAACTTTGCCCAATATTCCAAAATGTTCCACGATCTCATAATACTTACATCTACTATCCCTCCTCAAGTCAAAACTCCCACTTCCTTAGTGTAGCTAACCAAGAAGAAAGCAATCTGATTAAATCCATTCACATTAAAATAGAATAACTGACAGTTCTAGTCATTTCCATCTAAATATTTCTGTATTTGTTATTTTTAAGCTAAATAAATCTAACTGCAGTACGTTCAGAGAGAAGAAAAAGTGTCCCTACCCTCATCTACCATAAAGGAGACAGGTCAGCTGTGACCATCACTTCTCAGGGATATCTCCATAGCGATTCCCAATTGTCACTGCCCTCTACTTTCAGTCCTTCCCAATAAGCGCCACTAAAAACCCCAGCGGGCAGAGAAAACATCTGTAGCTGCAGGATATTTGTATATCCATTGGGTAAGTTGGTAACAATCAATATTAGGTTGGATAGTTTATATTTTCAATACGTTTGATAATAATTTCATTAGTTAAAACAAAGTAAAAACACATTTTGGGTTATAAACCCGAAATTACCAGCCTCATTCTTCTAAATAAAGGCAGTGGCATAAAAGGGTTAATTCATATATCCATCATTTTGTAATGTATAGGTTGAAGCAGAGTTAGGCTATGCTTCACATGCTTTTTATCAGTTGCTTATCTATTATTTCCATTTGGAAACCTTTACTTGTATTTTCTATAAAGTTTTGGAAATTGGGAAGTGTACTTTCCAACAATGAGAAAGATTCTTTTCTTGACGAAATTTTACTCAGGCCCCTGAACCTTCTAGGCCCATTTGTGCACTTCCTTGTAAAATGCAGTTTTATCAAAGAACCTCGTCAAGTGAGTTTAGCAACAGCCCCTGACTCTTGGCCCTTGCTTTTTTTTTTTTTTTTTTTTTTTTGAGTTAAGACGAAGTTTTGCTCTGTGCAGTGGCGTGATCTCGGTTCACTGCAACTTCCACCACCTCCTGGGTTCAAGCAATTCTCCTGCCTCAGCCTTCTGAGAAGCTGGGATTACAGGTGCCCGCCAGCACACCAGGCTAATTTTTGTATTTTTAGGAGAGACAGGGTTTCACCATGTTGGCCAGTCTGGTCTCGAACTCCCAACCTCAGGTGATCTGCCCGCCTCAGCCTCCCAAAGTGCTGGGATTACAAGCATGAACCACTGCACCCAGCTGGCCCTCGCTTTCTGATTACCCTCGCTACCTGATTACCCTCACAACCTGATTAGGTTCCTCAGCTTCCACTGTCCCCCAGGTGGTGTCTGATCACTCTGGCCTGTCTTCAGCAAGAATCCTGTTAGGTTGGTTTGGTCTGAATATCCACTACCCCCGGTGTTTCCTCTCAGTACTTTTCTGTCCACTGACCATGACACTGCTCCTTGGCTATAAATTCCCATTTGCCCACACCGTATTCAGAATTGAGCCTAGTCTTCCTCCCAAACTGCAAAATCCCATTCCATGGTCCCTTTACCTATCACAATGGTCCTGAATAGACTTTTTTTTACCACATTTTAACAAGTATCATCGAATAATCTTTTTCTTTAACAACAATCATATTAGATCAGTGGAAAATTGAGTTTGAATTCCTGGGAGGTAACATCAGGTCTTTTTAGTGGTTTTTTTTTTTTTGGCCATGAAAGACCTGATGCTGAATTTGTGTGCGCTCGGAAATTAACCATGAAATAAGCACAGCAGCATTCATTTAGCTGTAAGTGGCTCTTAACTTTAGTGCCATCAAAAATATTTATTTACCACCCACACATGAACATAATTGTAATAAAAACTACACTGCACAAACTTAAGAAAACAAGATTCTCCACTTTACTGAGAAGTTAAACATAAATTTTTGAGTGATTTGTGCTTGCCATTTATTGTTAGTTTGTTCAGCTGGCCACTAATATAAATTTTTTGTAATTAAAGTGATAACTGGGATTTTCAAATTGAGCATAGAATATATGAAAATACCAATTAAGGGTGGTCTCTCTTGACTCCAGTCAGGAATATGCCTTCTGTAGCTTTGCTCAAAATACCAGGGCAGTAAATGTAAAGGGGTCAGTAAGATGTCCAGAATGAACAGGTAGGGTATTCTTAAAGAATGAAGTGGCACTTATTCAACCTTTACCCAAGAATAAGCATTAAGTTTTTCGGTATCAGATTGGTTGGATTTTTTCAAGTCAGTGCCAGTATCCAAACCTATTAACAGAAATTTTTTTCCATAAATGAACAATAAAACTCAATAAAAAGCTAAGCAACCCAGACTGGCCGTGGTGGCTTATGCCTGTAATCCCAGCACTTTGGGAAGCCGAGGTGGGCAGATCACTTGAATTCAGGAGTTGGAGACCAACCTGGCCAACATGGTGAAACCACGTCTCTACTAAAAATACAAAAATTAGCCGGGCATAGTGGTGTGTGCCTGTAGTCCCAGCTACTTGGGAGGCTGAGGCAGGAGAATCGCTTGAACCCCGGAGGTGGAGGTTGCAGTGAGCCAAGATTGTGCCACTGCACTCCAGCCTGGGTGACAGACTGAGAGTCAGTCTCCAAATAAATAAATAAATAAATAAATAAAAATAAAAAGCCAAGCAACCCAATTAAAATATGGGTAAAAGATATGAACATTTTCTCCAAAGAAAATATATGAATGGCCAATAAGCACATGAAAAGATGCTCAGCATCCCCAATCATTAGAGAAATGCAAATCAAAACCACAAAGAGATACCATTCCACACTCACTACGATGGCTATCATAAAAAATAACCAGTAAAAAAGTAACAAGCCTTGGGGAAGATGTGAAGAAATCGGAACCCTCATACACTGCTTAGTGGGAAAGTAAAATGGTACAGCTGCTTTGCTTGGCAGTTCCTCAAAAAGTGAAACACGGAGCAATTGCCCTCCTAGGTATATACCCAAGAGCACTGAAAACACATGTCCACAAAAACGTGTAAACAAATGTGCATAGCAGCATTACACACAATGGCCAAAAACTGGAAACAACCCAAATGTACATCAACTGATGAATAAACAAATGTGGTACACTGATACAACAATATTAATATGCTATAAAAAGTAAAGTACTGATACATACTACATGAGTGAAACTTGAAAACATTACAGTATGTCTTTCGACGCCAGACACAAAAAGCCACATATTGTACGCTTCCATTTATATGAGATTTCCACAACAGGCAAACCCATATAAACAGAAAGTAGATTAGTGGTGGCTAGTGGGGTGGGGTCAAGGGGAAATGAGGAGTGATTACTAAGAGAGACAGGGTTTCTTTTGGGGATGATGATCTGGATAGTGGTCATATTTGGAAAACTCTGTGAATATATTAAAAGCCACACTTTAGAAGAATGAGTTTTATGGCATGTGATGTATATCTCAATTTAAAAATTGTCACTACAAAAAAAAGATGACATATATACGTAATATACACATCAATGTATATCGGTAACACATAGATATGTGTCATCTCTCTCTGTAAATGAGCATTTGGGCTTTTAAATTTGAGATATGCTCCGTGTATATAAAGAGAAGAATGAAAGAAAAGGGTGACGGGGCACTCGCGGAGCCCTGAACAGGCATCTGGGGTGTGCCCGAGCCAGCCTCGCAGCATCTCCATCCCAGCTCACCTTCAGCCATCACTCATACACCACCCGCCGCCTGTCCCTGCCTTGGGCGCCCGGGACCGCTTGTCCGCGGTGGCCGCGGAACAGCTTCCCTCAGCCCGAGGTGGGGCAGGCGCGGGGGCCTGGGCTCGGGCGCTGCCCGGCGGCCCGGAGAGGCGTCCGCAGGGGGCACGGCTGCTCGGGCGGGGCCGCTCCCTCTGCTCCCCGCGCCCCCGCCGCCGGGTCCCGAGCCCAGGCCTCTCGGCCCCACCTCCCTCCCGCACCTGATGCGCCCGAACGCGGCGCCGCGGCCGAAGCCGAGACTTCCCCTCCATGGTCACCTGTTCCGGAGCGCGGCGGCGGCAGCGGCCGGTGTGAGAAGGGTCCCCGTCTCCTCAGACCAGACCGAGACACCAGGGGCGGGGGATGGAAGGGGCATTCACCTGGTGCCCGGCACCGGTGGTGGCGGGGAGGACAGCGGCTCCCAGCCCACAGCTCCTTCCTGCTCCCGCGCCTCCTCGCGCGGCTGCGGCCCCAAGCTGACAGCCCGGCCGTCGGCGCCCGCGGCCCCCTGACTCCCCGCCGCCCCGCCCCCGCGCGGCAGCCCCGCGCAAGCGCAGCCGCGCCGCCGCCGGGGAAGCCCGGGCCTTGGTGATGTGGCCCGCGGGGCGGCGACCCGGAGCGACAGCACCGCCCCGCCCGGACCCCGGCCGCGCCCTGGCAGACAGCTGTCGGGAACGGGGGCGCTGGATGACGGCAAGGGGGCAGTTTTCTGGGGAGCCTGCCCAGGAGAGAAGGGCTGTGGCCTCCTTCGGCATCCCTCTTCCCCACCAGCCCACGCACGCCCACTTCACCGCCTGCTCCAAGGTCCGAACCCCCGAATCCATGACTCATGATTTCTCTTCTCAGACCAGCGGCCTCTTTTTGGCTGAGGTCATGTTTCTTGCAGACTGGAGTTAAAACCGAACCACGTGTCTTTCGGCCCAGCAGCGCATAGTGTGGGCGGTGCAGGAGCCGAGACGGGCAGGAACCACCGCAGGAGGGGGTGAGGTTTAGGGCAGCCCCATAGCACCCTCCCCGTGCCAGGCAGGTGTAGGCGCCAAGCGCATGGGGCGCTGAAGAGTTGGCTGGGGTGCCAGGCTTTTCAAGTTTCCCCACACTTGCTTTTAAACCTAGATCAAACTGATCCAAAGTCTGCATGTAAATCCGAGAGCTCATTTATTTTATTTACAAAACTATTGAGCATCTACTGTGTATGATTCAGGGAATGAGACACACCCCAGGGATACTCCAGTGAACAAAAGAAAGGTGTTGGTCCGAAGACAGTTATTTTAAAAATTACACAGCTAATGCCATAATGCCAGGATTGGTGGCTCATGCGTGTAACCTCAACACTTCGGGAGGACCAGGCGAGAGGATCGCTTGAGGCCAGGAATTTGAGACCAGCCTGGGCAAACACAGCGAGACCTGGAGTGGCTAGGAGACTGAGGTGGGAGGATCGCCTGAGCCCAGGAGTTCAAGGCTGCAGCGGGCTATGATCGCATCACTGCACTCCAGTCTGGGCCACAAAATGAGACCTTGTCTCTAAAACAACAACTCAAAATTACACAGCTAATGATACTCTTTTCCTCAAATCAAAGCTTCTACCAATTCCAAGCCACACCAGTGATTTAGTAGCAGCTTTTCTGGTGCTGAAGGACACCAGCATACATTTATCCATGTTCTTTTTTTTTTTCCTTATGCTTTGCGATCAGACTTTGAGCTTTAACCTTAACCTTCAGGGTGAAGGGTGCTTCGGTATCACTCTTGGCCATCTGCAGTCATGCTTTTTATAATGACTCATCCTGGTGTTCCTCACCACCTAAAAATGAAAGTATAATTGCAAGGAATATGGAAAAGCAGTGTTTTGACTGCATTTCCAGCTGGTTTTTGTTCTGGTTGTTTTTTGAATTACAGATCATTAGAAAGTAGCTGCTCTTGAAAGTTTGGCAGAAGTTCCACCCAATATGTGTTCCTCCCCTGAGTGTGTAGTCTTTCAAGATTTCTACACAAAGCATATACAGAAGCCAGCCTGTCTTGGTTTTGAAAATTCTTCCACCATTTTTTTCTGAGAGAGCTGGTGGTTTCTACCGTCCTTCAGAGCATTACATGGCATGTGGCAGGCAACCTTCTACTTACATTCTTCATTCAGTACCGCAAAGTAGTGTGTACTTTGGAGATATGTTAAGCTTCAAGTTGGAATCCAAATTTAAATCAAATTTCAGCCCTGAAAATAACTCACATTGGAATCGGGCGAGGAAATGCCCCCTTGTAAAAAACTGGGTCCTAATGGGTGCAGACAACAACAATCCCATTTCTACTTCATCTCCCGTCTGACAGCTGGCAACTTCAAATGTGAAGCAAGTGGCTTGGACTTGAGGCTGTGTGGTGATGCTGTTGTGATTGCTGGAAAAAAGCCTGAGAGTTATGAGAGTGTATAACAAAGGAGCGTGTCTGTGCTAGGGGGTAAGAAAGATCTCCTGGAGGAAGTGACATTTAATCTCAGCCTTGAAGAATAAGGAGGAGTTAGGGCAGGCAACATAGAGAAGGGGGTGGGGTGGGCAGTGCATTTAGCTGTGGAAACTGCAGGTTTGAAGGCCCTTTGGTAGGAAGAGGCTCTGTCTGTGAAGGCTTTGGGAAAAGGCCACTGTGCTTAGACTGAGAGAGCTACCTGGGAGGGAGAGGTGGGCGGGCCCTTGAGGGTCAGGTTAAGGACTTTGGATTTAATCCTAAAGACAAAAGAAGCCAATGAAGAGTTGAAAAGGTCCTATCTGGACATGAAAAATTGCATTTGTAAAAGATGATCCTGGATGCAGTGGCTCACACCTGTAATCCCAGCACATTGGGAGGCTGAGGTGGGAGGATCACTAGAGGCCAGGAGTTTGAGACCAGCCTGGGCAACATTGCAAGACCCCCATCTCTACAAAAATAAAATAAAATTAGCCAGGCTTGGTGGCACGCACCTGACTGAGCCCAGGAGCTCGAGGCTGCAGTGAGCTATGATCGTGCCTCTGCATTCCAGCTTGGGCAGCAGAGTGTGAGACATTGTCTCTTAAAAAAAAAAAAAAAAAAAAAAAAAAGAGATTATTCCGGCTGCAGAGTGGAGAATTAATAAGAAGGGTGCAACAGAGGATGTGTGACAACCAGTTTGCAGGCAATGGAGATTAGGAGATGATGGTGGATTGAAGATATAGGTCAGGGTTAGAACTGTAAGGATTTGATCAAATGCATGGAAGGTAAAGGCGAAAAAGTGTCAAAAAATGACTCCCAAGTTTCTAATTTGAGTTTATGCCATTTCCTGATTTGGGAAATGTGGAGGAGGAGATCAGAAGGGGACAATTTTGAGTTGCTTTATATATGTTGAGTTTGATACCCCTATGAGACATTCAAATGAAGATACTGACTCTATGTTTGAAAAACTGCAACTCAGAGTAGAGATCTGGATTGAGGTGAATCAAAACTAAATTTTAGGAGAGCACATAATATGAACTGTTCATAAGATTTAACCTCTAAACTTCAGAGAAAACCTGAGCAGGCCAGGTGTGGTGGCTCATGCCTGTAATCGAGCACTTTGGGAAGCTGAGTCAGGTGGATCACTCGAGGTCAGGAGTTGGAGATCAGCCTGGCCAACATGGTGAAACCCTATCTCTACTAAAAATACAAAAATTAGCCAGGTGTGGTGGCGTGAACCTGTAGTCTCGGCTACTCAGGAGGCTGAGGTATGAGAATCACTTGAACCTGGGAGGTGGAGGTTGCAGTGAGCCAAGATTGCGCCACTGCACTCCAGCCTGGGCATCAGAGCTAGCCTCCATCTCAAAAACAAAAACAAAAACCTGAGCAGAAGCAAAGGGAATCTAATATTTACTATGTGTGAGACACTTCGCACAGATGATTTTCTTTAATCTTGACACTCTATAAAATGATGTTATAATCCCATTTTACATACGAGGAAACTGAGGGTTAAATCCTTGCTCAAAGTTACTCAAATTCCCAAGACCTACCTCAGACCCATTAAATAAGAATCTCTATGGATATTTCTGGTGATCACTGAGGCTCAAGAACCACCATGTGGCCTACTTAAAAGTGGTCCCACAAACCATATAAATGCCCACAAAGAAAAAGAACTAGAGAAAAACCATCATTCAGGGGACATGCAGCCCATGCAGCCAATGTTCCAGACACATGTGCTAGTTTCTGCCCCTACCCCCATTATCAGTGCCCTTCCTGGGAATCTCTGCAATACTCATTTGTTCATTCATTCAACAGGTAGCTATTGTGGGCCTCTTTTGTGCCAAATATAAATCATCATTCATTCATTTATAAATATTTTTTGAGCACTTAGCTAAATGCCACATTTTGTCCTATGCTCTGGGAATACAGTATTGAACAACATAAAGGAATGCCTGCCTTACAGAGTTCATGTTCAAATGGGGAAAGAAAATAAACAACTAATAAACAAATAAGCAAATATATATATCTAGGTATATGGTGATAACTACTATGAAAAGAAATAGAGTTAAAGAGTTAGAGAGTTTGGGGGCGGGGTGGGGAAGGTGTGGAGAGGAGCGGGGACTGTTTTATATAAACTAATCCAGGGAGACCTTGATGGCTTGAACAAAAAGGAGTGAGGGAACAGTAATAATACCTGGGGAAAGTACAGCAAGCACAAAGGTCCTAAGACAGGAGTGTGTATGTTGTGTTCAGGAGACAGCAAGGAGTCTCCTGTGTCTGTAGTGAAGTAATCAAGTGGTTGAGATGAAGCAAAATTAAATTTGCAGGCCAGGTGCTGTGGCTCACGCCAGTAATCCCAACACATTAGGAGGCTGAGGTGGGCGGATCACTTGAGGTCAGGAATTCGAGACCAGCCTGGCCAACATGGTGAAACCCCGTCTTTACCAAAAATACAAAAATTAGCCGAGCCTGGTGGTGCATGCCTGTAGTCCCAGTTACTCAGGAGGCATGAGAATCACTTGAGCCCGGGAGGTGGAAGTTGCAGTGAGCCAAGATTGCACCACTGCTCTCCAGCCTGGGCAACAGAGTGAGACTCCAGGGAAAAAAAAGAAAAAATTAGATTTGCAGATGCAGTCAGAGAAGTGGCTAGGGGCAGGGCTTGCAGGCCATTGGCTTTGACTCTGAGCAAGGTGAGGGCCACTAAAAGGATCTCAGTGGAAGTGGCCCCCTGTGACTTAGATTTCAGTGGGATCACTGTGGAGAGCCAAGTGCGGAAGCCAGGGCGGAAGCAGGAAGACCCCTGAGGAGGCTTTTGTGATAATCCCGATGAGAGGGATGGTAGCCCAGCCCAAGGTGGGCACAGAGGAAAAGCACTGGACTCTGATACATTTGTTTGAGAGTAGAGCTGAAATACAGGATTGCCTAATGGATTAAATGTAGAGTTTAAGAGGAAGAGAGGCGTTAAAGATGCCTCCAAGGTTTTTGGCTCAAGCAGCTAGAAGAATGGAATTCCCATTTGCTGCAGTGGAAACGGCTGTGAGAATAAAGTCTTGAGGCAGGTATGAGATCACCTAGTGGGGTTTACTGTTCTAACTGCCTTGTCTCTATGAACTCCTTCAGTACTCACGACAACTCTCTAAGATAGGTACTATTTTCATTCCTGTTTTATAGATGCGGAATTGAGGCTTTACCCTACAATGTGCCACAGATTCCACGTCTGTAAAATGAGAATAGTACTCCAGAGTTTACAGTTGCATTGCCTATCGGGGAAGCCAGACAATTAGATAAGCAATATAATAATCTACAGTTATGGTAGGGAAAGTCTGAGGGGCTATAGTTACACAAAGCAGAAGCATCTTTCCAAGTTTGGGGGTAGGGGCAGAAAAACATCAGGGAAGACTTCTAAGAGGATGTAATATTAGACTAAAAGCTAAAGAATCAATAGTCATGCTGCTGTGGTTTGAATGTGTCCCCCAAAGCTCATGTGTTGGCAGATTAATTCCTGATACAACAGTGTTGAGAAGTGGGTGATTAAGAGATGATTAGGTCATGAGAGTTCTGCCCTCCTGAAAAGATTAATGTTGTTATCTTGGGAGTGGGCTCATTATCACGAGAGTGGGTTTGTTATAAAACTGAGTTCCGCCTTCTCTTACATGCATGCTTGCTCTCTCTCTCTCTCACACACATATGTGTGCACATGCACACACGCGCACACACACACACACACACACACCCCTTTGCGATGCCTTCTGCCATTTTATGAAGCACCAAGAAGGCCATCACCAGATACAGCCCCTCAATCTCAGACTTTCCAGCCTCCAGAACTGTGAGCCAAATAAATTTCTGTTTGTTATAAATTACCCAGTCTGTGATAATCTGTTACAGCAACTTAAACTAAGACACGTGCTAAGAGAAATTTTAGGACTAGGGATAAGAAAAGAAGGAAAGAGTATTCCAGGAAGAGGTAACTGCTTGTACAGAAAAAAAAGAGGGGCGATTTTTAGTAATTGAAAGGATTTCAGTGCAATGTTTGTACTCTCTCAGAGCACCTTATTGATTGGTCCCTGCTGAGAGTTTTTCTCCACAAGTACATGGTAATGCTGAGGCAGGATACGTAGTCAAGGAAACGACCATGTTCTCAGAATGCAGCAACCATGGTGACCGTACAGCCAACACAGTAAGCCTCAGTATTCGCATTGGAATTGAGTTCATTCAAGCAAAGCTATCTTCAGTAGGGACTTTGCCTTCTAAAGAGCATGCACATTTTGATTTTACCTGTCCTCAAACTGACCCTTTGCTCGGTATAATAGTAAAAAACCCCTGGGTGGAGATTTAAGATGCTAATGAGACATGCGACATATGAACAAGCATGAACAGCTACTGTGCATGTGCACCCAGAAGACCACCCAGAACATGCTTACTAGTAACACTTCTTCCAACCTCCTTATGAATAGCCATGTAAGACTGGGAGTTTCTCCAGCAATAATCAACGCTGCCCCACCCTTACAAGCAGCCCACCCTGAATTCTCTCTCTCAGGATGTGCTGTCTATTCTGCATGTAACTTTCAAAATATTCTTTTTCTTTTGCAAGAAATTACTCTATGCCATGTGTCTCCTGTTTAAATTCTTTTAAACTAAGAAGACAAGAAATGAGGTTTCAAAACAGCTGTCAACAGTGCTTCAAGGGATTTCTATTTCTGCTGTCTTTACAATGTATCTCTGAGAAGGCAGAAGTCCACTGTCCTTGAATGCTCACTGGGTCCCTGTTGTTCCTCAACCATGCCCACGAGTTCCTGCCTCCAGACCTTAGACTTGCTGTTCTCTTTAACTAGGACATTCTATTCTCCCAGAAATCTTCCCGGATCCACACCCACCAGGTGGATTTAAGGGTCTCAGTCCTCTTTGTTTCCATAACAGCCATTGAATAATATGATCAACTCTTAAAAATACCAAGTCATAAAGGTTTGCTTATCTGTCCATTTCTCTACTAGGTTATCAACAGCTTCTTTATATCTCGGCTAGCATGATGTTGTTAGCCCTAAGTGAATGCTCAATAACTTTCCCCCTGCAATCAATGAATGGATACATTTAAATTTATCTCTCTTTACTATTAGTGGTGCTGCTACTGGCATTTTGATTTTCTATTCTGGTTCTAGCAGAATTATTAATTTATTTTAAAATCTTAATTGTATATTACAGTATCTTGGCTTTCTTAACCTGATTTTGTTAGGTTTTTGCCAGGAGGCAGGATTTCCACAACACTGGGATGTTGAAGGCTAAGATATTTTTCAGGAACATATAGGCATTGACTGCTCTTCTGGGGGATGAGGGTGTGCCCTTCCCTACACTGTTTGGTTTAAGGACTATGGAAACTCAATTATCTGTTACCATTCCGTTAAATGGAGGCTCATCTATCCACAAGAAGACTTGCATAAGACTGCCGATAGCAGCTTTATCATAGTAGTACAAAACTGGAAAGGATTCAAAAGCTCATCAACAGGAGAATGAAAAAACTAACTTGGGTATATTCATCCAATGCGATACTACTCAGTAATAAAATGAAACAAATTAGGGATATGCTTAACAAAATTGTGAATCTCACTAACATTCTGAAAGAGAGAAGGCCCTGATAGAAAAAAAAATACTAGGCTTCTGTACCAAATTATCACAAACTTAGTAGCTTAAAGTAACACGAATTTGTTATCTTACAGCTTGGTAGGGTAGAAGTTCTAATACATGTCTCATTGCACTAGAATCAAGGTGTCAGCAGGGCTGCATTCCTTGTAGAGGTTCTAAGGGAGAACTTTATTCCAGCTTCTAGAGGCCACTCACATTCCTTGGCTTGTGGCCCCTTTTATACCTCTTCAAAGACAGCAATGTATTAGGTTGGTGCAAAAGTAATGGCGGTTTATGCCATTACTTTCAAAGGCAAAAGCCGCAATTACTTTTGCACCAGCCTAGTAGCATTTCTGAGCCTGCTTCCATCCTCACATCTTTCTCTGCCTCTCTTTTCCTGCCTCCCTCTTCCACTTTTAAGGGCCCTTGTGATTATATTGGACCCACCCAGATAATCCAGGAATCTTTATTTTAAAGCCATTATCAAACTTAATTTCATCTGTAACCTTAATTCCCTCTTGCCCTGTAACATAACAGGTTCCAGGAATCAGGACAGGTACTTATTTGGGGATTGTAGGGAGCATTATTATGCCAGCCACACTGTGTGATTTCATTAAGTTTTTAGAGAAGGCAAAACTCAGCTGTGGTTTAAAAAAAAAAAAGAAGAAGAAGAAAGAGGAAAGAAGAAGAGAAAAAAGAGACCAGGAGAAGGGAGTGGGGAGGGGCAAGGGGAAGGAGAAAGAGAAGAAAAAGAAAGGTGATTGCCTTTAGGTGGGAGGAAATTGACTAGAAAGGCACATGAGGGAACTTTCTGGGTATTGGAAATTTTCTGTATCTTTAGAGGCATGTGGGTTAAATGTGCACATGGATTTATCAAAACTCATCAAATTTTACGTGTAAGATTTGTGCAATTCACTGTATGTAAATTATACCTGTAAAAAAGAGAACTGTAAACAAATCTTGATCTCTAGATTTGCTTTTCATAGTGCTATGTGTGAGCAGGTCTGAAACTAGTTTCTGAGTACGCCGAATGAAAGTAAGGTTTCCAGTGGTGTACCGCTAAACTGGCTCTCTGGGGGAAAAGAAAAAAAAAAAAGAACACACACATACACACACCTTGATTTGTAGCATTTGCTAATTGCTATGTTGTAAATAGCCCCATAGCTGATTTCAAAACCAGCTCACAAAATTACAAATCTTTAGTAATCAGCCCTATGAGCTGATTCAAACTGGCATACCACTGCAGATTTCTCATCGTTTAAGTTTTAAAATATGCATAAATAGATATAGAAATATAGATCTATGAGGAGATGAGTGCGTGTGTGTGTGCATGTGTGTATCTGTCTGCCTCCTTTCCCTCTGCAATAAGAGGACCTAAAAGCTAGGACATATTGGTAGCAGGTGCACATTTCGCTTCCAGATGTATCTTTCTACATACCATTCTCCACTTGAAAAGGAACCAGTGTTTCTTGGGGAAAAGGCTAGTTCCAGGGCTGGAGTATAATAGAAAAGTACAAAAGGAGCTTGAAATAATGGATTGCACCAGAAATTAAGGAAGTGCTTAAAGAATGATGGACATTGGCCAGGTGCAGTGGCTCAGGCCTGTAATCCCAGCACTTTGGGAGGCCGAGGAGGGTGGATCACTTGAGGTCAGGAATTCAAGACCAGTCTGGCCAACATAGAGAAACCCCAGCTCTACTGAAAATACAAAAATTAGCTGGGCAAGGTGGTGGTGTGCCTGTAATCCCAGCTACCCAGGAGGCTGAGTCAGGAGAATCACTTGAACCCGGGAGGCGGAGGTTGCGGTGAGCCAAGATTGTGCCACTGCACTCCAGCCTGGGTGAGAGAGCAAGACTCCGTCTCAAAAAAGAAAAACAAAAAGAAAGAATGATGGACATATATAAAAAGGAGATATTTGCATAGTGAACAAGTTCTACTTGGACAATTTTAGTATCAAGTATAATAAAATTACTGTTATATCAAATGTAATAGTAATGGACTAAAGCTCGTTAAATAAAGATACATGTCTCAAAACTGATACAAATAAATAAGTAAATGGGAGAACAGAAAGCTCTGCCTCACAGTAGAATATCAACTAATACATAAAGAACAAATAAAAGCATTAGAAAATCATTAGTAGACAGAAAAATTCAGGAGTGAAAGTTTGGTAAGGGACAGGATGTTGACATATATCCCCACAAATACTTGTTAATTACAAAGAGGAAAGTATTACTACTTTCTTTCTTTCTTTTTTTTTTTTTTTTTTTTTGAGATGGAGTCTTGCTCTGTCGCCCAGGCTGGAGTGCAGTGGTGCGATCTCGGCTCACTGCAACCTCCACCTCCCGGGTTGAAGCAGTTCTCCTGCCTCAGCCCTTCTGAGTACCTGGGATTACAGGCGTGCACCACCACACCCAGCTAATTTTTTTTTTTGTATTTTTAGTAGAGGCGGGGTTTCACCACGTTGGTCAGGCTGGTCTCGAACTCCTGACCTCATGATCCACCCACCCCGGCCTCCGAAAGTGCTGGGATTACAGGTGTGAGCCACCGCGCCCGGCCATTCCTTATTATTTTCAAGGGTGATTTGTAACAATCACCCTTTCCCATGTGATTAAAGTTAACATCACCAGTAAGGGTCACCCTTCAAGTTCAGGGGTGATTAATAGTAATCACCCCTACCCATGTGATTAAAGTTAACATCACCAGTAATGAGACAAATCTACATCATGGGCCTCCTGGTATGATACAGTGAGAAAGACCCAGTATCACTTCTGTGGTGTTCTTGGCAAAAACGTATAATCTGAATCTAATCCTGAGGAAACAGCAGACAGACCTAAACTGAGGGACATTCTAAAAATTCTGTAGCCTATCCTCTTAAAAAATGTCAAAGCCCCAAAAGACAAAAATGACTGAGGCACTGTCACAGATTGATGAGAGAAGACTGGGTGCAATGCACGATCTTATGTTGGATCCTGTACTTGGAAAAAAAATGAAGCTGTACATGACGTTATTGAGACAACTGAAATTTGGAAACACACACTAGATTCCATAGTAGTACTGTATGTTAAATGTTCTGCTTTTGATCATTGTTCTCTAGGTATATGAGAATATTGTTGTACTTAGAATTTATACACTGAAGTATTTAGGGATAAATAGGCATACAGTCTACAACTTGCCCTTGAATTTTTTTTTTTTTTTAAGTTTGGGAGCAGGAAGAAAGAGATAGAAAGAACGAGATGTGATAAAGCAAAAAAAAAAATGGAGCACAATGTACCCATGTTTTAATCTATGTAAAAGGTATACAGGAGTTATACTACTGTTGCAACTTGTTTGTAAATTTGAAATTATATCAAAATAAAAAGGTACAAAATAGGGTACCTGTAGTGCCAGCTACTGAGAAGTTTGAGGTTACTGTGAGCTATCATCGTGTCACTGCACCAGCCTGAGCAACAGAGCAAGACTCCATCTCTAAAAAAAAAATTAAAAAAAAAAAAAAGTGGGACAGGCACATAGCAAGCTACTTTGGCAGGGCAGAGAGGTAAAAGCCCTACAAAGGTAAAAGCCAATGCGAAGAGGTAAAAGCCCTACAAAGATATGCCCTTTCTGTTCCTGTTCTCTGTAGCCACCCCTTTTTCCCATATTCCCCGTATTCTTGGCTAAATAAATCAGGAACTGATAGGCAGTGTGTAGGTGGTGTGTTTGGGCAGCTTCAAAGGGAAAGACAGCTGTTGTGACTATATGAAAGTATTCATTTTGAAATAATTGAGACCTCTCTGTCCCAGAGAGCAACTAGGGGCCCTGTAACGGTTTGTAATCAGAATATGTAAACTTGCAAAATGTTCTTAACATGAAATAGATAAAAAACAGGTAGTGTAGGATGAGGAAAAAGGAACAGTACAAACTGTACACAATTTACTGATGTAAAAAAGAAAGTTTCCTTGCAGTCCTCTCCCATTATTAATTCTTCTATGTAGTCTCTCTTCTGATAGTTTCTATCAGATTGTACACCTGTCATAAAACAAATCATCAGAATGCATAGACATCGGCCTAATTATTCCTATGTCTCCTAAATAGTTTTGAGGAAATGCTAGTGACCTAGCCCGATATACTTTGTTTTGCTAGAACAAGATCCTGGAGAAGAACTACACGGGAATAAAAATAACTAAAATTGATTAAAATGGAACAAATACTGTTAATCAAAAAACAATGAATTATAGGAAATTGTTCTCCCCTGCTATAAATCTGAATCTTTGTGTCCCCCCACCTCAAATTCATATATTGAGACCTAACCCCCAAGGTGATAGTATTAAGAGATGAGGCCTTTGGGAGGTGATTAGGCCATGAGGGCTCTGTCCTCAAGAATGGGATTAGTGTCCTTATGTAAGAGGCCTAAGGGAGCTTGTTCACCCCTTCTGCCATGTGAAGTCTCAGCAAAAAGGCACCGTCTTTGAAGCAGAGAGTGAACCCTTGCCAGACACTAACTGCTGGCACCTTCCTAGCCTCCATCACTGTGAGCAATACATTTCTATTGTTTACAAATTACCCAGTCCAAGGTATTTTGTTACAGCAGCTTGAACAGAGTAAGACATTCCCCCTGACCAGGTGCTGTTGCTCAGGTCTGTAAACCCAGCACTTTGGGAAGCCGAGGCAAGAGGATCTGTAGAGGCCAGGAGTTCATGACCAGTCTGGGCAACATAGTGAGACCTCATCTCTACAAAAAAAAAATTTTAAAAATGAGCCAGGCATGGTCCCAGCCACCCAGGAGGCTGAGGCGGGAGGACTGCTTGAACCTAGGAGTTCAAGGCTGCAGTGAGCCGTAATCACACCATTGCACTCCAGCAGCCTGGGCAACAGAGCAAGACTCTCAAAAAGACACTGCCCACCCACCTGCCTGTGCACATTTTCACCCTTTGTTACTAAGTTGTCATTTCTGATTCATTGATATTTAGCAGAATTGAACACCAGTTTTTAATGCCATGCCATGGGTGAAATTTTGAGGAAGAAATGATGCCCTACGCTATGTTCAAAATTCAACACTTAAAAAACTAATTTAAAAATTCCAGCACATGAGGCAGAGAATGAAGCTAAGTCCAGTTTAAGATGGCTACTCTTCAGAATAGTAGTCTACTAGAAATAAAATCCTGCTTCTCCACCAGTGGAAATATTATGTTGCTAGAAATCAAAGCATTCCTTTGACGCAAATGCTTTATTTTATCCATACGATCAAAATAGGTTAAGAGCTAACCAAAATAAATGATTTGCACTATAATTACACCATAACTTTCAGCATTAATATACATGTCTCTAGAGATAAAATAGTTTTAATTGGCAAAATTAGGTAATTAAATTAAATACATAATTGTTCCTAAGGGCCAGGTAATAGCAATTTGAAAACTTACCAGCCTAAATACTCAGTTTGGATAGTCTCCTGAAGATAAAAACTGAAGCTGAAAGATGAAAACCTTTTAGAAAAACCTCAAAATTATCCCCAGAATTACACATTGCAAATATTATTGTCTGTAGTAGACCTGTGGGTGCCTCCCTGATTTCCTTGCATCCTCCCCTAAAGCTACAGCTCTGCCTTCTGGGTGGGATTGGTCCCGTCCTCCGGCCAGCTGCAGGAGTGGGACCTGATTCAGAAAATTCCACTTCCCTTGTCTCAGCTAGTTTGGGCCTATGACTCAAGTTTGTTACTTTGACATTTTAACTTTTAAATGCCAATCTTATTTTACCTCATTTCCCTCAATTTCCTGAAAAGAGTTTCAATTTTTTTTTCGAAACGAAACTCAGGAATTTATACACATATTGCCAGTTCAAATTTAAGATTACAGGAGTGGGTCGGTTACTGATTTTTTTTTTCTTGTACAAAAAATCTGAGATCTGGCAAGGAGCGGTGGCTCATGTCTGTAATGCCAGCACTTTGGGAGGCCTAGGCGAATGGATTGCTTGAGCTCAGGAGTTCAAGACCAGCCTGGGCAACATGGTGAAACCCTGTCTCTACCAAAAATACAAAAAATATTAGGAGTGGTGGCACACGCCTGTAATCCCAGCTACTTGGGAGGATTGCTTGAGTTGGGGAAGTGGAGGTTGCAGTGAGCCAAGATCGTGCCACTGCACTTCAGCCTGGGCAACAGAGTGAGACCCCATCTCAAAAAGCAAACAAAACCCAAAACAAAATCTGAGATCCAAATATTAGTATAATTACTTATTTGCTTTATCTAAGAATATCTATATAGCAGTTTTTAAATAACCATACCAATAACACTACTAAAAATTAAGATGATTCAATTCATTGTAACAGCCAATCAGCAATAAGGTCCAGGTTCAGTTTCATATGATTAGAGCTTGCCCATAATAATGACTGTAACATACATGCAAATCAACCAACAAATTTCTTATATTTATATTCTTTTTAAAATCTTAAAATGTTTAACAGTTTATCTTTTTTTCATATCATTTTCCTGTACCAGAAGCAGCTCCCTTCCCCCTGCATTGCTCTTCTTGTTCAGAGCCTGTCTTATGGCTATTGTCTTATCTTTTTATACAAACTTTATAATCCATTTTCTCACTCAAAGGGAAAAAATACCCGATGAGATTCTTATTAGCATTGTGCCAAGATCATGCCACTGCACCCCAGCCCTGGAGACAGAATGAGACCCTGTCTCAAAAATAATAATAGTAAAATTAGCTTTTTTTGCAGTTTTTTTTTACTATTTCTTTTCGATTCAAAGATTGCTTAGAAATATGTTTTTACAGTTTTAGGTAGAAGAGACTTTTATTAAAAATGTCACTATTTTAAAATTATATTTAATTGTGGTCACAGAATATAACTTATATCATTTGTATTTTTGGAATTCATTGAGATTTTCTTTGTGGCCTATGATATTTCAATTTTGTGAATACTCCATGTGACTTCAGAAGAAAGTTTAATCTCTATTATCAGGGTTCAGTGTTCAATATATATTTACTAGATCTACTTTATCAATGATTTTATTTAGCTCCTCTAAATCCATACTAATTTTTTTGTCTAACTGGGTCTATTCTTTTCTGAGAAATGGTATTAAACTTCCAATTATTAGAGTTTTTGCTTATGTCTCTTTTTATTCCTTTTACTTTCTGCTTTTTAATGGTTGTTGCTGTGTTATTAGGCACACGAATATGAATGATGGTTTCCTTGTTTAGATCGTGTCATTTAGCATCATAATGTGTCTTTTTGTCTCTTTTTGAATTTTTGCTTGTCTAATAACAAAATTGTACTCCACTTTGTTTTTACTTGCATATGCCTGGTTTATATGTAATCATCCTCTTATTTTTACTATTTTATCTTTTATTTTAGATGAGAGTTTTGCTCTTGTCACCCAGACTGGAGTATAATGGTGCGATCTGGGCTCACTGAAACTTCTGCCTCCTGGATTCAAGCAATTCTACAGCCTCAGCCTCCTGGGTAGCTGGGGATTATTGACGCACACCACCATGCCCAGCAATTTTTTTTTCTTGTATTTTTAGTAGAGATGGGGTTTCGCCATTTTGGCCAGGCTGGTCTTGAGCTCCTGACCTCAGGTGATCCGCCCACCTTGCCTTCCAAAAGTGCTGGGATTACAGGTGTGAGTCACCGTGCCCAGCCTAGGTAAGTCATTTCTATCCAGCATAGAATTGAATTTCGACTACTTATCCAATCTGAAAATTCTTTTTCTCTTATAAATGAGTTAAGCCTATTTGCATGTAGTAATACAATTGATATGCTTCATCTCAGTTTTGTCTTTATAAATCATATGAAGTCTTTCCTATGAAGTCTGTTTTATTTGCTCTCCTTTTTCTGCTTCTGTTTATTTTAGTATTTAGGAAGATTTGTATTTTGTTCTAATAACTTTATATGATACTATTCAGACTACTCTTATTTTGATATTGTCTTTTATCTTCCTACTATCAATGGTATTAAAATTAGCTAGTAACTCCTCTTTTCTGTCTCCCCTTGTCCCGAACACCTAATGTAACATACTTTTTATTTCATTTTTTAAAAGCAATATTTTTTCTTCTCAGATAGTTTCAGCCTTCTCCCCATTTTTGATTTTTATATTATATCTACAGTATCAATACCTACAAAAATTAAATACTTTTTTTTTTTTGAGATGGAGTCTCACTCTGTCACTGAGCAGTGGCACCGTGTCGGCTCACTGCAAGCTCCGTCTCCTGGGTTCCAGCAATTCTCCTGCCTCAGCCTCCCAAGTATCTGGAATTACAGGCACCCACCACCACACCTGGCTAGTTTTTATATTTTTAGTAGAGATGGGGTTTCACCATTTTGGCCAGGCTGGTCTTGAACTCCTGACCTCAGGTGATCCACCCGCCTTGCCCTCCCAAAGTGCTGGGATTACAGGCATGAGCCACCGTGCCCGGCCAATTAAACATTATTCTTTCAAACTTATTCCCATTGTTTAGCCTCAATTCTGCTGTAAAATGCTCACCACCGTAACTGGGTGACTCTGGTTCAAGGTCTTTCAAGAGGTTGCAGTTAAGCTGTTGGTAGAACTGTAGTTTCATCAAAAGGCTCAACCAGGTTTGGCATGGTGGCTCACACCTGTAGTCCCAGCACTTTGGGAGGCAGAGGCAGGAGGATCGCTTGAGCCCAGGAGTTTGAGACCAGCCTGGGCAGCAATGTGAGACTCCACTTCTACAAAAAATTAAAAAATTAGCCAGGCATAGTTGGCATGTGCCTATAGTCCCAACTACTGGGGAGGCTGAGCTGGGAGGATCACTTGAGCCTGGGAGGCGGGAGGTTGCAGTGAGCCGAAATCATGCCACTGCACTCCGCCTGGATGACAGAGTGAGACTCTGTCTCAAGAGAAAAAAAAAAAAGAAAAAGAAAAATGGCTTCGCCAGGTAAGGACCTGCCTCCAAGCTCTCTTACGCAAGAAACTCATACAAGGAACTGACAGGATTCAGTTCCTTGTGGGCATTGAACTGAAAGTCTCAGTTCCGCCTTGGGTATTGACTGGAGGCCAATCTCAGTTCCTTGCCATGTGGAACTCATACAGGGTAACTCACAACACGTCAGTTGGCTTCTCTCAGAGTGACAGAAAGCAGAAAAACAGAAGTCACAGTCTCTTTGTAGTCTAATTTCAGATGTAACACCCCATTACTTTTACTGTATTTTATTCATTAGGAGCAATTCACTATATTTAGTCCATACTCAAGAGGAGGAGATTACATAAGGACATAAATACCAGGAGATGGGATCCCTGGAGGCTATGCTGGAGACTGTCTGCCATATGACAAATACCTAGGAATGGAATTTCTGTGTCATAGGGTACACGTACATTTATAAGAAACTGCTAACCTATTTTCCCACATGATTATACTATTTCATTTTCCCTCCCACAATGTATGAGAGTTCCCAGTTGTTTCAAGGATTCCATATATATATATATATATATATATATATATATATATATATGTATATATAATACTTTAAGTTCTAGGGTACATGTGCACAACGTGCAGGTTTGTTACATATGTATACATGTGCCATGTTGGTGTGCTGCACCCATGAACTCATCATTTACATTAGGTATATCCCCTAATGCTATCCCTCCCCCCTCCCCCCACCCCACAACAGGCCCCGGTGTGTGATGTTCCCCTTCCTGTGTCCAAGTGTTTTCATTGTGGAAGACAGTGTGGTGATTCCTCAGGAATCTAGAACTAGAAATACCATTTGACCCAGCCATCCCATTACTGGGTATATACCCAAAGGATTATAAATCATGCTGCTATAAAGACACGTGCACACGTATGTTTATTCAAGGTTTCTTAACCTTTGCACTATTGACATTTTGACCCAGATAATTCTTTGTTCTGGAAGCTGTCCTTTGCTTTGTAGAATGTATAGCTCCCTGACCTCTATGCATTAGATGCCAGTAGCTCCCTGCTGATTGTGATGCTCAACAATGTCTCCAGGAATTATCAAATGTCCTTTGGGGCAAAATGACTCACAGCTGAAAACCACTGAATTGCCCCACATCCTAACCAACAAGGTATTTCTAATCTTTTTAGTTTTAGCCATTCTAATAGAAATAGTAGTGTTTTTTCACTGTAGCTTTAATTTGCATTTTTATAATGACCAATGATGTTACACCTCTTTCTATTTGTTTTACATTTGTATCCCTTCTTTGATGAAGTATCTATTGAGCTTTTTTGCCCACTTTTATTGGATCATTTGCCTTCTTAATATTGAATTGTAATAGTGTTTATATTTTTCAGATACAAGTACAGTCATGCATCATTTAACAATGTGGATACATTCTGAGAACTGTGCCATTAGTTGGTTTTATCATGTGAACATCGTAGAGCATACTTGCATAAACCTAGATGCTATAGCCTACTACACACCTAGGCTATACCGTGTAGCCTATTGCTCCTAGGCTACAAACCTAGGAGCATGTGCAGCATGTTACTGTACTGAATACTGCAGGCAACTGTAACACAATGGTATTTGTGTATCTAAACATATCTAAACATACAGAAGGTACAGTAAAAAATGGTGTTATAATCATATGAAAACACCTTTGAATATATGGTCCACTGTTGACTGAAATGTTACTGTGCAGTGCATGCCTGTATTTCATTAGATGTAGGTTTGGGAAATATATTCTCCCTGTCTTGGCTTACCTTTTCATTTAGAGTAGCATCTTTCAAGAGCAAAAGATTTTAATTTTTTTGGAGAAAATTTATTCATTTTTCTTGTATGATTATAACTTTTACGTCTTGTCTTATTCCATTCAGGCTGCTGTAACAAATTACATAAACTGGATGGACTATAACAAATAGAAATTTCATCTTTTTTTGACCTCGGAACTTTTTATTTTCCTCCTGCTCCCCAAAGGGTACCCTGCTTCTGCTGGATTAATGCCTCAGAACTTTGGTGTCCTTTGTCTCAGACAGCACTTTGCCACCCACTATCCGGCAGTGGTGGTCTTTTGGATGGTTTGCATGGAGTTGCTGCTGTCCAGGGCATCACCAAGATTGAACTCCTCGCCATCTTCCAGCAGGCGGCGGTAGGTGGCGATCTCAGCCTCCAACTTGACCTTGATGTTCAGCAGGGCCTCGTACTCCTGGGCCTGGCACTGTCCCTCTGCCAGGGTCTGTGCCAGCTCTGACTCCAGGTGCAACAGGATCCCATTGAGCTGCTCCATCTGCAGGGTGTGGCGGGCCTCCACCTCCCTCAGGCGGTCCTCCAAGCTGGCCTTCAGACTTCTCATGGAGTCCAGGTCAACCTCCAAGGACTGGACTGTACATCTCAGCTCTGTGAGCGTCATCTCAGCAGCTCCAACCTCGGCGGACTGCGTGGTGACCACTTTGGCGATTTCCTCATTCTTCTGAGACCAGTATTTGTCCAGCTCCTCTTGGTTCTTCCGAGCCAGCTCGTCATATTGGGCCCAGATGTCTGCCATGATCTTGGCGAGGCACTGAGATTTAAGGGCATCTACCTCCATGGTCAACCCAGAGCTGGCAATCTGGGCTTGTAGGCCTTTTACTTCCTCTTTGTGGTTCTTCTTTATGAAGAGCAGCTCCTCCTTGAGAGCCTCAATCTCTGTCTCCAGCTGCAGCCGAGTGACATTGGTGTCAACAATGACCTTGCGGAGCCCATGGATGTCATGGGCCATGGCCAGCTCTGTCTCATACTTGACCCTAAAGTCATCAGCAGCAAGACAGACATTGTCGATCTGCAGAACGATGCAGGCATTGTCCACAGTGTTTGCAAAGATCTGAGCCCTCAGGTCATCGATGATCTTGAAGTAATGGCTCCAGTCTCTGACATGGGGTCCCTTCTTCTCCACGTGCTCCCGGATTTTGCTCTCCAGCTTCTGGTTCTTGGTCACCAGGCTCCTCACTCTGTCCAGGTAGGAGGCCAGGCAGTCGTTCAGGCTTTGCATGGTCTCCTTCTCGTTCTGGATGCCTCCTATTCCTGCCAGACCCCCAGCCATCCCCGCGGCCAGGCCCCCGGACCCCATGCAACCCGGAAGCTGGTGAAGCAGCACACAGAGATCCGGGAATGAGAGCCCCTGCTGCCTGCATAGACGCTGGCCACACTGCTGACTGGCCAGGCGCCATAGCTGGGCGTCTGGACAGAGCCCAGGGACCGGTAGTTGGTGGAGAAGGTGGAGCGAGTGGTGAAGCTCATGGTGTCTGGGGAGGCAGGCGAAAGGACAGGACTCAGACTTTGCCGATGACCAAAAAATAGAAATTTGTTTCTTAACGTTTCCGGAAGCTGGGAAGTTCAAGATCAAGATACTGGCAGATTTGGTGTCTGGTGAGGAAGAGCTTGCTCTCAGGTTCATAGATGGCCCCTTCTTGCTATATCCTCACTTGGTGGAAGGGGCAAGATTGCTCTCTGGGGCTTCTTTTATAAGGACAATAATCTCATCCATGAGAGCTCTGTCCTCATGACCTAATCACCTCTAAAGGCCCCATCTCTTAGTACCATCACCTTGGATTTCAACCTATGAATTTTGAAAGGATAATAGCATGTTTTATCTAAGAAAGCTCTGCCTAAATGAAGGTTACAAGTATTTTCTCTTTTTTTCTAGAAGTTTTATACTTTTAGGTCAAGTTTGCCTTTCTGATTCATTTAGATTTAAATTACATTTGTGGTGTGAGGTAAGAATCAAGATTCATTATTTTGCATATGGATCCAATTATTCCAAGACCATTTATTAAAAAGAGTACCTTTTCCCAATTATATTACCTTGATACCTATGTCGAAAATCAATTAACTATATATGTGTGGACCTATTTCTTGGATTTCTATGCTGTTCCACTAATCTAATAGTCTGTCTTTACACCAATACCACTCTGTTTTGACTCGTTATCTTTATAATATGTTCTCAAACCAGACAGTGTTATGTCCTAAAACTTTATTCTTCTCTTTCAGAAATGTTTTCCCTTTTCATTTTCATATAAATGAAAGTTCTTTTCGTTTTCATATAAATTTTAAATCCAGTTTCTCAATTTTTACAAAACAGCTTGCTGAGATTTTGACTAGACTGCATTGGGCCTATGAATTCATTTGAGGAGAATTGACATCATAACAGTAATGAGTTTTCTGACCTATTAACATGGTATACTTCTCTATTTAGCTGTTCTTTAATTTCTTTAACGAAGCTCTTATAGTTTTCACTGTAATCACCTTTCACATATTTTCATAATTCTATCCCTATATATTTTGTGTTTATATTGTGAATAAAGTTATTTTAATTTCCCATTGCTTGTTGTTAGCATATAGAAAAATGGTTGATTTTGCATATTGACTTCATATCATGCTACCTTCCCATATTTATCTATTAATTCTAATATTTTTTGTAGCTGGATCTTTGGAAAAAATCAATAAAACTGATAAAACTTAGGATTTTCTATATAGATGATCATCTCATTTGTGAATAAAAACAGTTATAATCCCTTCTTTCCAATCTTTATGCCTTTTATTCTTTTTCTTGCCTTATTGCAGCAGTAAAGACCTCTAGTTAATTGCTAATTAGAAGTGGTGAGAGTGAACCTCTTTGCCTTGTTCTCAAAATCAGAGGAAAAATATTTATGATGTTAACTGTTGATTTCTCATAGATGTCCTTTACTGGGTTATGGAAATTCTCCTCTACTACTAGTTTGCCAAGAGCTTTTTATCATGAATAGGTATTGAATTTTGTCAAAAGATTTTTTTGCTTCTACTGAGATGGTGAAATAGTTTTTTTCGCCTCAGTCTGCTATTAGGATAAATCATACTGATAGATTTTCTAAAGTTAAAACAACCTTCCATTTCTTGGATAATTATACTTGGTAACAAAATATTATCTTTTTTATACATAAAGAAATTTACTTACTACAATTTTGTTAAGAATTTTTGCATCTATGATAAGGAATATTGGTCTATAGTTTTCCCGTAATGTCTTTGTCTGATTTTAATATCAAGCTCACCTCATAAAATGAGCTGAGAAGTGTAATCATTTCTTTTATTCTCTGGATGAGTTTATGTAGAACCTCTATTATTTCTTTCCTAAAAGTTTCCTTTGACATATCAGTGTTGTGGCTGATGTTTTCTTTATGAGAAGATTTTCAAATATGAACTTTTTAATAGAAGATATGAGGCTATTCAGGTTACCTATATTTCTTGAATGAGTTGTGGCAGTTTGTGTCTTGCATAGAATTTATACATGTCATCTAAATTAAAAATCTTATTGCTAAAATTTTTCAGAATATTCTCTTATCCTTTTGATGTGTGCTAAATTTGTAATAATATTCCTCTTTCATTTTTTTTTTTACTGATAATTTGTGTCCTCTCTTTTTTTTTTCCTGATTAGTCTGGATACAAGTTTATCAATTTACAGATTTTTTTCCAAATAGTCAGCTTTTTTTATATATATTTTTCTATTGTGTTTATTTCTTATTTTACTCTGCTCTTTATTATTCTCTTCCTTCTACTTGCTTTGAATTTAATTTGCTCCTTTCTAGCGAATGCTGAAGCTTAGATAAATTTTTGAGACTTTCTTTTTAAATATAAGCATTTAATGTTATAAATTTTCCTCGTTGCACTGCTTTTGCTTTATCACACAAACTTTGATATTTTGTGTTTTCATTTTAATTTTGCTCAAAATATTTTATAACTTCCCTTGTATTTTTTATTTGACTCATGAGTATTTTAGAACTGAATTGTTTAATTTCCAAATATTTGGAGGTTGTCAAAATATCTTTTTGTTATTGATTTCTAGCTTAGTTTAGTTGAGATCAGTTGACTCTGTATTATTTCAGTTATTTTCATGTTTTTTGACTTGTTTTATGGCCTTGCATATGATCTATGTCATTGATTGCTGTGAACAGTTCAAACAATGTATATTCTGCTGTTGCAGGGTCTGTATGTCAATTAGGTTAAGTTGGTTGATAGTAAGTCTTCTTTATACTTATTGGTTTTATGTCTACTTGTTCTATACCAATTTCTGAGAGGAGAGTGTTGAAATCTCCAAAAGTAATATAATATTTGTCTGTTTCTCCTTTTAGTTCTATTAGTTTTTGCTTCTTATTTTATAAAGCTCTGTTATTAGGTGCAAACACAATTATTGTTATATCATCATGACAAATGTATCTCTTTATGATTATGAAAAGTCCCTTTTTATCCTTGGTAATATTGTTTTGAAATCTATTTTATCTGATAGCAACATAGCTACTTCAGCTTTATTTTTGTTTAGTATTTGCATAGTTTATCTTTTTTAATCACTTCACTTTTAACCTAACCGTATCTTTCCAGTTAAAGCAAATTTCTTGCAGAGAGCCTACAGTTGGATTTTGTTTTATCTAGTCTGTCAATTTTTTTGCCTTTACGTCTTAGAACAATTGCTATGGTCTGAATATTTGTGTCCTCTCAAAGTTCATATGTTAAAATCCTAACCACCAAGATGATGATGTAAGAGGTGGGACCTTTAGGAGGTGATTAGGTCATGAAGGTAGAACCCTTATGAATGAGATGATGCCCTTATAAAGCTGCCTTGTCCCTTCTACCATGTGAGAATGCAGCAAGAAGGGGCCCTCTATGAATCAGAGTGTGAGCCCTCACCAGAAACCAAATCTCCTAGTACTTTGGTCTTGCACTTTCCAGCCTCTAGAACTGTGAGAAATACATTTCTTTTATTTATAAGCTACCCAGTTTATGGCATTTTGTTATAGCAGCCCAAATGGAGGAAGACACCAATTTACATCTAATGTCATTACTGAAATGAGTATCGCTTACCTGTACTATGACATTGTTTTCTATTTGTCCCAAATGTTCTTTGTTCCTCTTTATTTTTTATGTTGCTTTCTTTTGGATTAATTGAATGTATTTTATGGCACCATTTTTTTTTTGGAAACGGAGTCTCACTCTGCTGCCCAGGCTGGAGTACAGTGGCATGATCTCGGCTCACTGCAACCTCCACCTCCCAGGTTCAAGCAATTCTCCTGCCTCAGCCTCCCAAGTAGCTGGGACTACAGGTGCATGCCACCAGGCCCAGCTAATTTTTTATGTTTTTAGTAGAAACAGGGTTTCACCATGTTGCCCAGGCTGGTCTCGAATTCCTGAGCTCAGATAATCCGCCCACCTCGGCCTCCCAAAGTGCTAGTATACAGGCGTGAGCCACTGCGCCCGGCCTATGGCTCCATTTTATCTTCACTATTGGCTGATTAGATATCGGTCTTTTTAATTTTTTTTGTAGTTGCTCTAGTATTTACAATATAAAATTTTAACTTATCACCATCTATTTTCAAACCCTACTAAAAACACTTCACATAAAATATAAGATCCTTACAACATTTATTTCCATTTACCACCTCCATTTTCTGTGCTATTCTTGCCATACTTTTTGCTTCTATATTTGTTATAAACCCCACGATACATATTTTTTTGCTTTAAACACTCAATTATCTTTTAAAGAGATTAGAAGTAGAGAAACTATGTTTTATATTTACCTTCATATTTTACAAAACTGCTCTTTTGGTTAACAACATAATTTTCTGGAAGGGAGACTAAATTCTGCCAGTGCATTTTCTACACTATCTTGGAAAGATCTGAATGTCTTCATTTCTAAGCTATTCTTACAAACTAGCAGTGTTGACATAGTTTGGATGTGTGTCCCTGCCCAAATCTTATGTTGAAATGTAATCCCCAGTATTAGAGGTGGGGCCTGGTAAGAGGTGATTGGGTTATGGGGGTGGATTTCTCATGAATGGTTTCGTACCGTCCTCACGATACTGAGTGTGGCAACTTGCTCACTCTCTCTCTCTCTTTTTTTTTTTTTTTTTTAAGATGAAGTCTCACTGTGTTGCCCAGCCTGGAGTGCAGTGGCATGATCTCGGCTCACTGCAACCTCTTCATCCCTGACTCAAGTGATCCTCCTGCTTCAGCCTCCCAAGTAGCTGGGATTACAGGCACCTGCCACCATGCCTGGCTAATTTTTGTGTTTTTCATAGAGACGGGGTTTCACCATGTTGGCCAGGCTGGTCTCGAACTCCTGAACTCAGGTGATCCACCCACCTTGGCCTCCCAAAGTGCTGGGATTACAGGTGTGAGCCACCACGCCTGGCCACCTTGCTCAGTCTTCCTTGCTCCTGCTCTGGCCATGTGATGTGCCTGCTCCCCCTTTGCCTTCTACCATGACTGTTGGTTTCCTGAAGCCCCCACCAAGAAGCTTAGCAGATGCTAGCATCATGTTTCCTGTACAATCTGCAGAATGGTGAGCCAATTAAACCACTTTTATTTATACATTTCCCAGTCTTGGCTATTTCCTTATAGCAATGCAAGAACAGGCTAATACAAATGCCCCACTCATTTTGTATGGCGCTGCACCTGTGGGGTACTTCAGATCTCAACCAACCATTCACAAAAGTGATTTGAGGAAATTTCCAGTGTCTAGAATCCAGGTTTGTTGAGGTGGTCAATCAATCAAACAGTTAATTAACAATTATACATTTGTTCATCTTCTTTTTGTTCTTTCATTCATCAAACACAGATTAATCATTAACTGTGTACCTATTACAAGCTCAGTGCTGGGAATGCAAAGGATCTCTAGATTTAATAGGTTTTAACTGGAAGTAGGAAGATAGTGAAATAACTTTTAAAATGCATTAATCAGTTTTTTTTTTTTTTTTTTTTTTTCTGAGATGGAGTCTCGCTCTGTTGCCCAGGCTGGACTGCAGTGGCGTGATCTCGGCTCACTGCAAGCTCCACCTCCTGGGTTCATGCCATTCTCCTACCTCAGCCTCCCGAGTAGCTGGGACTACAGACGCCCACCACCGCGCCCGGCTAATTTTTTGTATTTTTAGTAGAGACGGGGTTTCACCCTGTTAGCCAGTATGGTCTTGATCTCCTGACCTCGTGATCCGCCCGCCTCAGCCTCCCAAAGTGCTGGGATTCCAGGAATGAGCCACCGCACCAGGCCCATTAATCAGTGTTTTCTTCCTCAGTGCCTACTGTTATTTCTGTCATAATTCTTTGTGGCCTAGCTTTTGTAACTTCGTATAATATAGTGTTAATTTATTATGATGAACATAATAATGCTGCTACCAGTGAGATGGTATTATACCTCGACCTTGACCCCCTTCATGGGCAGGAACTGGAATGGCTCATTTCACTTAGCCTGCTGCTTGTCACTCCTCACAAGAGGGAGCGTGCAAGTGAGTGCAGGACCCAGAGCGAAAATACGAATGCTGGAACTCACCGGTCACTCCTCTCTGGTGAGAGCAGGCTGTGTGTGGGCTCTGGAGCAATGTCCCAGCCCCTGCCCTCATGGGTTCTTGTCTGCTGTCCAGAAAGAATCAGGTCACATGAACGGACTGAAGGGTAGTATATGTGGAGGATTTTATTGGGCAATGGATGTGGCTCTCAGTGGAATGGGGAATAGGAAAGGGGATGGTGGGGGAAGAAGGTGATCTTTCCCTGAAGTCGCACCATCTGAAGTTGGCCGCAGCTATCTGTAGTCTCTTCTTGTATCCCCAACACTTAGCCATTCATATTGCTCTGTCAGCTGGTCCTTTTATGGGCGCAGGATATGGGAATGGCAGGCTAAAAAGGCAACATTTGGGCGAAAAATGGGGTCAGCTATTGTCACTTAGGGCCACAGTTCCATGCTTTAGAGTGGGGTTTAGCTGGGAGCCCAATAATTCTGTATCACCAGTGCCATTACATACATTTTACTCCTTTTCCTCTTTTATTCCTTATAACATCCCCATGAAGTATTATTATCCTGATTCTGCAGAGAAGGACAGACGCTCAGGGAGTGATCTGCCCAAAGTCACAGCTACTAAATGAATAATATGACACTGGATTTAATCCACTCCAGGCTGATTCTGGAGCCTCTGCACTGTCAGAAATAAGCAGAAAAGATTGGTCCAAGGTTTCTGCTGCTTCTGCTTTGAATCCTATATAAGAGGGGTCTGGGCATACTGCAGGTGGTCAATAAAGACTGTTAAAAGAACAAACAGGAAAGGAAGCAATAGAGTGAAAAGGCAACCTACAGAATGGGAGAAAATATTTGTAAATCATATATCCGATAAAGGGTTAATATCCAGAATATATAAATAACTCCTACAACTCAACAACAAAAACACAAATAACCAGATTAAAAAATGGGTAAAGGAGTTGAATAGTCATTTCTCCAAAGAAGATATATAAATGGCCAACAAGCCCATGAAAAGGTGTTCAGCATCACTAAATCATTAGAGAAATGCAAACCAAAACTTCAAGATATCACTTCACACTCACTGGGATGCTCACTGTCAAAAAGAAAGAAGCAACCAAACAGAAAAAGGAAATATTGACAAGGATGTGGAGAAATTGGAACTCTTGTGCACTGTGGGAATGTAAAATGGTGCAGCCACTATGAAAAACTATACGGAGGCTTCACAAAAACCTAAAAAGTAGAATTACCCTATTATCCAGTAATCCCATGTCTGGGTATGTATCCCAAAGCATTGAAAAGCAGGGTCTCTAAGAGATATTTGTACCACCATGTTCATTGCAGCAGCGTTCACAATGACCACGAGGTGGAAGCAACCAGCACGCCTGTTGAGAGATCAATGGTAAGAAAATGTGGTATATACATACAATGGCATATTATTCAGGCTTAAAAAAGAAGAGAATCCTGTTATGTGCTACAACATGTCTAAACCTTGAGGGTATTATTTTAAGTGAAATTAGTAACAAAAAGGCAAGTACTGTATGATTCCACCTACATAATGTATCTGAAGTAGTCAAGCTCATAGTAACAGAAAGTAGAACGATGGTAGCTGGGCATGATGGCTCACGCCTGTAATCCCAGCACTTTGGGAGGCCAAGGTGGGTGGATCTCCCGAGGTCAGGAAATCAAGATCAGCCCGGCCAACATGGTGAAAACCCGTCTCTATACAAAAATACAAAAATTAGCCGGGCGTGGTAGTGTGCACCTGTAATCTTAGCTACTTGGGAGGCTGAGGCACCAGCCTGGGCGACAGAGCAAGGCTGTTTCAAAAAGAAAGAAACAAAGAAGAAAGTAGAATGGTGGTTACCAAGGGACTGGAGTAGGGGTAAATGGGTATAAGGTTTCAGTTTTGCAAGATGAAAATGATCTAGAGGTCTGCCACCACTGAATTGTACAACTAAAAATGGTTAAGATGGTAGATTTTGTTACGTGTTTTTTCACCAATTAAAAAAAAATTTAATAAAAAAGGATAAAGAGGAGGGAAGCCTAATGTTATGCTCTTTATGCCCGAATTTGGCGAAATCGAGCCTTGCCCGCTGTTTTTTCCTATGACAGTGTCTGAACCTTTCTTTTTCCCAGGAGTAGGAATGGCCCCTGCTCCCGCGCAGCCTCCAGGCTGCACCACGCTCGCCCCGCCTCTCTCTCCGCTCCTTACTCCGCCCACCGCAGTTTCCTCCAATCGCGGCCCTCTCCCCGCCCCCTTACCCGAGCCTTTTTCCTGCATCCGGGCCTGAGAGTGCAGGCTTGAGGGAAGCATGGAGGTCCATGGCAAGCCCAAGGCTAGCCCGAGTTGTTCGTCGCCCACCCGGGATTCCTCAGGAGTCCCAGTGTCCAAGGAGCTGCTGACGGCGGGAAGCGACGGCCGCGGAGGTGACGGACGGGTGACGGCGGCATGGGCCGCACACGTGCGGCAGAGGAGGCGCGGCCGGTGCAGTTTGGGAGCCGGCCGGTGGCTCCCTGCCCGGGCTCCGTACCCTCGAGGGGAGCCCCGGGGACTGCTGCGGGGCTCCGGCGTGCCCTGCCCGCGGCAGGGGTGGGGGCTTTGGGGCGGGCACCCGGCTGCGGGCCCGGAATGGTTTCCCCAGCTAGTGGTTCTTATATTCTGCAAGGTAGTGAGCGCCCACCCTGCCAGGCGCCGCTGCCAGGCATCTGCCCTGCCCTGGAAGCTGGGAAGCTCTCGAGTTCTTTTGGGGAAGGGAGGGCTTTTGGTTTGGCTGCCTGGGTCGGAGCAGTTGGCTGATAGGGGGAAGCGGAGTAATATTATGCTAACAGTCCCTACCTCTTTCACACCCACACAGACCACCCCTTAGTGCTGCTGTCTTGTAGAGGGAGACATGCATCCAGGAAATCCACACAGCATTTCAGACACTATAGGTAGAATTTAAAAGCACGAGTTCGAATCCCAGCTCCACTAGTAATTAACTGGTGGGACTTAGAGTTATTTTCATTCCCTAAGCCTCAGTTTTTGCATTTGGAAAATGGTGATAGTAGTAATGCCTGTAGAATTTTTGTGAGGAGGAGAATGCCTAAAAAGGCTTGGGCATGTTGTCAGTAAATACTAGCTTGAAGAAAAGGTTTTGTGAGAACCCAGAGATTCCGAAGGAAGTATAATAATGATAACCAAAGCTTATGTAGTCCTTACTATGTATGCCCCAGAAACTAACTCATCTAATCCTCACAACAACCCTTTGCAGAAAATCTGTTATCTCTGTTTTATAGTTGAGGAACCTGAGACATGATTTATCATACAGGTAATTTACCTTCTGGAGATCATGTGGCTAGAAAGTAGCAAAACTGGGACTTGAATTCAAGTAGTCTGGCTCCAGACTCTGTGCTCTGATCACGAATCCAGTAGGCCTTAAGTAGTAGGCATTCAATGGATGTTTGTTGCGGCTCTGCTTTGCAGGTGAACAGGATTTGTTTTTTAACCAGAGAGTTAAGGGATTTTCCGGGTATTAGAAATAGGGTGTGCAAAGCCTTGAGTTTTGTACGTTCCCCTCTTGGAACTCTGATGGGATAGAGAGTTGGGATGATTTGAGTAGTGAGAAATGAGGCTGGAAAGGTAGAGTGGGTGACAAAATCCCCAAAAGGCTGCTTTCCTTGGGTTGAACGTCTTCAGGGAAGGGGAAATACCAGGCAAGCATGTTTTACTAATGAAGAAACAAATGCTTGAAGATCAGGTAAGTTGCCCAGTGTTACACAACTAGTAACCATTTCTGGCTTCACTTAACCATTGTTATGCTCTGTACTGTTTCCTCCGTTCTGTCATTGCAGACCCACGTTTGTCTGCTAATGAATTTCTGATCCAGAAAAGTGCAGATTGGTGTGCATTTATTACCTGCCATTGGTGATAGAGGTGAATGAGACAGATGTAAGAAAGGAGAGGTGGCTGGCTGTACATAAAGAATTAAAATGTTGTAATGGAGCTTGGAGTTCTCCTTTAAAAAAAAAATTTTGGGGGAGTGTGGACAGTCAAGTCTTAAGACTGGTCATGTGAGAGGCTTACTGATGGGCCTTTGTTTTTTTATGCTGTAGTAAATTAAGGGTGTTTGTGTGTCTGTATTTTCAGGTATATGGGACAGGTTGCTCATCAACTCCCAACCTAAGTCCAGAAAGACCTCCACTCTTCAAACAGTTCGGATAGAGAGGAGTCCCTGTAAGTACCTCTTCCCCTCTCTCACCCTCTCTAATGCTGAGTTTTGTCTGATTAAGCTGTGGGACGGTCTCTGCCTTCATTGTCAGGTATCAAACCACAGATAGTCCAGTGGAACAAGTCCTACTTGGGATTTACATGATAAAGTCAGTACACAGAATGGAACTTCTTACATTATTTCTCTACTTTAAGAGGGTAACTTTTTCGTGAAAAATTGCTTGTGGGTTGAATTTTGGGAAGTCAAAAACAATTGTTAATCTCCATGGCAAATTTATTTAGAGGTTACTGAGCCTCAAACTTAATATATATGGATGGAAAACCACAACCACATCCCATTGAATTGGACACAATTATTTAAATGATAAATATTACTTAGAATACAGCATAATGGCCAGTTCTCTTTATTATTCTGTAGTATTGCTGTACTGCACATTCATAAGTATGTCCCACACTCAGACTTTATTACACGAATGCCCTCTATGTAATTCACTCTTAATATTAAAAAAAGGCAAAAATTCAATAAAAACAATGTAAATAAGCATGAAGGTAATGAAGGTATCACATCAATAAACTAAGAAATCATGAGTACTCTGAAAGGAGAATTTAACTGTAGCATCATTACTGTAGCACTAAATCTACAATAGCTGAAATGACCATATGGTGGCTGCCCATCCAAAAACCAGTTTTTGTGGATATAGGTTTTTGTTTTGAGGGATTACATACCTAGGAGTGGAATTGCGGGTATATAGAAGGTGTAATTTTTTTTTTTTTTTTACGAAGAAGAAATTGCTATTTTGCATTTCCACCAGCAAGGTATGAGAGTTTAGTTGCTGCACATCCTAACCAAAATGTGGTATGGCCTTTTTAATTTTAGCTGTTCTAGTGTGGATATAGTGGTATCGCGTTGTGATCTTAATTTGTTTCTAATGGCTAATAATGTTGAGCATCTTTTCATGTGTCACTATTTGTATGTCTTTGGTGAAGTGCCTATTCAAATCTTAAACACATTTAAAAAATCAGGTTTCTTATTGTAAACATCATTCTTGATAGTGCAGCTCTGCTGGAGATAGACTTACCAGCCTTTGTGTGTCTGAGAAAGTATTTTGCTTTCAGTTTTTGGAAGATGCTTTAATGGATTTAGAATTCTAGGTTGACAGTGTGGTTTTTTGCTTTTTCTGTTTTCTCCAGTACTTTAAAGACATCACTACACTTTCTTTTCAGTGGCATTGTTTCTGACGCCAGTGTCTACTGTCATTTTGTGTCATGAATATGGTGTTTCTTTTCTTCTCTGGCTGCCTTTAAGATTCCCTTCATTACTGGTTTTTACCGATTTTATGGTGATGTGCCCTTTGTAGTTTTCTTTGTGAGTCTTGAGCTTGGGTTTGTTGAACTTACTGGATCTATGGGTTTATAATTTTTATCAAATTTGGGAAATTTTTAGGGATGTTGTTGTTGCTTGCTCCTGTCTCGCCTCTCCTGAAGGGACTCCAATGACACCTAATTTTGCCAGTTGAGGTTGTCTCACAGCTCATTGATTGTTTGTTTGGGTCTTATGTTTTGTGTGTTTCAATTTGGATAGCTTCTATCGCTGATTTCGTTGAGTTCACTATTCTTCTATATTGTCTAATCTGTTAATTCTATCAAATGTATTTTTTCAAGGTAGATACAGTTTCCATCTCTAGAAGTTTGAGACTGTTTACATCTTTTTTTCTTTCCTTGTGTTTGTGCTTTTCTTTTCTTCCTTGAACATACAAAGTATATTTCTAAGAGCTGTTTTAACATTCTTATTGCTGATTCTGTCGTCTGCATCATTTCTGAATCTTTTTTCCCTACTCTTTATGGATTATGTTTTCCTGTTTATTTGCATGTTTGCTAATTTTTTATTAGATGTTGGACATTTTGAATATTATGGTGTTGTGTGTTGAGTATTATTTAATTTAGAAGAACCACGACTGGACTAGCCTCAGGGTTCAGCATATACTCTCCTAGAGTACCACGGAATTATTTGGCTTCTGAGGATCACAGTTCAGGCCGCACATTTTGGTACTTGTTTTGCTCTACTTGATTCATTAGTTGGAAACAAAAGCAGTACCAGATTTTCTATCTGTAGCAATATATTTAAATCTGAGGACAGAGAAATACCTTTATTTGTATTAGTAATTTCTCTTTCTGTAATCTGAAGGGGAATGAGAGCTAACATTCACTATTACGTCGGGCTTTATTTGTGTGCATGCTCTTAGGGAGTCCTTCCAGCACCTTATTTTACAAATAGAGGTCGTCTACTTGACCTTGGCCACTATTTTCTTTTCTTCTTCCATACGCTGGACATTTTAGTCATCTGTTATGTAGCCATAGCAGTTACATAAGTTTTGAGAGTCTGTTATATGCGTGGTTATGTGCTGGGCCTCTTTTGAGAGAGAAAATAAATATCCTTGTTTGTTGACTGCTCTGTATTTGGCACAGTGACTGACAGTTATCACTCCTCTTTTATGGATTAGTACGCTGAGGTTTCAAGAGGTAGAATTAAATGTATTAATTAGGATTCTTGGTTGCAAATGACTAAAATCCAGCTCAGATTGCCTTAAGCAAAAAAAGAAATTATGTTGGCTCTTTTTATTGGGGGAAAAATACTCCAGGCACAGTAGATTTCAGGTGCATCTGGATCCAGGTGCTCAGTGTCCTCAGAGGTCAGCCACTCTGTCTCTTAGTTCTGCTTTCCTGGGTATTGGCCTAATCTAGAGCGTACTCTTCCCCCAGGTGTGGAGAGTTGCCAGTTTATCAGCAGCTTCAGCCTTATATTCAGCCAACTCAGTCATTCACTCAGAAAGATTTCTCTCTCAACAGTTCCAACAAAAGGTCCTGAGTGATCTATTATTGGCCCGACTAGAGCAGCGTGTCACTGTGATGCCACTAAAGCATGGTACAGTGGCCAAGGATATGGAGGATGTAGGCATGTATGGGGTGAGGGGCAAGAGTGACTAAGAGTGACACAAGCTTAAAAGGAAAGCCAGGGTTATATTATCAGAAGAAAGGGAACGTATGTTGGGTAGGCAGAAATAACCACTACTTAATTAACTGGCCCAAGGTAATTCAGATAGAGGTAGAACTAGGATTCTGTACATACCTAGTTATTCGTACCCTAAAGCCTCAGAACCTGGTGCTCTTAACTGTTAAGTCACACTGCCTCCCTATTTAGTTACTATTTGTTGAATGCCAGCCTTCTAGGAGTTTACAGTCCTGGGGATATATGAGAAACATAAAACATTTGTGAAACAATTGCTGGATTGTGTAGTCCTACTGTTTTATTCAGAAGAGGATGGAGGGTTTTTAAATGAAGGGAACTAAAAGATATGTAATTATGGTTGTTATTATTAATACTCAATTCAGAAGTGTTTATAGGAAATCCTGGGTTTCAGAATTTACTAGCATAAATGTTGATATGCTGTATTTACTTTCCACAGTATTGGACCAGGTACAGACATTTCTCCCACAGATGGCACGGGCAAATGAAAAGCTAAGAAAAGAAATGGCAGCTGCACCACCTGGTCGTTTCAATATTGAAAACATTGATGGGCCTCATAGTAAAGTTATACAAATGGTAACTATGCTTTGTTTTCATATGGTGAAATTACTGGTCTGCCTGTCACCTAAGAAGAAGAGAACTTTTCCATTTTATTTTCAAGTTTTCATTTTCCTGGTGTTAGCTCATGTTTCCAATGTTGTATAGGTACATAGTCATTTTATGATTTAGTCATTTTAGTCATATGATGTCACAGGAAGGTTTTTTTTCCTAAGTCAAATGCTACATTTGTTATTCTGAAGCATTAATTTACTCGATGTCCTAACTGGGTTTTTTTCTGTCCAAGCCCCAAAAGAGGTAATCATAGCCTGATTTATTGAGTATGCAAAAATAAATGATGTGTGGAAGAGAGCAATTGATTACATAAGCTATGTGCAAAAATGTTCTCTCAGTTTATACTCATATCTTGTTTCTGCAGTGGAATTCCGTTTATAATATCTGTGTCTGGACCAAGCTGAGACAATTGTTAATAATATCTAATTCATTAGCCATTCTATTCAGCTCTCCCTCCAGAATAGATCCCAAATCCAACCACTTTGTACAACCTCTGCAGTTCCTTTGGACCTTTGTTGGCCCAGGTAATTATGGCCTCTCCTTTGGAGTATTGCAGCAATTTCTTAGCAGGTTTTCCTGCGTTCACTGTGCCTTCCCTGGGGTCCGTTGTTCACACAGTTTGGGACCTGGGGGCTTCCCATCACGTTTCAAATAAACTAAGTCCTTCAAAGGGTCCATATGATCCTGCCTGCAGTTCTCTATCTCAGAGGTTCCCAACCCCCAGGCTGTGGACTGGTACTGGTCTGTGGCCTGTTAGGAAGCAGGTCGCACAGCAGGAGGTGAGCGGTGGGTGAGAGCGCATTACCACCTGAGTTCTGCCTCCTGTCAGATCAGCAGTGGCATTAGATTCCAAAAGGAGCGTGAACCCTATTATGAACTGTGCATGTAAGGGATCCAGGTTGTTGTGCGCTCTTTATGAGATTCTAATGCCTGATGATCTGAGGTGGAACAGTTTCATCCCCAAAACATCCCTGCCAAGGTCCGTGGAAGAATTTTCTTCCACAAAACTGGTCCCTGGTACCAAAGAGGTTGGGCACTGCTGCTCTGTCTGACCTTATCTCCTACACAGTCCTCATTTACTGCCCTCCAGCACCAGTCTCACTGCAGCCGGTCTTCTCCCCTGCGGTTTTCTCAGGTAGAATGCTTTTCCCTAGATTTCTCCATTTCGACTCCCTCTGTTTCTTTTCAGTCGTCACCTGATCAGGAGGCCTTCCCTGATAGCTGTATTATTATTTTATCCTGCTTTATTTTTCCATATTTTCACAACCCTACATTATGCTTTATATGTATTTGTTTATTGCCTTTCTTTCGCCTCTGGAACAAGAGTCAACAAATGTTTCTGTAAGAGGTCAGATAGTAAATACATTAGGTTCTGTGGGCCTTACTGTCTCTGTTGTGACTGGTGAACTCTGCTGTCATAGTGTGAAAGCAGCCACTGACAATACATACATGAATAAGCAAGGGGAAAACATTTTATTGGGGAAAAAAAACCTCCAGGATTGGTGATTTCAGGTGCACCTGGATCCAGGTGCTCAGTGTCCTCAGTGGTCAGCCGCTCTGTCTCTTGGTTCTGCTTTCCTAATGTTGACCTAATCTAGAGCATGCTCTTCCCCCAGCTGTGGTAGGTTTCTGGTTTATCAGCAGCTTCAGCCTTAGAGTCAGCAACTCAGATTTCTCTCTCAACAGTTCCAACAGAAGGCCCCGAGTGATCGCTTATTGGCTCAATTAGAGCAGTGCGTCACTGTGTATGGGTGCTGAAATGAGAATTTCATATAATTTTCACCTTTCGTGAATAGCAGTATTTTAATTTTTTTCCCCCAACCACTTAAAAATAGAAAAAACATTCCTACTTTGTGAGCTGAACAAAAGTAGGCGGTGGGCAGGATTTGGCCTGCAGGTTGTAATTTACTGGTCTCTGCCTGAAAATGTAAATTTCACCAAAGCGAGGGGTTTGTTTTGATTTTTTTATTGTTATTGAGTCTCTAGTACCTAGTGTAGTGCCTAACTCATGTTAGTATTTGCTGAAAGAATGTTGTTGAATGTGTTTAGGGTATATAGAATTGGGCCGTAGCAGATATTTTAGACACTTAGAGTAAATTTAAATCATCATTATGACAGACCCTGGTAACTAAAAATATAAAAGAGCCATGTTGTATTAAAAACATTTCTTATCCTTGTGGCCTGGTGTGCTGTCTCATGCCTGTAATTGCAGCGCTTTGGGAGGGCAAGGTGGGTGGATCATTTGAGGTCAGGAGTTCAAGACCAGCCTGGCCAACAGGGTGAAACCCCATCTCTACTGAAAATACAAAAATTAGCTGGATGTGATGGGGCACACCTGTAGTCCCAGCTACTCAGGAGGCTGAGAGGCACAAGAATTGCTTGAGCCCAGGAGGCGGAGGGGGCAGTGAGCTGAGATCACACCACTGCACTCCAGTCTGGGCAGCAGAGCAAGACTCTGTCTCCAAAAAAAACCAAATTCTTATCCTTTATGTTTCAATATGTTTGCTGAATGTTGGTTCTTCCCAATATTGTTTTATTACGACTTTTTAAGGAACTGCTCTGAAATAGATTTCCTGTCCACTACTTTTTGCAGGATGTGGCTTTGTTTGAGATGAATCAGTCGGATTCAAAAGAAGTGGACAGTTCAGAAGAGAGTTCACAAGACAGTTCAGAGAACAGTTCAGAATCAGAAGACGAAGATGACAGCATCCCATCTGAAGTCACCATAGATAACATTAAGCTTCCCAATTCTGAAGGTGGAAAAGGCAAGATTGAAGTTTTGGACAGTCCAGCAAGTAAAAAAAAGAAATAGTCAAATAAATTATCTGAAAAGAAACAGGTGACATATGTCTGCAAATTCTGTGAAAAAGAATGTGATTCACGGGTTCTTTTGCTTTTCAGGCACCTATGGTGCTTTTATATGTTAAAAACTTTAGACAAGTTAAATTTGACAGAGTTTCTTTGGGCAAAGAATGATTAATGAGTTAGGTAGCATTGTAAACTGAAAGGGGTTCAGAGACCTCCGCTCTACAGCAAGGAAAGTGTGCTTTTATCAGCTGAACACAGAAGTAGAGTACAGGAATAACTTGATGGGTTACAGCTAGGTGTTTGCCTAAATAAGGCAAAGAGGAGACCTAAGGCTGCCTGATGTCCCATAGGTATGGTCTGATCTAAGGAGATCTAAGGCTGCCTTGTCCGATGGGCTGAGGCTTGGCTGTTTGTGATTGGCCAGACTTGGCTATTTGTTATAAAAATACACTCCTGAGTTAGGTTTTGGTGTGTAGAGTACAGGAATAACTTGATGGGTTACAGCTAGGTGTTTGCCTAAATAAGGCAAAGAGGAGACCTAAGCCCAGCATGTCGTCCACTGTTTGGGATGCCTGCAAACTAACCATTAGCTCCTCCTGCAAACATCATGTGTTCTGTTCCCTTGAGAAATTTCTTTCATGCATATGGTGGCAGTGTCCAAAGAAACAATAGTGTCAGCTACAAATTGTATTGAATTTTCTGTAGTAGCAAAATCTGGAAAAATAGGTACAACATTCAGTTTTGTTTAGCACCATACATAACCCCCAACATGAGCAAAGAGGAGATCTAAGGCTGCATGATATCCCATTAAGTGCTTTTGTTAAATGCTTTCAGAGGGTGGCTCCTACCCCAGGAGGTCTGGTTGGTCATAAAATAAGATTTTTCCCTATCTGTGCATTAGTTTTAAATTCCATATGACTAGCACCCAACCACTACAAAGAGTGAGTCCCCAGGAGCCCCACTGTAATCTTTCCTCAGTGGAAACTAGCATATCTTTTTTTTTTTCGAGATGGAGTCTTGCTCTGTTGCTCAGGCTGGAGTGCAGTGGCGCGATCTCAGCTCACTACAAGCTCTGCCTCCCGGGTTCACGCCATTCTCCTGCCTCAGCCTCCTCAGTAGCTGGGAGTACAGGCGCCCACCACCATGCCCGGCTAATTTTTTTTTTTTTTGTATTTTTAGTAGAGACGGGATTTCACCGTGTTAGCCAGGATGGTCTCAATCTCCTGACCTCGTGTTCCACCCTTCTTGACCTGCCAAAGTGTTGGGATTACAGGCATGAGCCACCGTGCCCGGCTGGAAACTAGCTTATCTTTATTTTCTTCATCTATTCCAAGGTTGGTGCAAATTTCAATTGCTGACCATTTTAGACTCTGATAATAGGAGGTATTTATGGGGACTTTTGGGGAAGCTATTTGGAAGGCAGGATTGAACCATGCCAAATAGCAAGATCCTAACCAGTGGGGAGCAAAATGGAGTAAGCATATTTTCTGTAGACCAATACAGGCAGACCCTCTGAGGCTGGAAAAGAGGGCTACCTAGTGGTATTTGAGCATCAGTCAGTTCAGTTCATCCACTGGTACATCTGCATAGCTCCTGAACAAGGTCCAGGAGGAAACTTACTTTTTTATAGTTCCCCTCCTTTTAAAAAGATGTTTTACATTTTATTATTTTCATTTTTTTTTTTTTTAACTTTTAGGTTCAGAGGTACATGTGGAGGTTTGTTATATAGACAAATTGGGTATTGTGGGGGTTTGGTGTACAGATTATTTCATCACCTGGTGATAAGCATAGTGCCCAATAGGTAGTTTTAAATCTGCACCCTCCTCCCACCCTCCATCCTCAAGTGGGCCCTAATGTCTGGTTCCCTTCTTTGCATCCATGTGTACTCAACGTTTAGCTCCCACTAATAAGTGAGAACATGTGGTATTTTTCTGTTCCTGTGTTGGTTGCTTAGGTCCTGATCATCTGTGTTAGCTTTCTGCCTTGATGATCTGCCTAATACTGTCAGTGGGGTGTTAAAGTCTCCCACTATTATCTAGCTCTCTTTGTAGGTCTCTGAATGCTTGCTTTATGAATCTGGGTGCTTCTCTGTTGGGTGCATGTATGTTTAGGATAGTTAGGTCTTATTGAATTAAGCCCTTTATCATTATGTAATGCCCTTCTTTGTCTTTTTTTATTTTTGTAAAAGTATGTTTTGTCTGAAATTAAAATAGCAACCCCTGCCTTTTTCTTTCTGTTTGCTTGGTAGAGTTTTCTCCATCCCTTTACTTTGAGCTTCTGAGTGTCACTGCATGTGAGGTGGGTCTCTTGAAGATAGCATACCATTGGATTTTGCTTCTTTATCCAAGTTGCCACACTGTTTCTTTTGATTGGGGCATTTAGCCCATTTACATTCAAGGTTAGTATTGATATGTGTGCATTTGATCCTGTCATCATATTGTTAGCTGGTTACCATGCAGACTTGTCTGTGTGGTTGCTTTATAGTGTTACTAATCTACCTACTTAAGTGTGTTTTTGTAGCGGCTGGTAACCCAGTCTTTCCTTTATATAGTTAGCACTCCCTTCCAAAACTCTTGTAAGGCAGATCTGATGTTAACAAATTCCCTTAGCATTTGCCTGTCTGAAAAGGATCTTATTTCTCCTTTGCTTATGAAGCTTAGTTTAGTCAGATATGAATTCTTGGTTGAAAATTATTTTCTTTAAGAATGCTGAGGGTGTGGCACACCAGCATGGCACATGTATACATATGTAACTAACCAGCACATTGTGCACATGTACCCTAAAACTTAAAGTATAATAATAAAAATAAATAAATAAAGAATGCTGAATATAGGCCCCCGATCTCTTCTGGCTTGTAGAGTTTCTGCTGACAGTTCTGCTGTTAGCCTGATGGGTTTCCCTTTGTAGGTGACTTGCCCCTTCTCTCTCACTGCCTTTAGCATTTTTTCTTTCATTTCCACCTTGGAGGATCTGATGACTGTATGTTTTAGGTTGGTCTGCTTGTGTAGTATTTCACAAGGGTTTTCCGCATTTCCTGAATTTGAATGTTGGCCTCTCTAGCAAGGTTGGGGAAGTTTTCATCAGCGATATCCTGAAATATGTTTTCAAAGTTGCTTGGTTTCTCTCCCTTTCAGTCACATCAATGAGTCATAGATTGGGTCTCTTTTCATAATCCCATATTTCTCGGAAGTTTTGTCCATTCTTTATTGTTTTTTTTCTCCAATAAAGAAAAAGATGTTTCAGAGAGCCATCTTCAAGCTCTGAGATTCTTTCCTCAGTTTGGTCAATTCTGCTGTTAATACTTGTGATTGCATTATGCAATTCTTGTAGTGTGTTTTTCAGCTCTGTCAGATCGGTTTAGTTCTCTCTTATAATGGCCGTTTTGTTTATCAGCTTCTGTATCATTTTATTGTAATCCTTAGATTCCACGGATTGGGTTTGACTTTATCCTGTATGTTGATGATCTTCATTCCTGTCTATATTCTGAATTTTATTTCTGCCATTTCAGCCATCTCAGCCTGGTTAAGAACCATTGCTGGGGAACTAGTGTAGTTTTTTGGAGGTAAGAAGATACTCTAGTGCTTTTGTCAGTTTTTGCACTGATTCTTTTTTATCTTTGTGGGCTCATGTCGCTGAAGTTGCTATCCTTTGGATGATTTTTTTTCTTTTATCCTACTTTATGTCCTTGTGTGTTTAATTGTGGTATAAAGTGGGTTTAGTCAACTGGCTTCATTTCTAGAAGGTTTTCAGGGGCCAAGGCTCAACTCAGGATTCCTGGACTGTATGCTGTAATTCTGGGGGGCTGATATCAGGCCCCTGGCTTTGTTCTCTGGCCACTGGAGGTTAGGTACCTGCTGTGCTAGAGGGGCCAAGATATTTCTGGACCACTGGTCAGAACACTTCAATGGGTGGTGCCAGCCAAAGTGCTTTGTATGGCAGTGGCAGTGGGATCTGTCCTCATATGCACATGCCAGCAATAGCAGTGGGGTGCGGTGCACACTCATCAGCTTCAGAGGGGTGCTGGCAGTTGCAAGGGTGCTGTTTTTGTGCAGGCATTTGTAGTGGCTGTGGTGTTAGCATGGGGGTGGGGCGCTGTGGCTGCTGCTAGATTTTGTGTGCCCTCTGTGCGTGTGCTTACATGGGTAGCAGTGGCCACTCAGGGTAAGGGGGCGGGCTGCTGGTCTCCATGCATAGTTTCACACCACTGGCAGTGTTGACACAGGGGCAGGGTACTGGTGGCTGCGGGACTGGTGCCAAATGTGCGCACGTTTATGCTGGCTGCAGTGGCTGCACAGGGCGCAGGGCAGGTCCACTGGTCACTGTGCCTAGTTTTGCAGCTGGTGGCAGTGTTGGTGTCGGAGTGGGGTACTGGTGGTCTCCGTACCTGCAGATACTCCAGTGGCAGTGGCAGCATGGTGGTCGGGTGCAGTGTGCTCAAGCCAGCAGTAGTGGCATGGCCAGGTGCACATGTACCCACACACTGGCAGGAAATTGGAGGCGAGGTCTGTGTACACAGGTGCTGGCAAAGTGATTCGGGGGTTGGCTGCATGCCAGCGTCTGCAGGCAAGGTGCCATGGGGGAGTCTGCAGTGGGAGGAGAGAGTGGGATCAGGTGGTCTGGTGCACGGTCTGTTGTGGGTGGGGGTAGTACTGGAGTTCTCTGCCATTCAGGCACGATCTGCCAACTCAGGTGCTATAGCGTAGGCCCCCAGGACGCACCCCACCTGGGCATCTAAGGCTGCACTGCAAGCAGGGACAGCCAGGCTGAGGCCCAGGGAGAGGTCAGGAAACTGAGGAGTGCTTAGTTCCGATCGGCCAGGTCTCATAGGCAAGACTGCCCTGCATTTTTCAAGTCTGATAGTTCCTCTAGGGTTGAAGTCTCTTAGGGGAGCAAGGTGAGTCATGGGTGATGGGCGTCCCTGGCCATGATCCACTACAGATGCTCCCGCACCAAAGCCTCTGGGCTCTGCACCAGCTAGAATTCTGCCCTACCACTTCTCTAAGCAGCTCTCCCTGCAAGCTCAAGAGTCCATGGGGGTCCTGGGGTCTCCTGCCAGATTCCAGAGGCCTGTGGTGGGAGTCAGTTGCTGCTTGCCTGCTCAACTCACCCCTTTTCCAGGAGTCGGGGGCCAGGAACGAGTCTTAGTGTGTGGTAGCCCCTTGCAGGGTTCCCCGCTTCCTCCCTCTTCAGCCCAGCATCTGTGTCTTCCCTTCATCCACTCTCAGTGCCCTCCCTCTGAAGATCTGCTGGGAGTGCACCAGTCTTCCTGATATCCCAGTCTCTTGGTGGCAGATGTTCCTTCTGGCTGCATCTAGCTGATCATCTTGCCTCCAACCTGTTCCCTTTATAGCATAATGTGTATAACCACATTTAGTGGAAAAGCACCTTACTATATTTAATCCAATGACATTATACAAATAATCACCGGTGCCCACATAGATAGTCCCCAAGTCTTGAGTATGTGATACCTGGAAGCATAATATACCTTTTGTAGGCATCACTTGGTTTGATGTTCTATATTTGATAGTGGTTAGGTTATTAATTGGAAAGGTTGGGATATTCCTTTCAGTGAGTGTAGGCAAGCAAATAGCAGTGACATTTAGAACATCAAGGATTGCTTTCTCTTCCTTTGGGGTTTCAGGGTAATTCTCTTCGGGAACTCAGAGAGGTGTTGGCATTAGTGGAGTTGTTTCCTGGTTTTTACCCATTAGCCCACAAACCCAAACAGTTGCTCTGTTTTTTCTGCTAGAGCATGAGCCTTACCTAAAGCCATTGCAAATTATGGTCCTATGGATTTTCCTGTAAGGAAAAGGAAAGATTAAGACAATAGGAAATAAGGGAAAAAGAAAAGGGACATAGTTATCATGATGACAGAGAAGAGAACTCTTGATCCATGATCAAATTCTTACCACCCATACTGCAGCAAAAGTCTTGAGGGTCTGAACTTTTGCTGCAGTGTGGATGGTAAGAATTTGGTATGGTCCCTTCCATAGGGGTTTGAGGGCAGTGTTTCACTGATGTTGTTTTCAGAAGACCCAATCTCCATGTTCCAGATTGTGAAATGCTTGGTTGTCCTCCATTGATAGATCGTGAAAGGCTTTTTTTTTAACCTGGTGAAAATATACTTTGGCATAATACATTAAGGCCTTGCAGTATTTAGTCATGTCAGTTTACAGGAGCAGGAGATATATGAGGTTTAATTATTAGGGGCATAGGTTTTTCAGTAACTATTTCATAAGAAACTAATTTATTTTGTATTTTCTGTTGGGGTGGATCTAGTTGCCCATAAGGCCAATGGTAATACCTTTGGACGAGGCAATTCAATCAATTCAGTTAACTTTACCAATTTCAGTTTAAAGTTTCATTTGTTCTTTTGAGCTTTCCAGAAGATTAAGGGTGTTAGGGATGATGGTAATACCATTGTGTTCGATTAACTGTTTTAGCTGTTTTATAACTTGTCCAGTGAAACAGGTTCTTCTATTGCTGGAAATTCCTCCAGGGAAGCCCCAGAAGGAAACATACTTTCTAATAACTTATTGTCATAGCATTGGCCTTCCTACATGATAAAGCTTCTATCCGTCTAGAGAACACAAAGACTTTTATAAGAACATATTGTTATCCCATTAAGGGTGGCAATTGATGAAATCCATCTGTAAACATTCAAATGGTCCAGGAGGCAGTAGAAATGTACCACCTAAAATTTGGATTATCTTTCCAGGATTATGAGCTTGATAAACCAAACATTAGTTATAAGCCATTTTAGCAATTTTAGAATAGTCATCCCACCAATATTTTTTCAATTTCTGCCTTTAGAGAGCATAACAGTTCTGGTTCAGGAGAGTCAGGAAACTCTAAGATTATTTGTCCCTCTGAAAGAGAATTTTATATGCCCTTTTGCCTTGGAGAGCAAGTCTTGCCCCAGCAGATTTACTGGGGCAGTATCACATAATTAAAAAGTATGATTTTCTGTAAATGACACCAGTGTCAGTTGGATGGCTTCCAGTATGGGAACCTTTTCAACTTGATTTGAAACCCTACCACAGAAATAATGTTTCCACAGAGTAAACATTTTTACTCTGAGGGATGTATTAGCTTATTAAGGTAGAGTTTATAGTAGATGAAAGTGGCTCTAGTATCCACCAGAATTGTATAAGATTTTTCATTTGTTTTAACTTTTGTTTTTCCATGTTTATTTCTTTTCTTTTTTTAATAGTACTTTGAGTTGCTGTTTATCCATGTTTATTTAAAGGTATTATGGGGAGCAGTTTTCTGGAGAATTCCTTGGATGCTCATCAATGTTGATTATTATCTCTAGAGTTAAGACCTTGTGGACTCATTCTAGTGGGGAAATAGTATGGCCCCAAGGAAGGAGGCTTACTGGTATACTGAAATAAGAATGCAAAATCTCTTTTCCAGCATCCTAGTTGTTTGCAATGAAGGGAGACACCTTAGGGCAAATAATTTCTTGGTCTAAGATCTCTTGGTTTTAGCTTAAAATAAGGGAGAGGAAGTCCCTTTGGTCTTGGTCTTTGTGGTTATTGTAATTAGAGAGACATGAGCTTTTCGACCTTTAGTCTTTTACTTACTCTATTCTCTCAAAATGTTGGGCTAGGGCCACCAATTCAATCATATCTATAACCTCCCATCCTGGTTTGTGTTTTTTATTCAGGTTACTAAGTTCAGGATGAGCTCCATTTACAAATAGAGCAGTTAATCCTGTTTCAGGCACTGCCAGAAGTATCCCTTGGTGTATTGGAACCTGGAATGTTTTACAAATAGTCTTTCTGAATGGACCCTGTAATCTGAAACTGGTTCATTCTATTTTTTGTCTATGAGATTGTATGATGGACCAATCAATTTTTTGTAGCAAAATCTTAGGAATTGAATTTTAAAGGTTTTCAACAATTTTTCTAGGTCTCATTGGCCCTACTCTTGATGAGGTTTTGGGGGAGTCTTTAATATCCTGATTAAGTTTTTCCCATTCTCTTGTCATACATTTTCAAGCTTTGCCATGTCCCAGTATCATATGAATAAATTGGTCAGAGAGTCCTGGCTTGTAAGCTCCTGTGCAAATTCTAAAATCTTCAGTACATTTTTGAGTGTTTTCCCTGGGCTAGGGAAGTCTTTTACCGTGTCTGGAAGCTTAATTTTTGACCATGGAGTAAAGGTGGTTATGGCAGGCAGGCCTGGCTGATCAGAGAATCCCATTTTGTAAGGCATTTGTCTAACTTGCCTTTTCTCATTATCTTTAGAATGAAAGAGTAGTTGAGCAAAAAGGTTATTAGACTCAGAGTATTGAGGTAAAGATGGGTAAAGAGAAAGAACAAAACAGGTTTGAATCAGTCAAGATACAGTCTTTTTTTGTATCATCCTTAAGCTACTTAAGGTTTTCATTTGCCTTCTGTAAGGAATCTTTTACTACCTGTATGTACCAATTTAAAGAATGCATCTCATTGCTTATGAAGCATTTTGGATTCTTTCTTTTGTAGTGTGCCTTGCAAGTGAACAAGTTTATGTAGGTTAAAACTTTCCCACTGTGGGCCACTGGAATTCTAATTTTTTTTGTGTGTGTGTGAGTTTCATTTTTCTAGAAAAGCAACATGCCCTGAGTCTGTAGTTCTTATACACGAAATTGGCTATAGTTCCAGATGGAGGAGTTCTAGACTCCATGGATCCAGATGAACTCATGATTCCCTGTCTTCTTGTGACTTATCATAGGCCTTCTACTGGACCCAGTCTCTGGACCCTGTTTGGTAAAAGAATTGTTCAAGTAAATTTGGAGAGCTCAAAACACAAATCTGTGTAGCTTTAATCTGAAAGGGAAATCACACACAACCTCCAGTTGCTGTGAGAGAGGAATGGTTACAATAGACCCAGCAAATACATTCATTTGGTCACTAGGGTGCTCCTGGGCGGTTGTTGGAAGTCGCCTTTGGACGCCACTTCTGACACCAAAAACTTAATTGTTAAAACCTCTAGACAAATTAAATTTAACAGTTTGTTTGAGCAAAGAACAATTTTATGAATTAGCACTCAAAACTGAAAGGTTCAGAGTGTTCCACTCTGTGGCACAGAGAGTATGCTTTTATAAGTATAAATTGAACTTGGAAGTAAACTACAGAAATAACTGGATTGGTTACAGCTAGGCATTTGCCCTATTTGTGCATGGTTTGATAACTTGACTGCCTATGACTGGCTGAAGCTCACCTGTTTCTGTCTGGCTTAAACCTAGCTATTCGTTACAAAAGTATTCTGCTAAGTTAGGTTTTGGTTTGTTTATTACTGAGGTAGATTGCAGTTTGTTATATAGGAACTACAAGTACCAAGGGAGTCTCAGGCTAATGGCCTCCTGCTTATTTAATTTCACATATGTAATATTGGATGTATTTTGTTTCTCAGAGAAACCAGAGCTAGTTTTTAAAGAGTTGGGATATATAGCATTTGGATGTCTTCCCAGGGTAGAATGATCTTTATTCTCTTCTATGGTAGAGTTTAGAAAGCTTAATTTTGTGCATGGTGATGAGTGAATTTGTTAGCATCTTTTTTCTTCAGCATGGATTTCAGAAACATCAATTTTATTTTAAAGTAAAAATAAAGGCCAGGTGCGGTGGCTCACACCTGTAATCCCAGCACTTTGGGAGGCCAAGGTGGGCAGATCACGAGGTCAGGAGTTTGAGACCTGCCTGGCCAACGTGAATCCCCGTCTCTACTAAAAATATAAAAATTAGCTGGGCGTGGTGGCACGTGCCTGTAGTTCCAGCTACTTGGGAGGCTGAGACAGAAGAGTCACTTGAACCCAGGAGGTGGAGGTTGCAGTGAGCTGAGCTCACTGGAGGCTGGGTGACAGAGCAAGACTGTGTCTCAAAACAAATAAATAAATAAAAATTACCAGTTTTGTTTTAAATTATCTGTTTGAATAAAATAACCTAGTTTTTTTAGGTTATTATAAAGTCAAACTTGTCACCATCAAGATGGGTTTAATGAGGGAGGAATATGTGAAAAAGAAAAAAGATTTTTACAAAGAAAAGAATTACTTATACAGTTGATCCTTGAACAATGCAGGAGTTAGGGTGCTGACCCCCTTTGTGGTCAAAAATCTATGTATAACTTTTGACTCCCTGAAAACTTAACTACTAATAGCCTACTATTGACTAGAAGCCTTAGTGAAACATAAATAGTTAACACATATTGTATATGTTATATGTATTATATATTGTATTTTTACAATAAAGTAAGCTACGGAAAAGAAAATATCACTAAGGAAATCAGGAAGAGAAATATATACTTACTGTTCTTTAAATGGAAGTGGATCATCATTAAAGACTTCATCCTCATTGTCTTCAGGTTGAGTAGGTTGAGGAGGAGGAAGCAGAGGGGTTGGCACAGGTGGAAGAGGTATAGAAGAAGAAGGCATACTCATTGTAACTTTATGGAAATACATTGTAATTTCTGTCTGACTTTCTTACTTACTCATTTTGTTACCAGTGGAGGGTCTTGACTCTGAGTTGTTTGACAAAGAATTGGATAAAACGTGCAAATCAATGAAAGGATGAAGCAACAAAAGCACAGATTTGTTGAAATGAAAGTACACTTCACAGAGTGGGAGCAGGCTCAAGCAAGTGGCTCAAGAGTGCTGGTTAGAGAATTTTCTGGGGTTTAAATACCCTCTAGAGGTTTCCCATTGGTTACTTGGTTTACACCCTATTTAAATGAGGTAGTGGTCTGCAGCCAGTCTGATTAGTTGCTGGGTGACCAATCAGAGGCTGAAGTGAAGTTACAGAGTTACACCCTATGCAAACATCTGATTGGTTGTGGAAGGTGAAGTGAAGTTACAAAGTTGTAACCCTGCGCAAAGACTAGGCTTGTGACCAGTCTGATTGGTTGCAGGAGGGGACCAGAAGTACTTGCCATTTTTCATCTGTGACACAGAAGCAGAGGAGCTGCAAAGGGAGAGCCTCTGATCCTTTTGTTACTTGGGCGTGGAAAGTTGGGGTTTTCCTTTTGATTCAGTCTAGGAAGTCAGTGCGAATTGGCCTTAAGTTCCCTGCCTCCAGGCCCTATTCTCCTGGCTCAGTTTCTCTAAAAATATGTCTATACAGTACCAATCTTCTACCATTTGCTTTAGTTTTAGTGTGTGTATCATAGAAAGGTCCATGTTATAAAAGAAGTCAAAAGCAACCTTGAATGATCAGAACCCTTCTGCCAGATTGTCTAATGTCAATGTGTTTTCTGATACTGATGCTTCTCCATCTTCCTCATCGTCTGGCACTGTGGCTCAGAAGCATTCATCTCCATCAAGCTGTCTTCTGTTAATTCCTCTGGTGTGATGTCTGTTAGCTTTTGAATTTCTCCAAGATCCCTGTCTTGAAACCCTTCACTCCACCTGCCCCACCTTTTTTGCCACATTCACAATCTCTTTCATGATTTCCTTGATTGGCTCTGTCGTAAATCTTATGAATTCATGCATGATATCTGGACACAGTTTTTTTCAGCACAAATTTATTGTTTCAGGCTTGATGGCTTTCACAGCTTTTTCTATAACAATGATATTGTCTTCAATGGTGTAATCATTCTAGAATTTCATGATGTTCTATCAGTGTTCTCTTGCATAGCTTTGAAAATTTTTTCCATAGAGTATCATGTATAATGAGCCTTAAAGGTCTTCATGATCCCCTGACCCTAGAGGCTGAATTAGAAGCCTTCTGTTTGGGGGAAAGCAGACCACTTTGATACCTTCAATGTTGAACTCTTGGGTTTCTGGGTGACCTGGGCATTGTCTAATATCAAAAGAACTATAAAAGACAGTTCCTTATTTGCAAGATACTTCTTGACCTTAGAGACAAAGCATTGATGGAACCAATCCAGACAAAGGGGTCTTGTCCAAGCCTTTTTGTTGTAAACCAGAAGACTGGCAACTCGTATTTATCTTTTCCCTTCCAGGCTCAGGGGTTAGCAGCCTTATAGATAAGGGCAGTCCTGATCATAAATCTAATTGCATTTGCACAAAACAGTAGAGTTAACCTATCCCTTCCTGCCTTAAATCATGCTCACTTCTCTTACTAATTGATGTCTTTTGTGGCTCTTTTTTTTTTAACTTTTAGGTTCAAGGGTACTTGTGTGCAGGTTTGTTATATAGGTATTTTGTGTGTCATAGGGGTTTGGTGTGCAGATTATTTCGTTTGTGGCATTTTTTTTTTCCAGATGAGGGTACTTCTGTTTGTATTTAAAACCTGTTTGAGAAGATATCCTTTCTTCTCCATGATTTTTTTATTGGCACCTGGGAACTTGGCTGGTGCCTCTTGGTCAGCAGAAGCTGTTTCTTCTATTATCTTGACTTTTTTTTTTTTTTTAAGTCAAACCTCTAAAATTATCAAAGCATCTTATGCTGGCATTGAATTATCCAGCTTTAGACCCTTCACTTTCCCTTTGCTCTATGTTGTCATTTAATAACTTCCCTGTTTTTCAAATCATATGAGAGTCTGTAGCCTTTTTGATAGCAATCCTGTACCCACATAAAAGCTGCATTTTCAATAGGAAATAAAAATGTATTTCACAAAAAGATTTTTGTGCCCGCTAGCGTAGCTGCAGCAATGGCTTCACAAATTTCCTTTTCTTTTTAACAATGGTCCTGATGCTGGATTCATTTATCTTGAAATGGTGGGCAACTACAGATGCAGACCTCAGTCTATGGTACACATCAAGCAATTCATATTTTTCTTGTAATGTCATGACTTTTCTCTGCTTCTTGGAAGAAATTCCAACATCACTAGTAGCACTTTATATGGTTCCTACCTATGGTGTTATTCAAGGTTTACAATATTGCACTAAAGACGAAGAACATGCGATAACCATAAGAGATCACTTGCAGGTTTGTTACGTAGGTATACACGTTCCATGACGGTTTGCTGCCGCCATCAACTTGTCGTCTACATTAGGTATTCCTCCTAATACTATCCCTCCCCTAGGCCCCCACCCCCCAACAGGCCCCAGTGTGTGATGTTCCCCTCCCTGTGTCCATGTGTTCTCATTGTTCAACTCCCACTTAGGAGTGAGAACATGTGATGTTTGGTTTTCTGTTCCTGTGTTAGTTTGCTGAGAATGATGGTTTCCTGCTTCATCCCTGTCCCTGCAAAGGACATGAACTCATCCTTTTTTATGGCTACATAGTATTCCATGGTGTACATATGCCACATTTTCTTTATCTAGTCTATCACTGATGGGCATTTGGGTTGGTTCCAAGTCTTTGCTATTGTGAGCAGTGCTGCAGTAAACATACATGTGTCTTTATAGTAGAATGATTTATAATCCTTTGGATATATACCCAGTAATGGGATTGCTGGGTTAAATGGTATTTCTAGTTCTAGATCCTTGAGGAATTGCCACACTGTCTTCCACAATGGTTGAACTAATTTACAATCCCACCAACAGTGAAAAGTGTTCCTGTTTCTCCACATCCCCTCCAGCATCTGTTGTTTCCTGACTTTTTAATGATCGCCATTCTAACTGGTAACTCATTGTGGTTTTGATTTGCATTTCTCTAATAACCAGTGATGATGAGCTTTTTTCATGTTTGTTGGCCGCATAAATGTCTTCTTTTGAGAAGTGTCTGTTCGTATCCTTCGCCCACTTTTTGATGGGGTTGTTTTTTTCTCGTAAATTTGTTTAAGTTCTTTGTAGATTATGGATATTAGCTCTTTGTCAGATGGATACATTGCAAAAACTTTCTCCCATTCTATAGGTTGCTGGTTCACTCTGATGATAGTTTATTTTGCTGTGCAGAAGCTCTTTAGTTTAATTAGATCCCATTTGTCTATTTTAGCTTTTGTTGACATTGCTTTTGGTGTTTAGTCATGAAGTCTCTGCCAATGTCTGTGTCCTAAATGGTATTGCCTAGGTTTTCTTCTAGGGTTTTTATGGTTTTAGATCTTACATTTAAGTCTTTAATCCATCGTGAGTTAATTTTTGTATAAGGTGTAAGAAAGGGGTCCAGTTTCAGTTTTCTGCATATGGCTAGCCAGTTTACCCAACACCATTTATTAAATAGGGAATCTTTTCTCCATTGCTTGTTTTTGTCAAGTTTTTCAAAGATCAGATGGTTGTAGATGTGTGGTATTATTTCTGAGGCCTCTGTTCTGTTCTGTTGGCCTGTATATCTCTTTTGGTGCCAGTACTGTGCTGTTTTGGTTACTATAGCCTTGTAGTATAGTTTGAAGTCAGGTAGCGTGATTCCTCCAGCTTTGTTCTTTTTGCTTAGGATTGTCTTGGCTATATGGGCTCTTTTTGGGTTTCATATGAAATTTAAAGTAGTTTTTTCTAATTCTGTGAAGAAAGTCAATGGTAGCTTGATGGGGATAGCATTGAATCTATAAATTACTTTAGGCAGTATGGCCATTTTCACGATATTGATTCTTCCTATCCATGAGCATGGAATGTTTTTCCATTTGTTTGTGTCCTCTCTGATTTCTTTGAGCAAGTTCTCCTTGAAGAGGTCCTTCACATCCCTAGTAAGTTGGATTCCTAGGTATTTTATTATCTTTGTAGCAATTGTGAATGGTAGTTCACTCATGATTTGGCTCTCTGTTATTGGTATATAGGAATGCTTGTGATTTTTTGCACATTGATTTTGTATCCTGAGACTTTTGCTGAAATTGCTTATCAGCTTAAGGAGTTTTTGGGCTAAGATGATGGGGTTTTCTAAATATCATGTCATCTGCAAACAGGGACAATTTGACTTCCTCTCTTCCTATTTTTATACCCTTTATTTCTTTCTCTTGCCTGCTTGCCCTGACCAGAACTTCCAATACTATGTTGAATAGGAGTGGTGAGAGAGGGCATCCTTGTTTTGTGCTGGTTTTCAAAGGGAATGCTTCCAGCTTTTGCCCGTTCAGTATGATATTGGCTGTGGGTTTGTCATAAAAAGCTCCTATTGTTTTGAAATATGTTCCATCAGTACCTAGTTTATTGAGAGTTTTTAGCATGAAGGGGTGTTGAATTTTATCAAAGGCCTTTTCTGTATCTATTGAAATAATCATGTGCTTTTTGTCATTGGTTCTGTTTATGTGATGGATTATGTTTATTGATTTGTGTATGTTGAACCAGCCTTGCATCCCAGGGATGAAGCTGACTTGATTGTGGTGGATAAGCTTTTTGATGTGCTGCTGGATTCAGTTTGCTGGTATTTTATTGAGGATTTTTGCATTGATGTTCATCAGGGATATTGGCTTGAAATTTTCTTTTTTTGTTGTGTCTTTGCCAGGTTTTGGTATCACGATGATGCTGGTGTCATAAAATGAATTAGGGAGGAGTCCCTCTTTTTCTATTGTTGGGAATAGTTTCAGAAGGAATGGTACCAGCTCCTTTTTGTATCTCTGATAGAATTCTGCTGTGAATCCTTCAGGTCCTGGGCTTTTTTTGGTTAGTAGTCTATTAGTTACTGCCTCAATTTCAGAACTTGTTATTGGTCTATTCAGGGATTCAACGTTTTCCTGGTTTAATCTTGGGAGAGTGTATGTGTCCAGGAATTTATCCATTTCTTCTAGATTTTCTAGAGGTGTTTATAGTTATTTGTATAGAGTTGTTTATAGTATTCTCTGATGGTGGTTTGTATTTCTGTGGGATCAGTGATGATATCCCCTTTATCATTTTTTATTGTGTCTGTTTGATTCTTCTCTCTTTTCTTCTTTATTAATTGGGCTTGTGGTCTATCTATTTTGTTAATCTTCTCAAAAAACCAGCTCCTGGATTCGTGGATTTTTTGAAGGGTTTTTTGTGTCTCTATCTCCTTCAGTTCTGCTCTGATCTTAGTTATTTCTTGTCTTCTGCTAGCTTTTGAATTTGCTTGCTCTCGCTTCTCTGGTTCTTTTAATTGTGATGTTAGAGTATCGATTTTAGATCTTTCCCGCTTTCTCCTGTGGGCATTTAGTGCTATAAATTTCCCTCTAAACACTGCTTTAGCTGTGTCCCAGAGATTCTGGTATGTTGTGTCTTTGTTCTCATTGGTTTCAAATAATTTATTTATTTCTGCCTAAACTTCGTTATTTACCCAGTAGTCATTCAGGAGCAGGTTGTTCAGTTTCCACATAGTTGTGCATTTTTTAGTGAATTTCTTAATCCTGAGTTTTAATTTGATTGCACTGTGGTCTGAGAGACCATTTGTTATGATTTCCGTTCTTTTGCATTTAGCTGAGGAGTGTTTTACTTCAATTATGTGGTCAATTTTAGAAAAAGTGTGATGTGGTGCTGAGAAGAATGTATATTCTGTTGATTTGGAGTGGAGAGTTCTGTAGATGTCTATTAAGCACACTTGGTCCAGAGCTGAGTTCAAGTCCTGAATAGCCTTGTTAATTTTCTGTCTTGTTGATCTATCTAATACTGACAGTGGGGTGTTAAAGTCTCCCACTATTATTGTGTGGGAGTCTAAGTCTCTTTGTAGGTCTCTAAGAACTTGCTTTGTGAATCTGTGTGCTCCTGTATTGGGTGCATATATATTTAGGATAGTTAGCTCTTCTTGTTGGGTTGATCCCTTTACCATTATGTAATGCCCTTCTTTGTCTTTTTTGATCTTTGTTGGTTTAAAGTCTGTTTTATCGGAGACCAGGATTGCAACCCCTGCTTTTTTTTTGCTTTCCATTTGCTTGGTAAATATTCCTCCATCCCTTTATTTTGAGCCTATGTGTGTCTTTGCACATGAGATGGGTCTCCTGAATACAGCACACTGATGGGTCTTGACTCTTTATCCAGTTTGACTGATGGATCTTGACTCTTTATCCTGTGTCTTTTAATTGGGGCATTTAGTCCATTTACATTTAAGGTTAATATTGTTATGTGCGAATTTGATCCTGTCATTATGATGGTTATTTTTCCCATTAATTGATGCAGTTTCTTCATAGTGTTGATGGTCCTTACAATTTGGTATGTTTTTGCAGTGGCTAGTGCCAGTTTTTCCTTTCCATATTTAGTGCTGCCTTCAGGAGCTCTTGTAAGGCAGGCCTGGTGGTGACAAAATCTCTCAGCATTTGCTTGTCTGTAAAGGATTTTATTTCTCGTTCGCTTATGAAGCTTAGTTTGGCTGGATATGAAATTCTGGGTTGAAAATTCTTCTTTTTAAGAATGTTGAATATTGGCCCCCACTCTCTTCTGGCTTGTAGGGTTTCTTCAGAGAGATCCACTGTTAGTCTGATGGGCTTCCCTTTTTGGGTAATTCAACCTTTCTCTCTGGCTGCCCTTAACATTTTTTCCTTCATTTCAACCTTGGTGAATCTGATGATTATGTGTCTTGGGGTTGCTCTTCTCGAGGAATATCTTCATGGTGTTCTCTGTATTTCCTGAATTTGAATGTTGGCCTGTCTTGCTAGGTTGGGGAAGTTCTCGTGGATAATATCCTGAAGAGTGTTTTCCAACTTGGTTCCATTCTCCCTGTCACTTTCAGGTACACCAATCAAACGTAGGCTAGGTCTTTTCACATAGTCTCATATTTCTTGGACGCTTTGTTCCTTTTCATTCTTTTTTCTCTAATCTGTCTTCACGCTTTATTTCATTAAGTTGATCTTCAATCTCTGATATCCTTTCTCCCACTTGATCGATTAGGCCATTGATACTTGTGTATGCTTCACGAAGTTCTTGGGCTGTGTTTTTCAGCTCCATCAGGTCATTTATGTTCTTCTCTCAACTGGTTATTCTAGTTAGCAATTTCTCTAATCTTTTTTCAAGGTTCTTAGCTTCCTTGCATTGGGTTAGAACATGCTCCTTTAGCTCGGAGGAATTTGTTATTATCTGCCTTCTGAAGCCTACTTCTGTCAATTCGTCAAACTTATTCTCTGTCCAGTTTTGTTTCCTTGCTGGTGAGGAGTTGTGATCCTTTGGAGGAGAAGAGGTGTTCTGGTTTTTGGAATTTTCAGCCTTTTTGCGCTGGGTTTTCCTCATCTTCCTGGATTTACCTACCTTTGCTCTTTTATGTTGGTAACCTTTGGGTGGGGTTTCTGTGTGGACGTCCTTTTTGTTGATGTAGATGCTATTCCTTTCTGTTAGTTTTCCTTCTCTAACAGGCCCCTCTGCTGCAGGTCTGCTGGAGTTTGCTGGAGGTCCACTCCAGACCCTGTTTACCTGGGTATCACCAGCAGAGGCTGCAGAACAGCAAAAATTGCTGCCTGTTCCTTCCTCTGGAAGCTTCCTCCCAGAGGGTCACCCGCTAGATGCCAGCTGGAGATCTCCTGTGTGAGGTTTCTGTCAACCTCTGCTGGGAGGTGTCTCCCAGTCAGTAGGCATAGGGGTCAAGGACCCACTTGAGGAGGCAGTCTGTCCCTTAGCAGAGCTTGAGCACTGTGCTGGGAGATCTGCTCTCTTCAGAGCTGGCAGGCAGGAATGTTTAAGTCTGCTGAAGCTGCGCCCACAGCCACCCGATCCCCCAGGTGTTCTGTCCCAGGGAGATAGGACTTTTATCTATAATCCCCTTGACTGGGACTGCTGCCTTTCTTTCAGAGATGCCCTGCCAGAGAGGAATCTAGAGAGGCAGTCTAGGCACAGCTGCTTTGCCGCACTGTGGTGGGCTCTGCCCAATTTGAATTTCCCTGTGGCTTTATTTACACTGTGAGGAGAAAACTGCCTACTCAAGCCTCAGTCGTGGTGGACACCCCTTTTCCCACCAAGCTCAAGTGTCCCACGTTGACTTCAGACTGCTGTGCTGGCAGTGAGAATTTCAAGCCAGTGGATCTTAGCTTGCTGGGCTCTGTGGGGGTGGGATTTGCTAAGCTTGACCACTTGGCTTTCTATCTTCAGCCCCCTTTCCAGGGGAGTGAACGGTTCTGTCTCGCTGGTGTTCCAGGCACCACTGGGGTATGAAGAAAAACTCCTGCAGCTAGCTCGGTGTTTGCCCAAACAGCCACCCAGCTTTGAGCTTGAAACCCAGGGCCCTGGTGGTGTAGGCACCCGAGGGAATCTCCTGGTCTGCGGGTTGTGAAGACCGTGGGAAAAGCATAGTATCTGGGCCGGAGTGCACCGTTCCTCACGGCACAGTATCTCATGGCTTCCCTTGGCTAGGGGAGGGAGTTCCCTGGCTTCCCTTGGCTTCCCTGGGCTAGGGGAGGGAGTTCCCTAACGCTTTGTGCTTCCCAGGTGAGGCAACACCCCACCCTTCTTCTGCTCCCCATCCATGGGCTGTACCCACTGTCTAACCAGTCCCAATGAGGTGAGCTGGGTACCTCAGTTGGAAATGCAGAAATCGCTTGCCTTCTGCGTTGATCTCGCTGGGAGCTGCAGACCGGAGTTGTTCCTATTTGGCCATCTTGCCAGCCAGCCGAGAGATCACTTTTTACTGTGATAGGCAATTTACTGCAGAGAGGAACTGTTCACACAGAGATGATTAGTGTCACATGGTATCGTGAGTAGATACTTGCAACACGAGCTCATCGCAATAGCAACAGGAGGTGACCACAAAGTTATTACAGTACTAGAGTTAATTTTATGCAGTTATGATTTAATACTGTGTCTTTGCATTTGTTTGTATTTCTTTCAACTGCAAATGGTACTAGGTACCGTCTATAAGTGTTTGTGTGGGTAAGTGCTGATAAATTCTAACTTTTTATAATAGATTTATATATTTTTTATGGTAGAAATGATGAGATAGACTGGTATCTACATATATTTAATGCATTTTTGACGTACCTAACTTTTTAATTTTTTTTAAGCCATGCAGTTCATCTGTGAATTTTTTCAAATTGTCACAAATCTCCAAAAATGTTAAAAATATATTTATTGAAAATAATCCATGTATAAGTGGACCCACACAGTTCAAATCTGTGTTGTTCAAGTGTCACCTGTATTTAGCTATTCTCAAACATACCTATTTTTATTTTAAGAATTCCTTTCTAGTTTGAGTTGGAAAACTGATGCTTGTAGTGTAATCACTGTTGGTGACAGTGCAGTCATACAATGCATGCAGAATTTACTGGTTGGAAAGATCAGTTTTTAGTTGATTTTTTTTTTTTTGTAAAGCAAAACTTCTTATCTCAGCTATTAAAACTGTTCCACACAGTTGCCCACAGCCTGAAACCTATCAAATGTAGAAAATAGGGACATCACAGCAAAATTTGGAGGGCATAGTACAAAGAAAGGCGACAGCTGGTTTTCCCTTCCAAAGGTCAAAATGACCTCAGGCTGGAGTTGCCTTTCTGCCCTATTCTTGGTTTTATTAAGTTTATTTGGGATCTCATCTGCCATGAGCCTGACTTTTGCTCAGGAAAGAGGCCTGAGAATTTAAGGACTATCTGTGAGTGGGCAGAGCTGATGGAACTTTGTCTGCTAATGTTTTCGGGTTTTCTTTGAATTCTGTTCTTTCCAATTCTTCACATTGGCCTGAGTCTTCTTGTGATTGCTGTGAAGATAATTATCCAGGTCCTTTCTGATCTTTCTTATTGGAAATTGGAACCAGCTCTCCTTGACTGTGACTCACTCGCTAAATGTGTAAAGAAATGAGCAGATCTGAAACAAGATTTTTTCAGCTGGAAAGAGTACACCAGAACTGTACACAGCCGTGATGAGTTATTGGCATAGGTACTTATTTAAAGATTTTCTTCCACTGGATGCTATGCTACCTTGTGTGAACAGTTGCATTTGTCTGTTTCACTACTTAGCATAGTGTGTGGTGCACAGTAGGCATGGAATAATGATAATAAATGGATTAAATGGATGCATGAAGGTATACAGGAGACTTTAAGCTATCATAGACGGTTCCAGGCAGGAGAATATGAAGATGTAATTTCAAGTACAGTTGTTATTGTCAGTTTTGCTTTCCATGGTTTCAGCTACCCATAGTCAATCACAATATAAAAATATTAAATGGAACATTCCAGAAATAATACATAAGTTTTAAGTTGCTGAATAATGTGATGAAATCTTAGGCTGTCCCACTTCGTCTCGCCTGGGATGTGAATTGTCCTTTTGTCCTGCTTATGCACGCTGTATATGTTACCCACCGTTTAGTCACTTAGCAGCCATCTGGATTCTCAGATTGAAAACAGTGTGTATAGGGTTCTGTTCTATCAAATGTTTCAGGCATCCTCTGGGGGGTCTTGGAATGTATCCCCCATGGATAAGACTACTTGTATAATCTGGTAAAATGGATGAATTATTCATAAATAATGTCAGAACCAGCTATTTCAAACAAGATTAGATTCTCTAGCCTCATATCATATGCAAAGATAAATTATATATGGATTAAGGATTTAAATGTAAAAAAAGAAATTATAAGAGTTCCATACCGAAATGCAGGTTTATATTTAGTAAAATAGTCAAGAAAGGTTTTTTTTTTTTTTTTTAAAAAGCATAACATCAAAGCCTAAAATTACAAAGGAAAAGAGTGGAAAATTCATCCCCATAAATATTAAAAACTAGTGTGTTGCAAATAAATTCAAAAGATAAGGGAAATACTGGGGAAAATATCTGAAACATGACAGAGTGTCATTAATATATCATGGGCTTTTACATTTTAGAAAAAAATGACGGATATCTCAGTAGTGAAAAGACTATAGGAAATGAAGAAGTAATTCACAGAAAAAGGGTCAACTCCATTTATCAGAGAAATGCAAATGAAATCAGGATTGCATTCTTCACCTGTCAAATTGGCAGATGCAACAGTAGCTGGTACTTACTGAGCCCTTTCTGTGTTAGCTACTAGTCTAAGAGTTACCACCACTCATACATATGTAAAGGCTAATGGAGTTGTAAATGTAACTTTTGAGGACTTTATTGTATGTATGCGTATTAGTCTGTTCTCACACTGCTAATAAAGACATACCCGAGACTGGGTAATTTATAAAGGAAAGGAGGTTTAATGGACTCACAGTTCCACATGGCTGAGGAGACCTCACAATCATGGTAGAGGGTAAAGGGGTAGAAAGTCATGTCTTACATGGCAGCAGGCAAGAGAGCTTGTGTAGGGGAGCTCCCCTTTATAAAACCATCAGACCTGGTGAGACTTATTCACATGAGAACAGCATAGGAAAGACCCGCCCCGATGATTCAGTTACCTCCCACCAGGTCCCTCCTACAACACGTGAGAATTATGGGAGCTACAATTCAAGATGAGATTTGGGTGGGGACACAGCCAAAACATATCAGTATGTTATGGCCTTATATAAAAGTTGTTTTGTTTGTAAGCAGTTTGCCCTACAGTGTGTGGAAAGTGCATCACTGTTGTGCTTTGGTTGTCCAACTCTTTGCTTACCCTGATGCTTAGGTGTGAGTTGATGGCAGTTTGGCATTTGGAGAGCAGTTGCACTCCTAAAATGAGTGAAATGTTCTCTTCAAACTTGTGGCGTACCGTCTTTCTATGGCTCTGTGACAGTTACAGATCCGAAAATTAGGTGTAATGGCTTTTGAAGCAAAAATCTCATTCTGAATAAATCTCCCATCTGTTCCAATAACATTTTAATTGCGCATCAAATATGGTACTTATTTTTAAAAACTGCCTAGCAGGATAGTTTGTGTTACTCTGCCTGTATCCATGACCGTGATAAGAAATGTAAGAAAAGGCCAGGCATGGTGGCTCACACCTGTAATCCCAGCACTTTGGGAGGCCAAGGTGGGTGGATCACCTGAGGTCAGGAATCCAGACAAGCCTGGCCAGCATGGAGAAACCCTGTCTCTATTAAAAATATAAAAATGAGCCAGATGCGGTGGTGCATATCTGTAATCCCAGCTACTTGGGAGGCTGAGGCAGGAGAATCGCTTGAACCCAGGAGGTGGAGGTTGGAGTGAGCGAAGATCATGCCACTGCACTCCAGCCTGGGTGACAGAGAGACAGACTGTCTCAAAAAAAAAAAAAAAAAAAAAAATGTAAGAAAAGAGGTTGAGTCTTATTTTCATTTGTATTTCTCTCACTGCCTAGCATAGTGCCTTTCACTCAGTTGGAATATATAATAAATGTTCATTAAACTGACTATTGTTTCCTTCTCTTTATGTCAACAAAATAATTCAGCTTAAACATCAGTTCACAATCCTGGGTCAAAATCCTGAAGCAAAAATACAGGATATGTATGATCTGTAGACTTTTCCCAAAAGTTTTAATGTTGGAATCTTTGTGTTTGACTCCCCACCATCTGTTCATGGAAAACTCTTGCCAGTTACTGGTTTAGGAATGGGCACGTGATGTGAGCCTAACCAGCGAGGCATGTGGAAAGTCTGTAGACTTTTGGGAAGGAAAGTGCAGTCATGCACTGCGTAATGATGTTTTGGTCAACGATGGACCACATATACAACAGTGGTCCCATAAGATTATAATGCTATATTTTTACCGTACCTTTTCTATATTTAGATATTTTTAGATATACAAATATTTGCTGTTGTGTTACAGTTGCCTACAGTATTCAGTAGAGTAACATGCTGTACAGGTTTGTAGCCTGGGAGCAATAGGCTGTATCATACAGCCTAGGCATGTCATAGGCTATACCATCTAAGTTTGTGTAAGTAAACTATGATAGTCACATGACACAATCACCTCATGATGCATTGCTCAGAAGAAATCATGCGACACATGACTGTGTTTCTCATTCCTAGAAAGGAGGCACATGACGAGATGATTATATCATACAGCCTAGGTGTGTTGTAGGCTATACCATCTAGGTTTGTGTAAGTACACTGTGATGTTCACACAACAAAATCGCCTAATGCTGCGTTGCTCAAAAGGAATCTGGCACATGACTGTATTTCTCATTCCTAGAAAGGAGGCACATGACAAAATGATTCCTTTCTTTTGGAAGAAAGGACAAGATAGCGAGGCAGGAAATTTTCCCTGACTCTTTCATGGGTGGGAACTGGAGTGCACAGGCGCTAGAACTAGCCAGCTGCTTCAGTGCCAGAAGGGGCAGACTCCACTCACTCTGTCCCACTGTGTCCCACCCCTTGCAGGAAGGTGAGTACAGGTGAGTGGGTGCAGGAGCCGGGTGAGTGCTTTTGGGCACTGGCAGAAGCAAAACTCCATGTGGCCTCATGGCATCATCTAGGGGGCTGCCTATGACCCCTGAAGCCCCAGAAAGAGGGTTACAGTCCATGCTCTTTTAGCTTTACTGTCTGTAGATGGCTTAAATGTTAACAGCTCAGTGGAGGGTCAGCGTGACAGCCTTTTGCACCTGCACCCAAATTCTTGTCCAGCGTCCAGGAGGAATGAGGTTGCATGAAAATTGGAGAGGGTAAATGCAGGGGATTTTATTGCCGATGAAAGCGTCTCTCAGCGGGAAGGGGAGCTGAAAAGGCGACAGAATGGGAAGATAATCTTCCCCCGGAGTCCAGCTGTCCCTGGCCTGGCTGGGCTCCTTTCTGAAGCAACACTGTCAAGCTGTCCCTCTGAAGTCAAGCTGCTTCTCTCCAACATCCAACTGTAGTATTTGACGGCCAGCTGCTGCTCCTCTTCTCCTCTCTCTACTTGCAGGGGCTGGGGTTTTTGTGGGCACAGGATTGGGGTAGGGCGGGCCATGGATAGTTTTGGAAAAGGCAACATTCGAGCAGGAAAATGGGAATGCATGTTCTCATTTTGGGCTGTGGTTCCACGCTTAAGAGTGGGGCCCTCGCTGGGGACCCATCCTCTTCTGCTCAGAATTTTCCTGCCTCCTGTCCCTATCATTATGATGGGATATGATTCCTGGAACTCCTTTCTCGTGGCCATGAATGGAGCCAGCTCTTGAGGGTAAAGTGAGCACACTACAGATAGCAGACAAGAGCAAAGAACATTATAGAGTCACTGCATCAAATAACTTGTATACTGCACTATTGCTGGGCTCTGTTTTTGGTGGCAGAATAAATTTCCTTATTTTTTTTTCAAAAAAGCCTATCACCTTGTGAGATATGCTTATATTCACTTCACAGCTGAGAAAATTGGCATAGAGATACTAATTGCATAACTTGTAATACACAATGTTGGCAAAGATGTGGGAAAATTGTTGGTGGGATTATTGATTCAGGAATTCCACTTCCAGGTATTTGTTCTAATTACATAAGTGTAGCTTTGGTCATAAATTTTATATAAGATTTTTTGTGACATTTAAAATAGCAAAAAGCAAATCTAAATGTCCGACGATAGACAACATGTTGAATTAAAGCCATTGAAATATGCAGAATTGTGTTTATTGGCATAGATGCTTATGATATATTGTTAATTGAAAAAGCAGGTAACAAATTAATATACAGTATTATGTTAATTATGTAAAAAAAGTATACATATTCATAGAAAAAGTTTGGAACAATCTCAGATATCATCTGTAGGCTATTTCTGTTTGAAAATAACCAAATAGATTTTTGGGTTGACTCAACAAATTATGGTTGAGTCAGTCTTACTTTCCTATTTTATAAATGTTTTTTACATCATTGGGTATTTAATCATTTTAAAAATCTACTCAGGCATCATTTGTATAATAGTAATAATAATTTAATCCCCCTTATTTCTCATGTCTCATGCCTTATCCATCATCCCTCATATCCTACTCTTAGCCCAGATTTTCCTTGACAGCTTTATTTTCTTGGAGGGCAGGTATGGGGAACCAAATTTGTTTCCTTACCCTAGCTCTAGCCATTTCCACAAAAGCTTTTATAGATAATGTCCATTTTGCTTATTATTTTTAGTTTAACCAATACTTAATATGTGCCCACAGCTCACTACCTAGGCCCTGATTTAGGCATTAGGAATAAAAACTATCTCGACTTAGTTAAAACCACCAGATGCATTGCTTGAAAACCTGTTCTGCCACTTAATAGCTGTGTGATTTGAGCAGGTTACTTAACCTCTCCATTTGAAAGCAAACATTTATTGGGCTCCTGTTACACATTAGGACTGGAGATACAGTATTAAAACAAGTACCTGTTCATGAAACTTACATTCTAATGGGAAAAGATCATTGATTAATATACAACAGGTAGTGATAAGTGCTATGAAAATAATGCACTTATAAAAAGAATAAAGAATGACAGCAGATGGGGTATGAATGTGGGGGCATATGGCCTATTTTAGAAAGCATAGTCAGGGAATGTGTCTCTCATCAGATGATATTTGAGGAGAGACCTGCAGGAAGTGAGCCAGCCAGCCATGAGGTTGTGTATGGACAAGAGTTGCAGGAAGAGGCAGTGGTGTGCTGGTGCTGGCTTGCATTTGTTCTGATGGCATGCATCTCTTCCCAAACTCTGTATTCAGTGAAGGCAAATTAGTGGCTCAAAAATAGCCTTGATGAGAGTATTTACACATAGATACCTGCAAATGCTACAAATGAGGGTTTTCTCCCCCGTCCCGGAGAACTATTTGTTAAATATTTTACCAGCACACCCCTGGGAAGAGGAAGAATAAGGACAGAGGCCCTGAGGCAGGAGCAGGCTTGTTCTGTTGAGGAAGTCAAGGCAGTCAGGATGGTGGAACAGAATGAGAGGGAAATTGACAGGAGATGAGGTCAGAGGTAGCTAGGAGCAAGATCAGTAGGCCAGGTAAATACGTTGGACTTTGGTCTACGTGAAATGGGGGCCATTGAAAGGTTTTAAACAGACGAGTGAAGTGACACTGTCTGACTTAAGCTTTGAACAGGACCGCAGAAGAGAGGAATCCAGAAGACCAGTTGGGAGACTTGAGCAAAATTGTAGGAAAGAGGTAACAGGCCAGGTGCAGTGGTTCATGCCTGTAATCCCAGCACTTTGGGAGGCGGAGGCAGGTGGATCACTTGAGGTCAGGAGTTCAAGACCAGCCTGGCCAACATGGCGAAACCCCATCTCTACTTAGCCAGGTGTAGTGGCACACACCTGTAATCCCAGCTACTTGGAAGGCTAAGGCATGACAATCGCTTGAACCCAAGAGGCAGAGGTTGCAGTGAGCCAAGATTGCACCACTGCACTGCAGCCTGGGCAACAAGAGCAAAACTCTGTCTCAAAAAAAAAAAAAAGTAATAATGGCTTAGGGGTAGAGGTAGTAAGAAAAGCACGTTGATTTCTTCATTTTTTTCAGAGATTGTGAAGATTAAATAACATTTAAAACATGCTTAGCCTAAGGTCTTTCATACAGGAGGCCCTTAATAAATGGTAGCTGTCATATCGTATTATTATTGACAGAAGGCCCATACTGGAGTTGGGGAGGGTTGTTCATATCTAATTAAGAAGGCAAGTAATTTTAGTACAAGTGGTAAGTGCTATGTTTGAAACAAGTGGGAACGCTGAGGAGAAACACTTAGCCCAGCTAGGGTAGGAAGGTCCAGGAAGGGTGTTAGAGCAAAAGGGACAGCTTTAGCAAAGGCATGGGGATGGGGAATTAGAAGGAAAGTGGAACTGCTTAAAGTGTCCACACCTCCCGATTCAGGTGATAATAAGATCACAGCTTCATCCTTAGCATTATTAGCAAAATAATCCGTGATCTAAAGCAACAGCGATGATTTTATTACTCTATGTGTTAAGTAAATCACCTAGCAGGCTGGGGAGGGTGATGTTCCAATTCCAGTTCACTTGGTAACTTTATGTATTACACAGAGCCTTTGATTCTGATCAGCCAGATCTAAAAATGTAAGCTGGTAAGAAATGTTTAAAACTTGCTATGGAGAAAGGAGTTCTTAATCTGGGGCCCAAGCATGGCCTTTGGGAGGTCTGTGAACCCTTTGAAGATACTTGCAGAATTGTGTGTGTGCACATGAATTTTGGGGGTAGAAGCGGGACACAGGGAGTGTTCATAGCTTTTATCAGATTCCCAAAGAGTTTTGCAGCCCAGAGAATATTTAAAACACTGCTACTGAGATGAATATTAGAGGGTAAAGTAAAATCAGTCTAGAAGGACAGGCATGTTTTTGTCTGCCATTCCATCTATCATTAAAATAATTTGATTAAATCATATTCTAAATCACATGAAATCAGTTAAAACATTTCACTTAAAAGTGATTACTTATAAAAAGGCTTTTGTCACTTTTATTCAAATATGAACTGTCATTTTGGGCCCAGTGAATATTCATTCCAACTTAAAATTTCAGCTGTGCCAAACTCTGGGATGGTAAATGAGCTATAGTATAATCAAAAGTGCTTCCAGGCCAAATTCGCTCTGTTTATCATGCTGGGATCAAACCTCCTATTCTTCCTTTTGAAAATGTTCTCTGACTCTGATTTTGTTGTTTAGTTTTTATTGATTCCCTACAATCCCCTCATGTTATTCTGCCAAGTCTCCAAAATGACAAATATTCCCTAAGGCTTCTTCAAAGCCAAAGAAAAAGGAATGTTTACTGAAATTTTATTTTTAAAGGAGGATTAATAGAATTTAACTTTCTGGCTATCTTTTGGAGACTCATGTGATTCAGAAATTTGCCGCCTTCTAGTCACACATAGATGGTGAAAATTTACTCACCTGACTACTTCTGTCTGCCAATGGGAAATGGGCTGTTAATAGTTTCCATTTCTTCAATGCTATGGTCCAAACGCCTTGTTAAGTGCATTATGTATATTATCTCACTGAATCCTTGCAACACCTACTGAGATAGAGATTTGATTTTCATTTTATAGATACTCAACCTAGGCTCTGAGATATTAGATTACTATCTTGCCCAAGATCACACAGCCAGTGAACAGCAGAACCAATAGGTAGAAAAATGGAAAGTAAGATGTCCCATGAAGGACGAGCGAGCTGCCCAAAGAAAAGCACCCCTTTTCCTTGTACTATTGCCATTTTTCATTGTGTGGCATTTTTCAGTGCTGCTGTATCAGGCATTGTGTCAGAACAATGGATGAGAAAAATATCTAGGAATTGATGATTGAAAAGGGTTGTGGGAAATGAATTCATCTAGTTAATTAAACTATCTCAATATCTTTTAAGAATGGTGACGGAGGAAATCAGAGTTAAATTTGAGTACTTACCATGAGCAAAGCATTAATGTGAGGTGCTTTACTTACATTACTGCAATGAATTCTCCTATTAAGGGTCCTGAGGAAGGCATTTACTATCCCTGTTTTACACATAGGGAAGCAGAGGCTCAGAGGAGTTGCGAGAGTTTCCCAAAGTTACATAGATAGGAAGATGGTATGATACGACCAGGATCAGCCTTCTACTATATCATATGTAAAATTTGCTTCAAAAGCTATTTACTAAAATTTAAACTATGTGGGGGCCAGCCATCATATCATTAAATTCTCTATACTCCTCAGAACATAATATAGTACCTGGTACCTAGTAGGTACTCAAGATAATGTTTCTAGGTTGATCACCCATCACAGTGGGTTAAAAAATGGAATATCAAAGGCACAAAGATGTATCTTATTTCCAAATACTAAAAAAGAACTACCTTCACATTCCTTACAGGTTATACTGTTCCTTAGAAGACTTATAGAAAATCTTTTTAATAACCCCCTATGTATAGTTCAGAGGTTAAAAACCTGTACATATTATACAAAGTTTCCAATAAATGCACCTTGTGTATTATAACTGCATGGTACTGACATCTTCAAGATGGGAACCATGAATAGATTTGTCTAGGTAGGGGAGAAACAGCTTGGTATTTTAGAAATACGTATGATATACAACATAGTCAAAATGCAACAACTCCAAATCACTGGAAGGTGTATTAGAAAATACTCAGGCACATGTGTAAATGCTTTAACATGGCCTGGCCCTCTTCATGGTCCATCTGTGTATTTTTTGGTTTGTGGCTGACACCTCCTGCCTCAACACACCCAATCTTCTTAAGTGTGTCCAGAGTTGTAAAGGGCTGTCTGTCAAGGCTTTCCTGATGATGGTGTTGCTCTAATATTCCAGTGTCACCGTCTTGGTTTTGAGATATTCATTTAGAGCTTCCTCACCTAGGGAAGAGAAAAGCAGTTGACAGACCACATTCAGAGGCAGACATGTGATGTCTTCAGACCTTCAGACATAGGTATACGTAGGTGTCCAGGTCACTAAGTAAATAGAATGTGGCCTAAGCCAGTGCTTCTCACACTTTGAAGTTCATACTAACCATCTGAAGACTCTGTTAAGTTGCAGATCCTGATCTGATTAAGTCTGGTGTGGGCCCAGAGGTTTTGTGTTGCTAACCATTCCCTGATGATGCTGATGCTAGTGGTCCATGGACCACACTTTGAATAGTAACAGCCCAGACCAGCTACCAGGCCTTCTAAGGAGCAGAGAGTGTTGCCTGGTCAGCTTCAAACCAAAACCCTTCTCTTTTATTTCCCTACTTGATGACAGACTCTGCCTTTTTGTCCATTTAAACTAAACAGAAGTAACCAGGATACTGTCCTCTGGATTATATTAATTAAAGCAGAACTGAGCACAGGAAAGTTTGAAATCATTTGGTTTAACCTTATTTTAAAGATAAGGAAAATTCAGTTTATATTGTTTGTTAGAAACACAGGGAAACCTGTCTAGGCAAAAATAAATAGGTCTGCCTTTCTTTGACTGTTTCTATTTTGAGCCAGTACTGTCATCAATCTCTACAGAGGTTAAAGGGCACTGAATACCATGGGAAAACTAATGAGTGCGTGATTCTGGAAGCTGAGCTAAAACAAGGGCTGTCAACTTTGTCCGCATGTTAGAATCACTCAGGGAGCTTTTAAGACTCCTGACCCCACATCACACCCCAGATCAATTAGATCAGTATCTGTATTTTTTGAAGCTCCCAGGTGATTTGAATCCACTGTGCAGCTAAGGTTGACAACCACTGGGCTAAGGGGTTTTAAAATTGGGGGAGGAAGAAACTATTAGAAAAACTGTAGTATTTTATAGTAAAACAGACCTGGAGCTGGTCAAATACACTCTCTCAAAAGATGGGTGAAACAGGGATGCCTCACTTTCTAATAATAAATTCCCTAAGAAAGTCTCCTACAGTGATTTGGATTCAGGCATGAAAACCAGATTAAAGACATGGAAAAGTTGGGGGGGAAGCCCTTACCTTCACCCAATGGAATTTAAAATGAGAGCTACTTTTACTGCTGCAAATACATGGCCAAAGTCATTAGTAAAGAGAAAATGTAAAAACAAAACAAAACAAAAAAACTCCAAATGAACTAAACTTATATTTGCAGACTGTAATTTCAGTAAATCACAAACATTTCAGTTTTTGAAACAACGTACCAGACTGAGGGGAATAAGAGATGTGCTCCACAGCCAGACCGCCTGCCTTTGAATTCTCTCTTGCCAGTGCCTGGCTCTGTGACTTGAGGCAACTCACCCAGCCTCTCTGAGCCCCATTGTCCTCTTCTGTATAATAAGATAATAATAGTACCTATTCCTCTGAGCTCGTGTGAGAATTGCCTTTGCTTATACAGGCTAAGTAGAATGGGGCCTGGCATGTGTTTCGCACTGAAAGTAAGCTATTGCTTGAAAGGTGTTAGTGTCACTGCTCACAGTGAATTACATTTTGGGCTTTTTACAAACTCTTAAGTCTCATTGCTCAGACTCCCAAAAACCCTGCCAATTGCAGGGTTTTTTCAGTGTTGACTCTGAAAGCCTGCCAAGAAGCTCCAGGACAGGATTTATTCTTGGAGCTCGCTGGTTATTGCTCTCCACCCATTTGCCTCTCTTGGTTCCATTTAGTCTCGTGACAGCTAACCCAAGTTCATGCCGAATGTCAGATTAAACACCAAACATATTTCAGCTAAAGTATATTGTTGCAATTTCTTTTTCCTTTCAAACATTAATCTTTTTTGAAAAGAAATATCTTTCCACACAATGTGTGTACTTTTCTGTATGTATGGTATATTCAATAGAAATGTTTAATATTTTAAAAAACGAATGCCCTTCTAAACCCAGATATAACTGCCATGTAGGAAATGCCCCTCAAAGTCACACACAAGTCATGAAACATAGAGCAGATTTTTCTGTGATGTGACAACAAAGGGAAGGTGAAGCAGAAAAGTAAAGCCATACCTAAGTCTTTTCCAAAGCCAGATTGTTTAACTCCGCCAAATGGGGCCGCCACATCTGTCTTGTTGTATGTGTTAATAAAAACAGTTCCTGCTTCCAGTTTTTCACTCACATACATAGCTTTGTTTATGTCTCTTGTAAAAACCCCTGAGGCCAAACCATACTCTGTACTATTTGCTCGCTGCAACACTCCATCGATGTCCCTGTGTTTTTAGGAAGACATAAAACTTCATTAAATGTAAAGCAAAAGACTCATTTTATGTTCTGAAAATTTTCCCATCTATGCTAGAAACAGGAAAACATTACTGCCATCTGCTTAAATGTTTTTGTTGTTGTTGTTTTTTAGAGGCCAGGCATTGCTCTGTCACCTAGGCTGCAGTGCAGTGGCACAATCATAGCTCACTGCAGCCTCCATCTCCTTGGACTCAAGTGATCCTCCCACCTCAGCCTCCCAAGTAGCGGGGACTACAGGCATGTGCCACCATGCTCAGCTAATTTTTAAAAAAATTTTTTTGTAGAGATAGCATCTCCCTGTGTTGCCCAGGCTGATCTCAAACTCCTGGCCTCAAACTATCCCCCAACCTTGCCCTTGCAAAGTGTTGGGATTACAGGTGTGAGCCACTGCGCCCAGCCTGATTAAATTTTTATAAATGAAAATATCAGGCTCACACCAAAAGAAAGTCCCAAAAAAATATTACTAGTATTACATTTTTCATATATATCATGCAACACCTTTCAAAATCTGACCCAAAGTCATATATTCAATCTTCTTCAATGGTTCTCATTCATGATCTCCCACTCCCTCCCCTCTCCCATGACTCCCACTTCTAGATGGATTTTCAGAGTGTCCTCCCTATTTCCTTCCATCTCTTCCGATTTTGCACATAAGGTTCAAGCCTCCTTCAGTGCCTGAAGCCGTTTCAGATCCCACCAGTGCCATTGTCGAGGTGGGAGAGTAGGGTGGTTCTGTGAGAGGGCTCTGCAGCCAGACTGCCTGGTGACCTTGGGTAAATGACTCCATCTCCCCTCGCCTTCATTTATTATTGCGAACCATGGAAATAATAATAAAAGGACCTGTCTAGTTGTCATGAGGATGAAATGAACAAATCATGCCTGGAACACAATAAATGTTCAATAAAAGCCAGCTATCATCAGGTAGCACATATTTTTCCAAACTTAATATTTTGGTAGAACCAACTATATAGTGCTGACTTAACTCTTCCTGTAGGTAATGGTTCACCCTCCATAAATTGGAAGATAAAAGTTCCCCGAGGGCAGGGATAACTTTATGTCTCATATACCTCTTTATGCTATGGTGTTGCATCGTCAAATGCGAGTGAGTGGGATTACATGTGCTTATTCAACAAAATAGGTCCCGTGATTTCCCTGCCTTTTGACTTAGTTTGTATACACATCCAAGCAGGTGAAGACATGAACCTACTCTTTTCTCAGTTGAGTCGAGTTCTAATGTGCCTGTCATAGTGTATGTACCTTCTTCTAGTGTGATCCTAATGCTTAAAAACGCACACATTTTCTACCACATGGCCAGCAAATACAAGCCAGGTTGTTGTTGTTGTTTTTCTTTTTGAGATGGAGTCTCACTCTGTCGCCCAGGCTGGAGGGCAGTGGTGCGATCTCGGCTCACTGCAACCTTCGCCTCCCAGGTTCAAGCAATTCTCCTGCCTCAGCCTCCTGAGTAGCTGAGATTACAGGTACATGCCACCACACCCAGATAATTTTTGTATTTTTAGTAGAGATTTTGTATTTCACCATGTTGGCCAGGCTGGTCTTGAACTCCTGACCTCAAGTGATCCGCCTGCCTTGGCCTTCCAAAGTGCTGGGATTACAGGCATGAGCCATTGCGCCTGGCCAAGCCAGGTATTTCATCTGGTGCTCCAGCAAAGACACAGGATCTGTTCCAAAACTGGAGGAAAAATTCGAGTGCTGAATTTATTGAGACAGTACAGGTTTCAGTGTAGTGCCTTATGAAGGAATTTTCAAAGGCATCTTGACTATCCAAAATTTTAAACTTGCACAAGAAATCTGGAATCTAACCTGGAGTGAACTTGGACTCTGCTAAAACTCTCACACTTCTTGATGCATTGCATATGGTAGGGACCCAAATATTTATAGAATGGACTAGAGGGAGAAAGATGGTTTTATGCCATTTCTCGTTGAGGACTATCAAGATATCACCATAGCTCCATAGCACATTGTTTATGTCTACAGCAATGACAAGCATATATTGATGGCAGCAGCAACAGCAAATACTTGACTTAGTAATACTCAGAATGACCTAAGGAGGTACACATTGTTACCAAACCATACTCTATTATTTGCTCACTGCAATGCTCTATTGATGTCCCTATGTTTTTAGGAAGACATAAAACTTCATTAAATGTAAAGCAAAAGATTCATTTTATGTTCTGAAAATTTTCCCGTCTATGCTAGAAACGGGAAAACATTACTGCCATCTGCTTAAATTTTTTTTTTTTTTTTTTTAGAGGCCAGGCATTGCTCTGTCGCCTAGGCTGCAGTGCAGTGGCACAATCATAGCTCACTGCAGCCTCCATCTCCTTGGGCTCAAGTGATCCTCCCACCTTAGCCTCCGAAGTAGCTGGGACTACAGGCACATGCCACCATGCCCAGCTAATTTTTAAAAAAAATTTTTGTAGAGACAGGGTCTTTGTTGCCCAGGCTGATCTCAAACTCCTGGCCTCAAGCTGTCCCCCGACCTTGGCCTTGCAAAGTGTTGGGATTACAGGCATGAGGTGCAGAGTGGTTAAGTAACTGGCCCAAGCTCAGAGGGTTAGTGAGGGGAGAGGAGGCAGAGTTGGTCCTCTGACCCACTGCACCATCCTGCCTCTGACCCTCTGTGGACTAACTGTCATCTCTGTCTGTCTCCCCTGTTAGATAATAAACTCCTTAAGGTCAGGGGCTGTGACTTACCCATGTTACAGTAGATTCCCTCAAACCTGACTTCTAATGTCTGCACATTTAACACCACCACCATGGGAGAATGTATAATGAGAAATGGCATAGCATGCATCCTTGAATGGATATATCAAAGGTTACTCACTACACCTTATAGTCCCCTGAAGTCTTTTATACTATATCTATTAAAGACCGAGAAAGTCTATTCTTTATTTTTTTTTCAAGTTCTCATTGGCTGAAATAAATCTAAAGCCATTCTGAAGAATTTTGTGCAGTATACCATGAGACCCCATTCTATTAAGTATTGTTTTATGAGCTCAGTTAGCACTTGGACCTCTTCGATAAGCTGAACTCTTTGCAAAGTTTCATGTAGTATCACAAGCCAGCATGTCATTTACAGTTGATTATATGATGATTATGAACATTTCCATGAAAAGTTGAGTATCAAGCTTTGGGGGGCAATATCCCCTATAATAACAGCACTCTTTCTCTAGGGAAATAAGATTTCACAGATGCATACCCTAGGAATTTAAATGTGAAAACCAGTTTTGTTATTTCTCAGTTATTTACTTTGTTCCACAGACATCTCAAATGTCAAGTGCAGAAAAACTAAAATTTATTCAGCTAAAAGCCCATTATGTTGGCCATTAATTGAAGCTGAAAAGCAAAAATATACTATGATCTACGATGGTTAGCAAAAGCGTAACTTCTAATTATTTAAGTTAATTATTCTTATGGTAGAAAATTACATGTTCATTAATCTTATGCTGTGTATATAGCACAGTGGCAAAGGGGAAAAATGACTTATCTAGTCAAAACCTAAGTTACATTGTGTCTGAAGAACCTACCCATTTTGGAATTTAGAAATGACCATAATAGGCCCAAAGGATTCCTCTTTGGCGAGGTACATGTAGTCTTCCACATCTGTGAACACGGTCGGCTCCATGAAAAAGCCTTTTTGGAAAAAACAAAGAAAAAATGTCAACTGTAGGTTAAGTCATTTTCAATTAATAGTCCTCTCACTTAATTACATTATAATTTTTTCTTTCCCTCTGGCCCAGTAAAACCAAGAAGAGTTGCATTTCTCTATTTGGTGTTGGCATGCCCAGGTTCTTATTTTTTAATGTCTTTATTATGAAAATGTCAAACCTATGTAAAGGTAGAGAAAACAGTATAATGAATGGTAAAATAAATATCCATATTTTGCTGTATTTATCTTTTCCTCATTGAAATATTTTAAAGCAAATTCCAGATATCATAATTTTAACACCTCAGTATTTCAGTACACATCTGTAAAAAATAAGGATATTTTCTTATATAACCACTATACAGTGTCATGCTTAACAAAATTAGTAAGTATTCTTTATTCAGAGTTTATATTTTAATTTCCTTAATGTCTAGAAATTAGCTTTTTCACAGTTGGTTTGTTTGATTTAGGATTCAAATTCTTCTACACATTGTATTTGGTGTTTAGATTTCTTAAGGATCTTTTACTCTAAAACATTTCCCCATTTTGTCTTCCCCTTATTTTTTATGCTATCGTCATGTTAAAGAGACTGGGTCAGTTGTTTATACATTATCTTTCTTTCTGGTTAATCATTGCTTCCTTTGGATGATATTTGTTTCTCTATCTCTTGTATTTCTTCTTTTTCCCAGTGACTTTTATTGTGGTAAAATACACATAACTGAAATTTACCATCACAACCATCTTTAAGTGTACAGCTCAGTGTTATGAGATTCATAATATGCAACCTTCACCACCATCCATTTTCATTAACTATTTTCAGCTTATAAAACTGAAACTCTATACCCACTAAAAAATAACTTCCTGTTCCTTCCTCCCTCCCTACTGCAGTTCTTATGAATAGAAAGCTTGGCTTAAAGGTATAATTAGATTCAGCTTAAGCTTTTTTGGCAGGAACACTTCATAGGTGATACTGTGTATTACACGTTTTATTCCATCAGGAGACACATATTATCCAGTTGTCTCCCCTTCTTTGTTTTATTTTGTTTTGTTTTGTTTGAGACAGAGTCTCAGTCTGTTGCCCAAGTTGGAGTGCAGTGGCTTGATCTCAGCTCACTGCAGCCTCCTCCGCTCACGTTAACCTGCCTCCTAGGTTAAAGTGATTCTTGTGCCTCAGCCTCCCCAGTAGCAGGTGCGTGCCACCACACTGGGCTAATTTTTGGTAGAGATGAAGTTTCACCATGTTGGCCAGGCTGGTCTTAAACTGTCGCTGTCCATTCCAACTGAAGAAGGCGGGCACCCGGTAAACCCCCACAGAGGTGATCTTACCTGGCCTTTGGACTTGTCTTCCCCCGTACACCAAAGTGGCCCCTTCTTTCACTCCAGTTTCACAGTATTGCAGCAGCTTTTCCAGATGAGCCTTATGATTTTGGGGCCCATGATCAGTGGATCTGTCAAGTGGATCACCAATTTTCATCTTTTTAATTTCTTCTACCTGTATGTTACCCAGTCCATAAAAACACAATTCACTGTTAATAATAATGGAGTTTCTACCAAGTGGTAGGTGTTATACTAAGGTGTTTATAGATGTATTGTCATTTAGTCTTTACAATAGCACCGGAGGTAGGTGGTTGGTTTTTTTTTTTTTTTCCTTTTTGGAGACAGGGTCTTAGTCACTCTGTCGTCCATGCTGGATCACAGTGGCATGGCATGGCTCACTGCAACCTCGAACTTCTTTTTTTTTTTTTTTTTTTTTGAGGTGGAGTCTTATTTTGTTGCCCAGGCTGGAGTACAATGGTGTGATCTTGGCTCACTGCAACCTCTGCCTCCCGGGTTCAAGCTGTTCTCATGTCTCAGCCTCCTGAGTAGCTGGGATTACAGGCGCCTGCCACTGCGTCCGGCTATTCTCATGTCTTAGCCTCCCAAGTAGCTGGGATTACAGGTGTCTGCCACCACGCTCGGCTAATTTTTGTATTTTTAGTAGAGATGGGGTTTCTCCATGTTGGTCAGGTTGGTCTCGAACTCCTGACCTCAGGCAATCCACCCGCATCAGCCTCCCAAAGTGCTGGGATTACAGGCGTGAGCCACCGCGCCCAGCTGCAACCTCGAACTTCTAAGCTCAAGTGATCCTCCCGCCTCAGCTTCTCAGAAGAAGAAACTGAGGCCTAGAGGGGTTAAGTAAGTGCACCCAACCACTAAATACTGTAGACTTTTTTCCACTTGAAATCCCAAGTCCTTAACCACTATCTACTAGCACAATATAAGCTACATACACTATATGAAAATTATCCTAAATGTTAATCCATTAAGAATAGCAAACTAATGTTCTGAAATGTTTATTAATATCACATACTTACACTGTTCATGGCAAGAGAATTTCTAAAATGGTCACATTGTTATCTTTTTTTTTCCTCCTCAAATGTGGCAGACTGCCTTTGTAAAATTCTCCTGGTGTAGCCATGCCAGATGACCCACTAGAATGCTCTGACGAAAAATAATCTTTACTGCACGATGTTCATCACTGACATGTATTTGTAATTATCTCTTCCACTCCTCAGTTATCTTAACCTACTTCTGCATCTTCTAATGTTAAGTCCAATTCTGGTAAGAAGAATGGGAGTTATAACCCAGCAGGTCCATGACTTTGAATTTAGGCCTGGCCGTAATCTCTTAGTGCGTTCCCCAGGGTTCTGCACTGGATGAGAAGTTCTGAGTGGCCAGGGACCATGTCTGCCTTGTTCACATTTATATTCCCAGCATGCAGTGTTTGGTACTAAGTAGGTGCTTGAGAAATGCTGCTGATGAATGAATATGAACAGCATGTTTGTAAAACATGCTTGTTGATGTACTGATATAGCAAATCCTTGACATTTCTGGTCTCAGTGTTTGAAATTTCAACAACTTTTAGCTGATTGTGAAAGCCCATGATATATAGCACTGCAGACTGTCTTTCAGTGAGACACAAAATTAAATTACACTGTGATGTTCAGGAGGCAGCCACTGCCTACCTGACTGCCCTCCATCTGCCTGTCTATATGACTTCCTTGTTACTCATTCTCATGAAGAAAGAATACCTTTGGTTTTTTTGGTGGGTTGGGGTGTGGAGAATTGGCTCTGGGGAAAATATAGCTGGATGCTGGTTTTGCAAATATAAGCAAATTCTTGATTAATACTACCTTCATAATGACATAGTATAAGTTAGAGTTTATTTTAGCCACATAATTCATCTTAACACTCCTATAGATGACTTTTAGTCCCATATTTATGGAGTCATGATCAATGTCCTGGGGATGTTTATTTATTTAGCTAGTTATTTTAGTGGAAGGAATTATATGCTATCATGTCAACCGCAATTGGGGATTCATGGTGTATCTCTCATAGTTTATTTAGAGATTTATAAAAATCTAGGAGCGTAACTCTCACAATGTCAAGGATCTAATATATTACAAATGTAGAGTAAGGTATCATAGCTCTTCAATATACTTTATCAGGTTTTTATATAAACCTCTAACTTTTTTACTATAAAAAAATCATAAGCACATGTGAAAGTAGACACATAATACAGTGAAACCCCATGTACTCATCACCCAGCTTCAACAACTACCAACTCCTGGCCAATTTATTCCCCTACTCATTTCCTGTCCTGCGGGGTTATTTTGAAGCAAATTTCAGACATCATATAATTTAATCTGTAAGTATGCCAGTATGTAGCTATAAAAAAACTAGGGACTGATTTTTTTTAAAACATAACCACAATACTGTTATCACACCTGAAAATTCATGAACAATCCTAGAAGTAGGATTTTTCAAGTAAAAGCAAAATCTCTAAACAACTCAGAGTAAATGTGAAGGTGCCTCACCACTCTTGTCACAAATTCGTCGTGGATGGATTCTTCCACGAACAACCGCCCAGCAGCAATACAGTTCTCTCCTTTGTTGAAAAATACTGCTCCCATGCCCTTCAGTGGGAGAAGAGAAAATATTGCTAACATCATTTGAGAAGTCAAGATTCTCATAAAGTTGTACACAGAGGGAGTTAGTTGTTTTTGGAAGACAGCAGGCAATATAGATAAGTCACAGACAATCCTCTTGGCCTTGTTAGTGATGAGAGCTTCTTGGAGATACTCTGTTTTGATTTAGCATGATTTGAGAGATTTTGTTTATCCTTTCCCCCTTTTGGTCCCTGAGCATTTTTTTAAAAAAATGTATGTGTAACAATAAAGATGTACCATTAGAAACAAATTTTGTGTTAAAAGAAAATCTAGGCTGGGCGTGGTGGCTCACGCTTGTAATCCCAGAACTTTGGGAGGCTGAGGCGGGCAGATCACAAGGTCAGGAGTTCAAGACCAGTGTGGCCAACACAGTGAAACCCCATCTCCACTAAAAATACAAAAATTAGCTGGGCATGGTGGCAGGTGCCTGTAATCCCAGCTACTCAGGGGGCTGAGGCAGGAGAATCAATTGAACCCAGGAGGCGGAGGTTGCAGTGAGCTGAGATCACACCACTGCACTCCAGCCTGGGCGACAGAGCTAGATTCCATCTCATAAATAAATAAATAAATAAAAGAAAATCTAGATTATTCTCTTCTTAAATTTATTTTTTAGAGATAGAGTCCCACTCTCTCTAGCCTCCCAAGTAGCTGGCACTACAGGTGTGCACCACCTTACCCAGCTAATTTTTTCTATTTTTATTTATTGTAGAGACAGGGTCTCACTATGTTGCCCAGGCTGGACTCAACACCTGGGCTTAAGCAATCCTCCTGCCTTGGCCTAGAAAATCTAGATTATTCTATACATTTAAATGTAATAACTTGTATACCAAGTTTTGCTTTTAAAAATCTCTACATTAGATTGTATAATCACAATTTTTAAAATTTTTTATTTGTATTTATTTATTTATTTAAGACAGTGTTTCTCTCTGTCGCCCAGGCTGGAGTGCAGTGGCGTGATCATGGCTCACTGCAGCCTCAACTTCCTGGGCTGAAGTGATCCTCCATCTCAGTCTCCCTAGTAGCTGGGGCCACAGGTGAACACCACCCTGGGCTAATTTTATTTTTTTGTAGAGACAGGGTCTTGCCATGTTGCCCAGGCTGGTCATGAACCCCAAGGCTCAAGCGATCCTTCTACCTCGACCTCCCAAAGTGCTGAGATTATAGGCGTAAGCCACCACGTGCAGCCATAAATCATAAATATTTAGAAAGCCTCTCTAACCCCCTCATGAAAAGAAATACCTGTTTTTCAACAAGAAGTTTGAGAAATCTTTGAAATGAAGGCACTCAAAAATGACGGATTTGGAAGACTGATGAATTTTGTGCATTTTCCCTTTTTAGAAATTCAGTTTCTAATTCACCTGCAGGAAACCTCCCTGGACTATATATAGTGTGTCTATATATATATATATGTGTGTGTGTGTGTGTGTGTGTGTGTATACACACACACATATATA